>NC_000010.11:100597640-100900671 GCF_000001405.40 Homo sapiens
TCAAAAAAAAAAAATGACTCTCAGTACCCATGCAATTCAACCAAATGGGGGAGCACAAGCGCACGGCGGCCCAGCCCATGAACGTTTGATAAGCCACAAGTGTTAAGTCAGTATGTGTAACAGAGGACTGATGGTGTCACTTAAGCCAGTGAGCCAGGTATGTGCAGGTTGTTTTAAAAGTTCTATTTTAATAATATCAATAATAATAACTAAAACTTATTGAGTGCTTTGTCTGTGCCAGGCACCATACTAAATGCTTCTATATGTATCTTTAAATAAAAAAAAAAGAGAGATGGGGTCTCACTTTCTCACCTAGGCTGGAGTGCGGTGGTGCAATCTTGGCTCACTGCAGCCTTGACCTCCTGGGCTCAAACAATCCTCCTACCTCAGCCTCCTGAGTAGCTAGGACTATAGGCATGCACCACCATGCTCAGCTAATTTTTGTATTTTTTGTAGAGATGGGGTCTCACCATATTGCCCAGGCTGTTTTTGTTTTGTTTTTGTTTGTTTGTTTGTTTGTTTGCTTTTGAGATGGAGTCTCACTCTGTTGCCCAGGCTGGTTTTGAAGTCCTGGGCTCAAGCAATCCACCTGCCTTGCCCTCCCAAAGTGCTGAGATTACAGATGTGATGTGAGCCACAAATCTGGCTTTTTTTTTTTTTTTTGAGACTAGGTCTCATTCTGTTGCCCAGGCTGGAATGCAGTGTTGTTATCACAGCTCACTGTACCTTTGACCTCCCAGACTCAAGTGATCCTCCCACCTTAGCCTCCTGGGTAGCTGGGAATACAGGTACATACTACCAGCCTGGCTAATTTTTTTTTTTTTGTATTTTTTTGTAGAGACTAGGTTTTGCCATGTTGCCCAGGCTGGCTTCTATATATATCTAAATTAATCATTACCTGAAGAGAGTAGGATCATCCTATTTTATAGATAAGGAAACTGAAGCTTAATGAAGTTCCATAACTTTCCCAAGGTCTCATAGCTACTAGATGGTAGAGGCAAGTTTCTTCTGGCTGATTCCAAAATCTATGCTTTTGTGTGCTACACTATATTGTTTACAATATTTATTTTGTCAATGAACAACCAACACAAGCAAGTATGCAGAGGATAGGTAAGGGCTTGGATGTTGGAAAACATTTTCCTACCGTCA
Source organism: Homo sapiens (assembly GCF_000001405.40). Classification (NCBI taxonomy): domain Eukaryota; kingdom Metazoa; phylum Chordata; class Mammalia; order Primates; family Hominidae; genus Homo; species Homo sapiens. The sequence goes on from NC_000010.11 coordinate 100,598,790, forward strand.
GAAAAGTGTTCCTCGAAAACCAACTGGCTCATTCTTAGCAGTTTCCTGAGGTGAGAGGATATTCCTAGAGGGGTTTGGGGTGTTTGGGGAAGCTTACACTCTGCTGGGACATGTCGGTCCTTGTCTTCTATATCGATTCCAGACATCTGGTTACAATCACCAGTGGCCTCCCTTTAGTTCAGTCCTAGCTTCTTTTATTTCAACTGAATCTGGTTGGAATTTTTTAATCTTAATTACAAAATTAAAGGAGAACGACAAAGCTACACTTTCAGTGCCTGGACTCATAACCCCAACATACTAACAGCTGAATCACCAACCAGCTTGATTGCCAAGGCTTATGGGCCAGCCTTCCATTTCAATCTCTCACCTCAACCCTGAGCGAATCAAGCATGGCAGATTCGGGCTGGCACCATGGCTGGGCTTGGGGAGCTCCTGTTCTTTTTCCCCAGACCTCCTTCTTAGCTGTATGCCACCCCCACCTCCGTGTATCTGTCCTCCGGGCAGCTGCGCACCCCTCCACCTCAGAGCTGCCAAGCCCCCGAGCCTGTGTCTCCTGGTGAGGAAGCAGAGACAAGGTATCAGCAGGCTTAGCCTCCTGGTTCACTCTTTATCCTTAGAAGAAGAGGCCCTGCTCTCACCCTGAAGCCATTTCTCGCTGCCCTGTTATATCCTGTCACCCGAAGCACACCTCCTGTCCAGAGTTCCAAGTGAGTTTTCTGGGAGAGCTTGACTTCAGGCCCCAGCTGATATTTGTGTCTGCTCTGGCCTCTGCCTTGTGCCCTGCAGATAACCCTGCGCTCCCTGGAGCTCTCAGTCTCCTGCTGGATCCCTTCTGTGGTCTGGAACAGATTCTTCAGCTACAGAAAGTTGTTCCTTTTGCTCAAAATACCCTTCCTTCTTACCTTTTCTTAACCAGGCTACTTTTTTTTTTTTTTTTTTTTGAGACAAAGTCTTGCTCTGTCGCCCACGCTGGAGTGCAGCGGCATGGTCTTGGCTCACTGCAACCTCCGCCTCCCGGGTTGAAGCGATTCTCCTGCCTCAGCCTCCCGAGTAGCTGGGACTACAGGCATGCACCACCACACCCGGCTAATTTTTGTATTTTTAGTAGAGACGGGGTTTCGCCATGTTGACCAGGCTGGTCTCAAACTCCTGACCTCAGGTGATCCACCCGCCTTGGCCTCCCAAAGTGCCGAGATTACAGGCGTGAACCACCGCGCATGGCCCCGGGCTACTTTTAACTATCCTCTGGATCACAGCTCAGATGTCACCTCTTCTAGGAAGCTCCCCCAATCCCTCACTTGTGTTGAGTGCCTTTTCTCTGTGTTGGGTGCCTTTTAGCTCTTAAAACTCTAGACTGAAATTAACTCATTACTTGTATGCCTCCCCACTCTGGACTGTGAGCCCTGAAAACCTATGTATGAACCCTTGTTCACCAGTGTGTTCCCAGTACCTAATAGGGTTTATCATGTAGTAGGTGCTCAATAAATGTTTATTTAATGTATTAATTAATCAATGATTAAACCTCTTCTCATTTGAAAGTCTAAGTTACTACCCATCATATTTTGTCTGCTATATATAGTTCTGTCTCCCTGGTCATGTGTAGAGCAGAATGACTCATATCCCCTGACTGTCATGAATGAACAAGTGCAGCTCACCCAGCCACCCACCTCTTCAGTTCTCCTAATGGATGTGTTCTTCACGGGGTCCTAGAAACCTTATGGCTTCCTATTTCTATAGATTTTCCAACAGCGAAAATACTCCATATAAATGATACATACGTCGGAGTAGACTGAGTTATGTGGCTGTCACAACCCCCATTCTCAGCAGTTTAAGGTAAGGAAGGTTTTTTTCTTCCACTGTGTGCATCCTGGCTAGGCTGCTTTGCATTGTCACCAACCAGGGACCCAGGCATTGCTCTAAGAAGTCCTGCGGTTTATAAAAGTTAAAATCCTGTTTACATCTGTTTAGGCTTCTGTTTCCCAGATTATGTGACCACAGAACGCTTTTCTCATACCTATTTACATCCCATCTTAGTTCTTCTGGACTGCTACAACAAAATACCTTAGCCTGGGTAATTTAAAAACAATGGGAATTCATTACTCGCAGTTCTGGAGGCTGAGGAGTCCAAGATCAAGGTGCCAGCAGATTTGGTGTTTGGTGAGAACTTGCTTTTTGCTTCAAAGATGGTGACTTCTTGAGGTATTCTCACATGGCAGAAGGGACAGGGCAGCTCCCCTCAACCTCTTTTGTAAGGAAACCAATCCTATTCATGAGGTAATCATCTTCTAAAGGCCCCATTCTTAATACCATTGCACTGGGGACACACACGTTTAGACCATAGCACATTATATGGACCAAGCTTTGTCTTAGTTCATTTTCTGCTGCTATAGCAGAATACCACAGACTGGGTAATCCATAATAAACAGAAATTTATTGGCTTGCAATTCTGGAGTCTAGGAAGTCCAAGACTGAGGGGTTAGCATCTTGCAAGGACCTTCTTGCTACTCACCTCATGGGAGAAGGGCAAAGAGAGGTTGAGAGAGAACAGGGGGCTGAACTCAGCTTTTTATGACAAACCCAGTCCTGCTATAACAGCATTAAATTCATTCATGACGGTGGTACCCATGACCCAAACATCTCCCATTAGGTCCCACCCTGCAAGACTACTTCATTGGGAATCAAATTTCTTTTCTTTTTTTTTGAGATGGAGTTTAGCTCTGTCACTGAGGCTGGGGTGCAATGGTGTGATCTCTGCTCACTGCAACCTCCACCTCCTGGGTTCAAGCGATTCTCCTGACTCAGCCTCCTGAGTAGCTGGGATTACAGGTGCCTGCCACCACACCTGGCTAATTTTTGTATTTTTAGTAGAGACAGGCCAACCATGTTGGCCAGGCTGGTCTTGAACTCCTGACCTCAAGTGATCCGCCTACCTCGGCCTCCCAAAGTGCTGGGATTACAGGTGTGAGCCACGGTGTCTGGCCTTTATTTCACTTTTTAGGCCAGTCATGCAGAGATAGCACTGGCTCTGCATGAGGTGGCCCTGAGGTCTATGTCCTTACTGGCAGGGAGGCCTCTTTATTGAAAGGAGGCCTCTTTATTGAAGGGCTGTATGGGATCATAGTTAAGTGCTCAAGCCAAGAGTCTACCAAACAAGTTCAAATCCCATCCTGGCCACCACTAACCAGCTAGGTGGCTTCTAGCATGTTACTCGACTAACCCCTTTGACCCTCTCACTCCTTATTTGTAAAATGGGCTAATCATACTAACTTCATAGAGTTGCTCTTATGATTGAATTAGTTCATGTATGTGAAAGTATCTGACACATAGTAGTTGCTCAACAAATATCTGTATAATTGATTTTTTTTTAAAAGGGAGATAATAGGCTTCCTTTTATTTTGGGATAACCTTGGGATATACCGAATATGGGAGTTAAATGAGGCTCAAATCCTTAATAACAGAGTTTATTGTATATGAAAGGCGTTGAGTCCCTGTGTGATTTGCAGACATTGAAGATGGTACAGAGGGGGAACAAGTGCTGGGGTCCTTCTTGATAACAATGCTGATGCTCCGAATGACACTTTTACAGCTGACACTTCCACCTTCCAGACCGTACAGGGGACTTCTGCAGGTGGTGACTTCTCTGGGAGCTACATTCCTGGGAGCAATTGCCCAGTGTCCTCCCAGGTGGATTATTATATGGCAGCCTTGAGAGCCACAGTCGAAGGGCTGTCTAGGGGTCAAGACCCTGAGGAAGCGGCATTTAAGGGTCTCAAAGACCTGCTGAACATCAGCTGAAAGGCCTGTCCAGGGAGCTGAAGAAGGCGAAGAATGGGAGCCTGGAGCACAAGGAGTATTTGTGAATCACAGAACTCAGTGAATATCCTTGACTACTTGTAGGGCTTCCAATCCAGGGCAGTGTGGACCTTTGTGGGATCCTCCATCTGCTTTGGGGCTTGATGTACTCTAAGAATTTTGCAAACTTAAGGTAAAGACATATCTTAAGTTTTCCTGGCTTTGCAAGTAATCTTTGCTTGAAGATGGGCCAGCTAGAAATGGATGGTAGGTTCAATGGGGTCTCAGGGGAAAGTGGACTATGGTCTAATTAATGACTGTCAAATATTTTTACTCTGACCCACAGCCCAAAATACATTCTGCATGGTGACCTAGCATATATACACATACACACACACACCTGAAACAAAAGTTTTATTAGGCAGTACCTATACTTAACATATGTGATGCATTCTGGTCTTTTATTTTCTATTTTATTCTATTTCATTAAGTTGATTTCATGATATGCTAATGGATTGCAACATGTATTTTGAGAAACATTGGTCTAATAGATGACAACTTGTCCTTGAAGGTGATTGAGGAAGATGTTGTCCATGAATAATGAAATTCAGATGAGCAGTGCCAAAAGCTGAGCAACCTGACTGTGTACTTTAAATGCTCATAGCAGATACAGAATCTGGTTTTCTGTCATTCCTAAACATTGAGATTGGAAATAGTAAAAAATAACAGCAATATGAAGAATAGCAACATTTACTGAGGACCTACTCAGTTCAGACAACTGTGCTAGGTACTTGAGTGGAATAAAAATGTGAATAGAAGGCTGGACACAGTGACTCATGTCTGTAATCCCAGCACATTGGGAGGCTGAGGCAGGTGGATCACTTGAGGCCAGGAGTTCGAGACCAGCCTGGCCAACATGGTGAAACCCTGTCTCTACTAAAAATACAAAAAAAAGTTAGCAGGGCATGGTGGCGTGTGCCTGTACTCCCAGCTACTTAGGAGGCTGAAGTATGAGAATTACTTGAACTCAGAAGGCAGAGGTTGCAGTGAGTTGAGATCACTCCACTGTACTCCAGCCTGGGCAATAGAGCAAGACTCTGTCTCAAAAACGAATAGAGGCCGGGTGCGGTGGCTCACGCCTGTAATCCCAGCACTCTGGGAGGCCAAGGCAGGCGGATCACGAGGTCAGGAGATCGAGACCATCCTGGCTAACACGGTGAAACCCCATCTCTACTAAAAATACAAAAAATCAGCCGGGCATGGTGGCAGGCGCCTGTAGTCCCAGCTACTCGGGAGGCTGAGGCAGGAGAATGGCGTGAACCCAGTAGGCGGAGCTTGCAGTGAGCCGATATCGTGCCACTGCACTCCAGCCTGGGCAACAGAGCGAGACTCCATCTCAAAAAAAAAAAAAAAAAAGAATAGAAAATACTTCGTCCTTAAAACCTTAAAAGAATTATAATGTAGTGGGAGAGATGGACTGGATCGATACACAAAAATATGAGATTTCAGGCGATGTGGCAGGCTGAATTGATGTGATATGACATCACCCTCTAGAAATATAAACTTTACAGCAATTATATATGATACAGTAAAAATATATAAAAATAACAATTGAACAGTATACAACCACATTTAAAGCAATAAATGAAAGTCCCTAAGTGCCACAAATGAAAAGAAGACTCAAAGCTGGCAGGGCGCAGTGGCTCACGTCTGTAATCCCAGCACTTTGGGAGGCTGAGGTGAGCAGATCACGAGGTCAAGAGATAGAGACCATCCTGGCCAACATGGTGAAACCCTGTCTCTAATAACAATACAAAAATTAGCTGGGCAGGGTGGCGTGCACCTGTAGTCTCAGCTACTCGAGAGGCTGAGGCAGGAGAATCGCTTGAATCTGGGAGGTGGAGGTTGCAGTGAGCCAAGATCTCGCCACTGCACTCTAGCCTGGTGACAGAGTGAGACCCTGTCTCAAAAAAAAAAAAAAAAAAAAGAAGACTCAAAGCCAATGTTCTCGAGGGGAGCTCAGAAAGGTCTTAGAGTCAATAACATGTCATAAGAGCTAGACTTGAACAGTGATGAAGACAGAAGAGCAGTCCCCAGGCCTCTGTATGTTAGGGAGCTGGAACTGAGCTCCCTTCATTAACTTAGGAGCCATGGGTATTGCCTATCCGTGTAACAGGAATCAGCAAACTTAACCCACAAATGTGGATTCAGTAGAGTAGCTTGTCATCTTTCTGGGTCTAAGGGTGAAAAAAGAGTCTTCTTTGAGAAATTACAACCCCAAGCCTGTGACAAACATGGGTATAGAGTGCAAGTATGCACTACATACAAGCTGTGGGAACCTTAATTCAAGAAAATAATAAATAAACTGGTCCAGAAATGGTGACCAGTTTATTTATTGATCACCAGTTTATTTAGTTGTGAACCCTTGAGGTCTCAGCAGAGGCAAACTGCTCATTATAATGGCTCCTCCATAGCTAAGGGCATGCAAGTGTCCCACAGAAATCAAGTCCTGCTGGAGATGAGTTCATAAACACTACAAACAAGAAGAAATAAGCCACTATAAGAAAGAGAGTTGGCTAGGCACAGTGGCTCACACCTGTAATCCCAGTGCTTTGTGAGGCTGAGGTGGGAGGATTGCTTGAGCCCAGGAGTTCAAGACCAGCCTGGGCAACATGGTGAGTCCCTCTCTCTACAAATCATTTAAAAATTAGCCAGGCGTAGTGGCACATGCCTGTGGTCCTAGCTACTCGGGAGGCTGAGGTGGCAGGATCACTTGAGCCAGGGGAGGTTAAGGCTATAGTGAACCATGATTGCCCCACTGCACTCCAGCCTGGGCAACAGAGTGAGACCCTGTTTCAAGGAAACAAACAAACAAAAAAAAAAGCAAGAAAGGAAGGAAGGACAGAAGAAAGGAAGGAAGGAAGGATGGACGGATGGAAGGAAGGAAGGACAGATGGAAGGAAGGAAGGACAAAGAGAGAGAAAGAGAGAAAGGAAGGAAGGAAGAAAAGAAAAGAGAGTCAGCAAAAACAATACATTGGAAAATTCAAATAATTGTATAGATTTTAAAAAACATAAAAAAGACCTTAAAATAAATATGTTTAAAATGCTCCAAAAATGAGGGAAAAAATAAAATCCAAAAGGCAAGAATAAAATATAATGGGGAGAGGGGGAAGCAGAGTTGAAAAGAGCCAAATATAATTTCTAGAAATAAAGCAATAATTAAATCAAAACAACTCAACGAAAGGGTTAAAAAGTTGACAACACTGCTGGAGAGAGAATTAATGAATTGGAAGACATATTGGAAAGTGCCCAAAATAAAATGCAGAGAGTTAAAGTCATGGCAAATATGAAGGAGAAGTTAAAAAACATGAAATTAAAAGACCTAAAATAAGGAAGTCCAATGGAGATATTAGAAAATCCAGACAAAGAGAACAGAGAAAGAAGCATATGAAGATATAATGGTGAAGAATTTTCCAGCATTGAATGCAGAAATGAATTATCAGTAAGAAGGAACATAACTGGATATCTGAGCAGAATAAGTAAAAATAGGTTAATACCTAGACACATTGTAGTGAGACTGCAGAACATCAAAAACAAAAGACTTAAAAGCTATCAGGATAATGACAACTAAACAGACAGCAGGCTTCTCATTAGGAACAATAGAAACCAGAAGATATACAATTATAGTCTCAAAATGCTGAAGAAAAATAACTATCAGCTTACAGTTCTATACCCATATAATTATTATTCAATAGAAAAGTTGAAAAAAAAGACTATTTCAGATACAAATGAGTTTGTTATTCACAGATTCTTGCTAAGAGAATTTCTAAAAGATGTACTTCAGCAAGAAGGAAATCAACACAAAAGGAATATTTGGGTTATTAGAAGCAGTGGTATGCAAAGCAATTGGTAGATATGTATGTAAATCTAATAATAATGACTATTTTGAAAGTATAAAAATACAATGGGACTAAAATACTAATAAATAACATGAAAGATGAAAAGAGTTGGCTTACATTCTAAGATCCTTCTACTATTTAAAAGAACAGAAATATAGATTGACTTTATTAAGTAAAAACTAGTCTTTTTTACTAATTACTTAGTCTTTATTAAGTTAAATTTACATATTTTTTAAAAGTTAAAGGTGGCCAGGCGCAGTGGCTCATGCCTGTAATCCCAGCACTTTGGGAGGCCAAGGCAGGTGGATCATGAGGTCAAGAGATCGAGACTGTCCTGAGCAACATGGTGAAACCCTGTCTCTGCTAAAAATACAAAACAATTAGCTGGGTGTGGTGGCACACGCCTGTAGTCCCAGCTACTTGGGAGGCTGAGGCAGGAGAATTGCTTGAACCCAGGAGGCAGAGGTTGCAGTAAGCCGAGATCACGCCACTGCACTCCAGCCTGGCGGCAGAGCAAGACTCCATCTAAAAAAAAAGTTAAAGGTAACTCTTATTTCTCAAGAAATAGAGTATTTAACTTCCATACTAGTAGACAAGAAAATTAAGAACAGAGAGAATAAAGAAAACTTGATCAACACTGTATAAAGCATGGAAGAGGGAAAAACAAAGAGGGAAAAGAAGAAAAGCAAAAGAAAAAGCATAGTAAATATAAAACATACAATAAGATGACAGAAGTAAGTCCAAATGCATGAATCACAATAAATATAGACATATAAAACTTGCCCATTTAAAGAGACTTTCAAATCAGATTTAAAAAAAAAAAAATCCAGGTCAAGGCGATTCGCAAAGGACTTGCATAAAACCTAAAGCTACAGAAAGGTTGAAAATGAAGATATAGAACAAGATATGCTAGGCAAATATTAACCAAAGGGAAGCTAGGCTAGCAATGTTGATGTCAGACAAGAATTTAAGAGCAAAGGCATTAACAGGGATAAAGCAGGACATTACTTATTGATAAAAGGAGTAATCTAACAAGGAGATTTACAGATCAGCATACTGGAGAGATCCTGCCAGAGCTTGAATCCAGCCAGTGCAGGCTGTTCTGCTATGGCTGGGGAGCTGAGGGACAGCTTCCTGCTCTGCTGCATCTGGATTGACTTGTGCCTGCCTAGATAAGGTGTGCTCAGCCCATGTTGTGAACACCAAGACAAGGCATTGCTGGAAATAAACATGCTATACTTATCATGTACAGCTTATAATTGTTGTACAATTTAGGCACGTGTTTATTGTAAACTTTTAGTATTTGAACTTAGCAAAGTGTAGGGATCAGAAGAAAAAAAACACTAACTAGAGTTCCCCAGTAGTGGGCAAGGGTGACAAACTGGGTTGGGAAAGAACTGAATCCTCCATGGGCCTCAAAAATATCCAACAGCATGGATGTGTCCTGGGTGTTTCTCTCAAACTCACTTCAGTGAGAGGGAGGGACCTAAGGGACTCTGGGATTTGGAATCAAAATGGAGAGTTTGGTATATTTCCTTTAAGTAGATCAAGTGGCCGGAAAACAAGGTGGTAGGAACCTGGGTGAGGCTTACCATCCATAAAAGTCTTCACTTCTGAAGTTGGATCAGAATGTGGTGTTCCAGCCTCAACCTAACCAGACATCTACAGATACTCAGAATTGTACCTTCTGGACACACCTCCCCTTGGATATTATTGTACCTCCAGACCTATTACACTGTGATTGATCCATGGGACTTGGCATATGGCCTTCTTGGTCCCATCCTTCAACTCCAGCCGACATGCTCTGGGGCCAAGGTCTTGCCCTTTATGATGGAGTTGTTCTTCTCAAGAGTTTTTATCTTCCCATCCTTTGGAAAGTTTGTGAGTTTATTTCTGTGACATGCACCTCTTGGGGTATCTGTCCGGCATCTTTGGGAGCTACTCTCTCTACCCACAGGGGTGGATTTCCTGGAGCTACATTTGGTCACAGCTGACTGAAGCAAGGCCTCACACAAAGTGAGCTAATCAGGTTTCTGCTCTTGGGAGTTGGGAATTTGAACTGATGGAACAGGAGACTGGGATGCTTGCAACAGAGTCACATTAATAGCATCATGGGCTGGTTGCAGTGGCTCACACCTGTAATCCCAGCACTTTGGGAGGCCAAGGCGGTGGGATCACTTGCGGTCAGGAGTTCAAGACCAATCTGGCCAACATGGTGAAACCCCGTCTCTACTAAAAATACAAAAATTAGCCGGGTGTGGTGGCACATGCCTGTAATCCCAGCTACTTGGGAGGCTGAGGCAGGAGAATCCTTTCAACCCAGGAGGCAGGAGGCAGAGGTTGCAATGAGCCGAGATTGCACCACTGCATCCAGCCTACGTGACAGAGCGAGACTCTGTCTCAAAAAAGTAAAATAAAATAAATAAAATAAAAGCATCATGAAGGAGACGGCCAATGGGCTTTGGCTTCTAGAGATGGAGAGCTGCCATGGCTTCTGTCTTTTTCAAGCCCAAATGTGTGAGATACGCTTGGATATTCTCAGCATATAACCCTTTATGCTTAAGCTAGCTCTGGTTACTTTCTGTCATTTATTGCTTTATTAACACGGCTTAGTTAAGGAAGAAATACCTTCAGTAGAAAGGGTCTTCTCCTAGCAGTTCATACACCTGCAAATTCAGAAGCTCTGGTTCCTGGTGGCCCAAGGGCTCTAATAATGGTGGTAGCTCAGCTGATAGAACAGGTAGAGCAGATACTGAACCTGCCTGTCATTCATTGGGTAGGACTGTCTTATCTGATCCCAGATGAGTAGCTGGAAAGCTCTGACCTTGGCTTTCCTTGCCTAGTAGGTATCTGGGACTTCTACTAGACGAGAGGAAGGAGCTACACCAAATGGTCCCATTAACAATGTTGGACCAGGCAACTGGTAAACTACTCTAGGATCAAAATTGTGTTGCGAGAACCATCTAGGGAATCAGGGCAAGAATTCAGAATAAGTATTTTGTATTCTGGAGCTGCATCCAGAGGACAGGGCTCTGGGAAGACACTGGCCGTACTTGATCCTGTAGGGTGGTGTTCCTTGTGGACTTTCAGTGCATCTGATCCTGCATTCTTTCTGTATTCTCCATGTGCCATGGGTTTACCTGTTCCTGTGGGTGGTATTCCTCAGAGACCATGGATATATCTGATCCTGCAGGTAGTTTTCCAGGAAACCATTTCTGTATCTGTTTATATGGGGTGGAGTCCCTTATAGACCATAGGGCTACCTGGCCCTGTGAGGAGGTGTCCCTGGGGTCACAGGTATACTTAGGCTGCTGTTTGGTGGCACTGCTTGGATGGGCATGGTATCCCCAGGGACCACAGCCCTGCCTAGTCCTAACCAGCATGGCCTCCCCATTCTTATCAAGACATTCTATATAGGAATAGTCTCTCTTGCTAAAAATAAAGACCGCTACAGAAAACTGCCAACTAATAATGGTAGAAGTAATTACAGAGTTAGAAAATACACCATTTTGTAACCACCGTAGTCGTAATTGATCCAGGCAATGTTATCAGTGGATGCTAAAGTCACTGGATGAAGGCTGCTCAGAGAACAGGATATTCACAGTGTCAAAGTTTCCCCCACAGATTGTGTATTAATTATAAAGGGGAAAAAGTGCCTTTAAAATGGATACATCTGGATACCACCTTAAAAATGATCAAACTTATCACCGCCAATAATGGGAGAAACTGATGTCATGTGTCCTGATGTGATGTGCTGAGAAGGACATGTCACTGATGTGTATCCCAGCCCAGAATATTTAGCCTGAACTTAATCATGAGGAAACATCAGACAAAGCTAACCTGCAGGACATTCTGCCTGGATTTTCCAAAACTACCAAGTTCATGAAAGACAAAAAAAAAAAAAAAAAAAAGCTGAAGAACTATTTCAGAACAAAGGAGATTCAAGAGACAAAATAAATCAATGCAATGCAAGGTCTTGGAATGGGGTGGAGGGTTGCTATAAAGGACATTATTGCGATAATTGAAGGGTTTTGAATATGGTCTCTGTATCAGATAACTGTTACATTTCCTGAAAGTGATCATTGCACTGTGCAGTATAGAAGAATGTCTTTGTTCTTAAAAGACAAATGCTGAAGAATTTAGGGGTGAAACCTCCTCACGTCAGCAACTAACACAAATGTTTCAGAAAGAGAAAGGGAGAAATAGAGCAAACGTGGGAAATAGTTACAAAGTAGCACACCTGTGGCAGAGTATATAGGTGTTCATTGAAACAATGAATAATTCTGTAGGTTTAAAATTTTCCTAAATAAAAATTTGGGGAACATAAACAACTTAAAAACGAATCCAACAACCTCTAATGAAATAATAGATTTAGTCAATGATAGTAAATGGCTGCAAAACCATGAAATGGAAAGCTAGTGGAGGGAAAAAAAGCTGAAAGGAATTTTATAATGGATAGATCAGGTTGACAGCAACTGAACCCACTGATTAGTCTTATGTTATGAAAAAAAAGATAGCAAGAAATTATGTGGTTCTGACATGATGCAATAGGAAGTTCACACTACCTATAAAATATTCTTGCCAAAAAAAAAAAAAAAAATCGCCGGGTGCGGTGGCTCATGTCTGTAATTCCAGCACTTTGGGAGGCCGAGGCGGGTGGATCACAAGGTCGGGAGATTGAGACTATCCTGGCTAACATGGTGAAACCCCGTCTTTACTAAAAATACAAAAAATTAGCCAGGCATGGGGGCGGGTGCCTATAGTCCCAGCTACTCGGGAGGCTGAGGCAGGAGAATGGCGTGAACCCAGGAGGCAGAGGTTGCAGTGAGCTGAGATAGCGCCACTGCACTCCAGCCTGGGCAACAGAGCGAGACTCCGTCTCAAAAAACAAAAACAAACAAACAAACAAAAATCAACCCTGAAGCCAAATAACTCTAGAAGCTACCAATTCAAAGGGAGAGAGAAACATGTTAAAAGATACCACAGGGATGCAACTGGCAAAACACAAAATGAACAAAATTCCATAGGACAAATGGCCTACAGTTTCTTTAGTAAATTGCAAGAAGAAAAAAAAAGAAAGTGTAAACTATGGAATAAAAGGAAACTAAGAGCCACATCAACCACATAAAATTTGTGGATCTTGATCAGAACCTGATTCAGGGAAATTTGAACACCAAATGAATATTTGATGAGAACAACAAATTATAGCTAATTTTTATGAGGTGAGATGATAGTTTTGTGGTTATGTTAAGAGTCCTTAACTTGTGGAAATATATATTGAAATATTTATGGATGAACTGATTTGAAATCTGTGGTTTGTTGTGATTTGCTTCCAAATAATCTTGGGGGACAGTGCAGGGGGATATTGATAAATTAAGATCAGCTATGTGTTGATCATTGTTGAAGCTAGGTGATAATAAGTCTATGGAATTTTTTTTGTTTTATATATGTGTGTGTGTGTGTGTGTGTGTATGTATATATATATATATATATTTTTTTTTTTTTTTTTTTGAGACAGAGTCTCACTCTGTCGTCCAGGCTGGAGTGCAGTGGCACGATCTCGGCTCACTGCAAGTTCCGCCTCCCCAGTTCACGAGAAGCAAAATGTTGTTTGGGCAGCTCCCTAACTCAACAAAGGTTAAGGAACAGGGTTTTGCAAGGGCTAGTGGGTTGGACCCAGGAGAGAGGAAGGTGGTAAAATTAGATGTCTCTTTTTGTAAGGCTTTGTTCAGCTTGAGGTCTGAGATCAGAGGTCAAGGATGGGGCTGGAGGGATAGGTGCTTCACTAAGGTAGGCATGCTCTCTTGAGACCTAATGGCTTTAAGAGCAGACTCCCTGACCTTAGTGCCTTCCTCCTTGGTGCTCCAGGTATCCTGTGGTATAGAGACAGAAGTTCTGACCCATCCCTTCCCACTCTCATTTTCATACAGCACCATTCATAGGCCCTTCTTCCCATCCCTTTCTTTTTCTTCTCTGGTTCTCTGGCCCATTTTCATTCCTTCCCTCCTCAAGTGCCCCCCTCTTTTCCACTCTCCATTCCCTGTCCTCTGCCCTACCAGCCACCTCAGTTAAGTGTCCAAGAGAAGGACAGCTTTTATATGGCTTGTAAAATTCTATTATATCTGTATTCAAAACCTAGCAGCTGAGAAACATTGGTAATAAGCGTGTTATTAAGCGTGTAAATACACTTCCACTCCAGGGCCTCCAAGGGGTGGGGGCAAGATTCTCAGCCGGGGTGTCTCCCCTGCATGAAGTCCCTTCCCACCTGGCCTCCACCCTAGATGAGGACCTTGAGCTTAGGCCCAGCCTCCTCCAGTCTCCGACCACCACTGTCCTGCAAAACCTAGACTCTTGGAGAAAGGGGGCGGGGGAGAGGGCCGAAGAAAAAAAACATTAGGAAAAAAACTCCCACCCAGAGAGCATTCTTTCTGCAGCACTCAGGAAAAAGGATGTCTCACAGGGGACGGGAAGGCGAAATTTTTTCACATCCAAATGGATTGCAATTTCCCTCCATTTAGCACCTGAAGGTAATTAGCTCGAAGAGACTGCCGAGTGCGAAACACGTTCACGGAACATTAACTCTCACACATTCTCCAGTTGCAGGGAATTAATAGGAAAGATTAAAGTTTAAAGAGAGCAAAATGCCATTACCTCGCCAGCCACCTCTCTCCGCGGCAGTATCCAGCCCCTGAAAACCTTCAGCCACTGCTTGGGCCCGGGGATCAGGTCTTAGCCTCCAGCCTCGCTGGCCAGGGCACCTGGGTGTGCCCCATCAATAGTGCTAACATGTGCTCAGGGGCATGCATATGTGCAAAACAGGGCAGCTCTGACCCTTCACGAGGCCAGTGCAGCCAACCCCCTCTCATTACCATGAAGTTTCAGGTGGACAAGGACAGGTGTACCTTCATACAGGCTGACTCCTGGTGTTGGTGTGTGCCGAGGCCTGGGTGGGGGAAGGGCTGTATTAGGAAGGTTCATTAACAAGGGTATGCCCTGTGATTTGGGGGTAGAGGGTGAGATCGGCCAGCCTGGCCAGCAGTAGAGAGCTGGAAGGTGGCACTCCATTCTTGAGTGTGAATAGAAGCACTTGGGTGAGGTGGTGAGGAAAGCTGCCTCCTTGCCTCCACTCTTATGCGACAGGCAGGACCCATGAAAATGTGTGCACACACGCAGCCTCCCACTGTCACATACAGATGGCCTTTGCCACTATGATTTTCTCAAAGTTTATGTAGACTTCAAATTCAAAAGGTTTCTGTGTTGCTTCAGTATTTTAGGAAAAGATGAGAGACAGAGAGAGAGAGAGAGAGAGAGACAGAGAGAGTGGGGGGAGAGTATGAGGGAGAGAGAGGGGCAGAGGCAGGCAGGAGAGAGAGAGCTCGAGATGAAATTGAGACATGGAAGAATTTATTGCCCAGAAAATTCCATTCTGCTATCTGATTCAAAAAGTCCAGTCCCCCCAGCTTCGGAAAATCTATTTTCCACATTTTAATACCCTGCAGAACAGTCCTCATAACTCATCCGAGTGTGTTAAGCACAGTTTTATTAGATCTGAAACAAATTTTGGTGGGGAGATACTATAGGTCATTAACCATGGAGTAATTTTATCCTTGTTTCCCTAATGATGCCATAATGGCGAGCGAATTTCTTAACTAAAGACCAAAGAACATTTTGAAGGTCAGTTTCATCTGTGAGCTCCTTCAAGCGCTTCTCAGAGAAGATTGGAAAACTCGCCGATTTTTTGAAGAGTCATTAATAATGTGAAAGCTGAAAGCACCCTCCATTTGCGTTCCTGCTTTTTACCTTTTAATTTTATATCGTCCCTGCTCAGAGCCCCGCTCCCACTCCTTCACCCTCCTCTGGACCTCCCGCCCATCTACCCACCCCACGCAGGGAACAAGACTGCCCAGTACCAGGTACCAGGCTGGCTGTGAGGGGGCAGACGGGGCTGCAGTAGGGAGGAGGGAGAGCTGAAGAAGCCAGAGACACCCCTCTGGCCAGGGCACCCCACTGAGATGGGGGGCCTTTGTGATATGTTTTCAGAGTGTGTGCACTGTGTGAGGGTATTGTTATAGGCATGGTGGGTGTCTGGTGTGTCTGTGTGTGTGTGTGCGTGTGAATGTGTGTTGTAGGGGACTGAGGTCTCTGGATTGCCTGCTGGCTGTGCACGCACATGTTGGGGACTTAGTAGACTCTGGAAGTAGGTGCCCCCTATTGGAAGTAGGCTGGAAAAGGGGACTGAAAACCAACCCTGGGTCCAGTGGTCAGGGCTGGTTTTCAATTCCCTTTTCCAGCCTACTCAGAAGGGCAGTAGGTCAGTTGGGGGACTTTTGGTCTGTCGGCATTGGCAACAGAGATAGGCACCCATGTGGAATGCTTGGGAATGTTTATAGCATGCCATGGGCCTTTGTGTGTGTGTGTGTGTGTGTGTGCGCGCGCGCGTGTGTGTGCGTGTGTATGTGTGTTTACATGCGCATGTCCTGAGAGTGGCGAGGTCATCAAGGCAAAAGCCCCAAGGCCCCTCCCCACTAGTAAATCTCTAGACACTAGAGATGGTGACCATTATCCTGTCCTACCCCTCACTCCTTGGACCACTCACCCCCTTGTTCCTCAGGCCTGGAGCCCCTTGTTTTTACCCACATCACTCACCTCCTGATCTCAACCCCTGACTCCTTAGATCCCCCAGTTCCATCCCAACCACCCACCCTGGAGCCCCTGGGCCTCCATCTCCAAACCCATATGATGGCTCCCATTACAGGGTGCCCAGCCAGGAGCTGTGATGGGGCAGCACTTCTGCGTGTGTGTGGGTTTGGGGAGGAGGGGGCGGTGTGGTGACACTCTGTGCTCCCAGATGTGGTGGCAGCGATAATTCCAATTTTATGCCTTTGTTATGGCTTTAATCACTTTCTTTATGCGTTTTGTTCCAGCGATCAGGGAGAGACACCTGATAGGCAAAGAGGATACCAGGGGAACCATTTTTATTTGGAATGTGGTGAGAAGTCTAATTAGAATCTGAATTCTGCTGAGCCTTGAAATGGCCAGCACTTTATCCTGATCGCCTTAGATATTGTTTCGAGTCAATCATCTGTCATGGTGCGGCAGGAGAGCCTCTGCCTTCACACCACATTCCCTCCCGCTGCAGGCCCCGCTGGGGCACCCTGGGGGGAGGAGAGCTCAGCCCCCACCCTCATAGGGGTGCCCCTCTTCCAGGGGCCCCTGTTTTGTATGGCTTCTCTCCCCTGGTGAGTTCTGTCTTTACTGGGATGCTGAATTAGAGCTCATAGAGGGTGGGGGTGCTGCAAGAAAGGGGTGCTGAAGGGCCTGAATTAGAATTAGGAAATATTGGGGTGGGGCCAAGCTAGTCTGAGGTACCTCCTAAGTGCTCTCAGCACATCAACCACCCCTAGCCTGTCCATCAGTGGCCTTCAGTTTCTCTCTCATCTCTTCACTGTCCCCTGAATATATTGTATCTCTCCCACCTGCTTACCCTACCCCAAACTCACCAATCCCATTGCCAGCCCCTCCCTGACCTGGCACTGGCTATGCGTTCAGCTTCCATTCATTTCTCTGACTTGGCTCACTCTGGTCCTGCCGCTGGAATGCTGCTCCTGTTGGTTTTTTCCTGTTTAGGACTTCTGCCATCTGTTAAGTCCCCAGACTGGTTCCACCTCCTCCAGAAAGCCTTCCCTAGCTACCTGAACCCACGGTGCATGAGCTCTCTGAGAGGTGGGCCAGTAACAGCACGGGCGCAGCCTGCAGGGGCCACACTAACTGGACACACTCTCTCCCACCAGATCTCTAGTCCATTTATCTCCCTCCTGCCTTTAAATGGTTTCCAAATGTCCTCTCTCTTCTTCTTTCACTGTTTGAGTGATGTGTGTATATGTGTGTACATGCGTGTGTGCATTTCCTAATCCCCTCAAGCTCCTTTGAATATGGCAAAATGTAAAGTGGAAATAAATATTACTGTTTTTTAATGGAGTCTCACTGTGTTGCCCAGGCTGTAGCGCAGTGGTGTGATCTCAGCTCACTGCAACCTCCACTATCCAGATTCAAGTGATTCTCCTGCCTCAGCCTCCTGAGTAGCTGGGATTACAGGCACCTGCCACCATGCCAGGCTAATTTTTGTATTTTTAGTAGAGACAGGGTTTCGCCATGTTGACCAGTCTTGTCTTGAACTCTTGATCTCAGGTGATCCACCCGCCTCAGCTTCCCAAAGTGCTGGAATTACAGGCATGAGCCACTGCGCCTGGCATAAATATTACTCTTAATGATAATTTCAACTCTCTAGCTGAACTATGAGTTTCTCAAAGGCTGGCCATTTCCTCCCTGTCTCTTGCCCTTCCATAGCCTAATTGTCTCTTGCCCTTCCATAGCCTAACTGTGAGCACAGAGGATCAGGCACAGAGCAGGGACCTGCATCATCACCTCCAGAAGGTCCCTGATCACTAAGGCTCTCCGCTTCCTCTCATCCCCCACCTCCCACCTTCTACCATACATCTTTTCCATGTGGTAGATACAGGCATTGTGGGAGACTGTCAGTATTCGAAGCGAGTGCTGTTTCTGGCAGGAGGAAGGGGACATGTTCTATGAACAGTGTCTCCATAGGAGATAGCCTAGACGGTTGGTGTCTCCTTGGAGGAGATCAAAGAGGTCAAGGATCCCCATAGGGTCAATGTCATGGGTCCTTTTTAGATAGTTGGAGTATTCAATGTCAGCTGGCTGGTCAGTGTACCCCATGTAGCAGAGTGTCCTCACTGATGGTCAGTGTCACCAGGAGCCTCATGAAGGGTCACTGCCCTCTAGAGATTGTCAGTGTAGTAGGCATGCCTTATGGATAGTCCAAGGGTCAGTGTGGCCAGACCTCCCTAAGGAAAGATATTCACAGACTCAAAGGGTTCCCAGAAGACCCTTTGGAACTTCCTTACCTCCCCATCCCCACCTGGACTCCTCTTCAAATGAAATCCCGACTTGTTTGTTCCTGGTTAGTCTCATTCCTGACTTGCTCCTTGGCTCTCCCTAGTCCCTGAGCTCTGGGAAGGGAGTGGAGATGGCACCAGCAAGGTCTAACAAATCATGGGGTTCATGGTCAGGACCTGGGGGTGGTTCTCTAGGGTGCGCCACCAGGACCCTAGTCCTTCCTCCCTCCCAGCAGCCCTCATCCAGAAGACATGGCTATATTGGTGGTACCACATCGATGGATTGAGAGCTGCAGGGAGGTGGTGGAAAGGGTCTAGAATTGGGGTCATTATTTACAAGGGAAGGCAGGACAGTGGCTGGAGAGACTTAGGAGCAAACTTCGTAGTGGGAAATTGCAATCTACTGTTAACATCTAGGGAAAAATCAATATATCAGATGATGTGTGTATGCGCCCATGTGATGGAGGGTCAGTAGGTGAGGGGCTCAGGCCCCTGTAGGGAAGAAGGGGTGGAGTGTGAGGGCGGCTCATTCTCTGGCTGCTGTTTCCCCATCTACACAAGCTGGGGGAGATCAGGCTCTGGGTCCAGGGAGCACATGTGCTGGGTAGGGGTCCCAGTGGGTGGGAGGACAGAGATGCCAAAGCTGGTGAAGTCCTGGCCTCTTCCCATCTCAGACACCCTCAAGGCACTGTCCTCTCTCTATATCCTGAACTTGGCTGCAGCAGGGGTAGATGAAAAGGAGGAGAAACTGTTGGATAAAAAGAAATTAAAAAAAAAAAAGTAAGTGAAATATTCAAACTGGAAAGTGATATTATAGAAACTGCAGCCCACGGCTCAGTGCATTCAAATTTATTCAAACTCGGTGCCTGACAGTGATGGATGCGGCAGCTTTTCCCACAATATGGAGAAGGCGCGGGGGCATTTAGGACTGCGGGTCCCCTCCGGGAGGGTGGGGGCCCACACCACCTCCCGTGCCTAGCTCCTCCTAAATGGGAAGCAAGGTTCTGGGACCTGTCTCCTCTGCTCCCCTGCTTCCCAGCCACATCCTCTATCCCAGGGTCCTGGGATCCTGTGGGCCTCGGCACCACCAGCCCAAGTGCTTGGAGTATGACCAAGGACACTAGGGAAAAGGATGGCCAAGCATGTCCAGGGGACGACTGGACACGGGTGTAGACTGCATCAGAGAAGGGTGTGGTTGCATGGTCTGCAGCCAAATAAATAGGATGAACTCGACAAGCCCCCAGATGTGCTGAGATCTCAGGGTCTTGGTGATCCCAAGACAGAGAGCAGTTCATCTCATTGATCTCCACTTTCCTGTCCAGGCCAGCTTGGCAGCCACTCCATCTAAGAGAGGGACAGAAGGGCCTCTGGGGAAACGGCAAGTCTGGGGCCTGGTCTGAGCAGTGGGCAGGCAATGGAGTGTCTATGAATGTTATGCCCTGGGGTGTCTCCTGCTCTCAGGAACTCCACCCATAGTTCCCTGCACAAGGTTGCCCTGGCCTCCTGTCCAGCCTCCTGACCAACAGACCCTACATCTGATTCTCAGGCCCCATCCTGTGGGAACCCTTGGGAATACCGTCACCCCCTAAAGCTCACTCCTCCCTTGGCTGCCTCGCCCTTCGCTCCCGCCCACCCCTCTCTCAGCTCTAACACTCCTTCTCTGTCTCTTTTGCTTCCCACACACACCCCCAGGTATGGATAGAGTGCAAAGCTTCAGCTTCAGCTTCAGCTCTCTGCTGTCCCCTCCCTGCAGACTCTCAGGAGATCTCATACTCCAGCCCCTTCAGCAGGTGATGGAAACATCTACCTCTACTTCCAAGCTTTTCTTGAGCTCTAAGCCCACAATTCAGGCAGTACAAGGCTAACTGTGGGAAAGCGAGCTCATAAGTCTCTCCTAAAACCAGCAACAACTTGTGACTCCCCTATTTTGTTAATAGCCCTATCACTCACTATTGACCCTCACAGAACTCTTGGAGCCTCTGTCTCCTTCCTGGTCCTCATCCCTACCTTCCATCAATTAACAAATTTCAGAGATACTTCCTGATGCCTTTTGCACCCACCTTTGCCTCACCGTCACCACCACCCCCATGAAGGTCCTTATTATGGCTCTTCTAGGTCACTTCATTTCAACCAACAAACTGCTTTTGAGTGCGTACCGCATCAGGTACCAGGTCAGGCATCCTCCTCTGCCTTTCAGTTTTACTGTCTCTAATTGTTCTACACACTGCTGCCAGAATAACTCTCCTAAAGCACAGCTCTGATCATGTCACTCCCTTGCTCAAACACCCTCAAAGGCTCCCCGTTGCCTGCTATAGAAAGTGCAGACTCCTTACTCTGATATTCAGGGCCCTTTGTTATCTGGCTCCTGCCCACCCCTCTCTCCAAACCTTCCCATTACTCTCCTCCATGCTTACATTTGCCAGCCAAATTGGACTCAGAGTGGTTCCCCTGAACATTCCCCACACAGCGACTTCCCACTTACGAGCATTCACTCATGTCCTTCCTCTGCCTGTGACAATCTCCTTCTGGAATGGCATCACCTTCCAACACCCCAACTCCTCTCTGCCCATCAATATTTTAATCCTCTGCAAGTCCTGATTCAAGCAAAGCCATCTTCTGAACATTACCTATAAATGTGTGCAAGGTGTCTGCTGGCTACTATAATTATTATTGCTATGATTATTCTCCCCCCTCAGCAGTGGTTTCTCTTTTCTGGGAACCTTATAGGCCCTCTCCACAGCTTTCCTGGCTGCTGACATGGCTTTCCTAATACTGATATTGCTTGTATACCTGACCTACATCTGTCCTGGACTATAAACTTCTTGAGAGCCAGGACCAATAATATTCATTTGTGTCCCCCTCAGCCCCTAGCCCAGGAACCTCAGTAAACACCTGTTGAACAAGTGAATAAAGGAGTGAGTGAATGAACGAATACAGCTAAACTCACTAGGACATGGCTATGTGACACAGACTTGGCTCTTCTGAGCTTCCTGTTCTGGACGGTGACCACCTAAGAGTTCCCTGTCATTACTCCCGGCTCTCCTGACATGTGTCCAGGTGAGCTGGGACGTAAGTGTGCAGGCTGTATGACAGGTGTGTCATCCCTCCAGAGTGAGAGGGGAGTGTGGCAGAGTTCAGCCTTCCCAACTCATCAATCAAAGGGCACTTACTGACAGCTCCTGAGAGCCAGCTCTGGGCTCTGCTGCTAGGGAGGGATGAGCGGGAGATGAGAGCTGCCCTCTGGGGGTTCCCCGTCTTGCTGATCCTTGCAGATTGGGCCTGCTTCTCCTGTGACTCTCAGACCAGGGGAACTCAAAGGACTGTCATGGTCACTGATGGGCAGGTGGATGGACTGGGCTGGCCCTTTCCTCCCAGCTGCCCTGCAATGCTACTTAATCCAGAAGTGGCTTTTTCACCCTTTTGGTCTAGATTGACTACCCCGTCCAGACTTGGGGTACCCTGTTGCCTCCTGCAGAATTCTCTGTTACACAGCCCAGAACCACACAGCTGAAAGTCACTGAATGGATGGGTGGATGGAAGCCGTGGCTAGCTGACTGAAGCAGCTGAGCAAACATCTGGAGGAACCAAGTGCTAACTGAGTGCATGGGCACAAAGAACACTAGTTAGCATTTATTGAGCACCTACTACATACCAGGCACTGTGCTAAATCCTTTACCGGATGCACTCATTTACTCTTCCCTTCACTCTTATGAGTAGGAACGATCATGATCCCATTGAGGAAGAGGAAACCGAGGCTCGGGGAGGTGAAGTAACTTGTGTGAGCTCACCCCGCTTATCAGTGGCAGAACCTTGGTTCCTAACCTAGGCAAAATCTCGGCAGGGTCTTGCCTAAGCTCTGTCCTGTCCTTCAGTGACCTCTTGCCCAGCCCGTGTGCTGATGAGGTACCTCCAGGCTCAAGGTCTTTACTCCTCTTTTTTCGGTCTCCTTGGCAAAGTTCAGAAGAGGCCGGGCAGGAGCCTTTGTTTCCCCAGAAAGGGACTTCCCAGCCCCTTTAGCCCCTGTCCCTTTGAGGAGGGGGCGGCGCTCCCCGGGCCTCTGCTGAGGGGTCCCTGCGCTGGGGGCGCCCTCGGCTCTGGGGGGGCCCCCGCCCCCGCCCCCGCCCAGCCCCTCCCTGGCGGCCAGATACCAACAAGCACGCTAAACTCCGGGAGATTTACAGCGGGCGGCGGGGCGGCGGGGCGGCCGCCGGTGAGATATCTCCAAACAGCGCACTAACCACTTTCCATTTTATACCTCACCAGCTTTATAGCATCTTAAGGATTTCTGTGCACGGCTGGCTTCCCGCCCAGGGAAAAAAACCCAGCCTTGTAAATAAATACTAAATATATATGAACAGAGACGACAGCGAGCAACGCGGAGGAGGGGAAGGGGGTGGGGGGCTGCGGGTGGGGGGGCGCGAGGGTGTGGGTAGCAGCC
This sequence comes from Homo sapiens, assembly GCF_000001405.40. Taxonomy (NCBI): domain Eukaryota; kingdom Metazoa; phylum Chordata; class Mammalia; order Primates; family Hominidae; genus Homo; species Homo sapiens. Next base: position 100,621,837 of record NC_000010.11, read on the forward strand.
GGGGGCCGGCGACCGATGGGGAGCTGGGGGAGGCGGGGATATATTGGGGTGTCCGAGACAAAGGCGACAGTGAGAAAGCAGTTGACAGGCAGAGTGAGGGAAACTGAGCCGGCAACAGAGGTGGAGGCAGAGAGAAACAGAGATGGAGGCTGAGCGGAAGTGCTCCACAGACAGCCAGTCCGTCTGTGTGTGTGTGTGCGTGTGTGTGTGTTCGTGCTTGTTTGTGTGTGCAGGGAGTCCTGCTTATTAAAGCTTAAAGAGAAGCCTCCCCAACCCTCCCACCCATCCGTCTCACAGTTCTGAGGGGATTGGGACTCAGGGATGGGCTACCCACCCCACTCTGTGTGTGTGTGTGTGTGTGTGTGTGTGTGTGTGTCCCTGGGGTTTGGGGATACTTGGTGTGGGTGGGACTGTGCCAGGGTGGCATTGGGGTGTTGGTGGGCAAGTGGGCCGAATGTCTGTGGTGTGTGCAGGGTGGGTCTGGGTTAGGATACATTGGAGGTGTGAGGAGGCAGGTGAGTTCTGGGAGTGTGTGCAGCTTTGAGATTGATCGTGGAGGGCTGAGCGAGGCATAGGTGTTCAGGTGCCTTTGAGTGTCGTGGGGTGGGTAGGGGCCTGGGGAGAGATGAGTCAAGAGGGTCTTCTCTCAAGATGGGCCTTGGAAGGACTATGTGTTGGGCCTGAAAGCAAGTGTCCCTTTGTGTGCTGGGAGTGTCAGGGTTAGGTTTTGAGGTGATGCCAGGTGGTCTCACCTCCTCTTCCTCATCCTCCCTCCTTGAGTCTTTCCAGAGGTTCTGGAATTTTGTCTGCAATGGCCCTGCAGGGAGGGTCCTGGTGCTGACTGAGCCCCAGCACTAGCCCTGCCCCAGCTCTAAGGTCTCTGGACAGGAGCCAGAGTTGAATTAGGGGGCAGGAGAGACCATCCTTTCCCCTCTCAGGGGGCCCAGCGATCCCTTCTCATTCCCCCCTTGTCTTCGATATTAAGTATTCAAACCTCATTTACATCCTTATTTTTCAATTTGCTGCCACAGTAGTTTAATTTATTCGATATAATTTCTTTTTCTGAGGGGACATTAATCATTGCCCTGTGCTTTTGGGCGCCTGTGGGATCTCTGCGTGTATATATGTGTGTGCGTGCGCATCTGTGCGTGTGTGTGTGTACGATCTATGTGTTGGGGGTAGCTGTGTGTATCTGTGAGTGTGCATCTGCATCCATGTGTGTCTGTGCCGGTGCATATTTGTGTCTGTGTGTAAACAAGGCACCACGTAGTCTGTTTGTGAGTGTTGTGTGTGAGAAACATGGGTCTTTGTTGGGAGAGTGGGGGCAGGTGTGTGAAGGTAAGTGTGATGGGAGTGTGCTAACCTGGTCAAGTCCTCTTCTTCAGAATCCTCCTGGCCCTTCCAGGATGTCAACAAGGAGGGGAGGTGGCAAAGTATTTGGGAGACATGAGATCCCTGTCACACCAGTTCTGGCCTCCCTTGGACTGAACTGCAGGCCAGTTTAAGGGCTCCCCCTACCCCAGGGCCATCTCAAGGTGTGCCGCTCCCACAAGGATGGGTTCCTCCCATTGTCCCCTGCTGGATGCAGCTGTTTTTCCTTTCCTGAGAGTGTGTCCTGGGTAGTTGCAGCTAGAAATGTTCTAGAGTCCATGGTCTTTCAAGAAAGTGAGAAAGACCAAGAGGCGAAGACAGACACAGAGATGGAGAAAGACAGGCAGGAAGGAGCAAGGCCAGCCATGGCAGGGAAAGAAAGAAAGAGGGAGGAAGAGACACAGAGAATGATGGAAAGAGGAGCGGGAGAGAGGGAGAAGTGAGCGAGCCAGCAGCGTCTCAGCCCATAAAGTCCCTGGAATGGGAGGAAGGGGCGAGGGAGACTCTCGCATCAGCTCAGGCGGGTCATGGCTCAGCGCAGTATGAGGGCGGGGGGGCCAAGGGCTGGGGCTGCTTTTCTTCCAGGAGCTGAGATGAGTGAAGTGACTTGGGGGAGGCTTGTTTAGAGAGAAGAGGCAGGAGGAAGGGGTAAGGGGGAGGGAGGGAGGGAGAAAACCCCTCCTGGGGATATAATTCAGGGGAATGACTGAAAGGAACATTTCTGAGGCCATTCAAGGATGGGGGAGGCAGCTCTCCAATGCTCCAATCAGCTCTCCCTTCCCCACTCTGGGCAAGTCCACCATCTTTCCGAGACCCTCTTTTGGTCCCCAGCCCCAGAAGCCCTCTGTTTTCCTTCTCTGGCACATTCCTGGGGTCTCCTTTTCTCCCCGCGGGTGGGGCTTGGGAGTGATGGAGCAGGGATTGATGGGCAGGCCTGCAGCATGCCAGGTGCTGTGCTAGGATTGCACCTGTGGCATCTAATTTACTCATTGCAACAACTCCTTGGAGTGAGAATCGGCCACCCGACTTCAGTGAGGAAGAAAGGAGAGGTCAGGGACTTGCTCAAAGTCAGGATTTAAGTCAGATCCACCTGAGGCTGAGTGCGGAGCTGTTCCCATTTCCCTCTGCTGCCTGCTGTCCTGGCCACCACACAGGTACATGCGTACTCCCACACAAAACGGGGTCCAGGACCCAAGGCTAAAGTGGAGAGGCCTCTTGGGGCACGAATCCAGAGGCTGAGGGTACCTCCTGCACCTGTTCTTCTAGCTCCGCCACCCAGCTGTGAGTACTTTGCCCTGGAGAAGAGCTGCCTGCTCACTGCCTTCAGGCGTGAAGAAGGCCCAGGCATCAACAGCCCCGGGGCCCCTTTGGACCCTGACTTCACTTTTGTCCAGGGTCCCGAGGCAGCTTCAGGACCCCTTCTGGAAGGTGGCAGCCAAACCCTCTGGCTCAGGGAGGTACTGGCTCTGTCCTGGGACCTGGTTTCTGCTTCCAGGACCTGGATCGATTTCAAACTCAGCTTCAAGCAGCTATGACCTCCCGTTTTAGCTTCATCCCGACAGTGGCCTGAGGCCCAGGGTTTAGAGGTGGAAGTTTCTTTCTTTTGGTCTAAAATTCTGCAAAATGGACATCATGGAACCTGACCATTTGGGTACCCACCCCAGCACTGAGCCTCCAAACACCTGATTATTTTGAATTCTATAGATTTATATATTCTAACATCAAATGTCCAAACATCTTAATACCCAAGGCTTCCAACATCCAAGCACTTGAGTGCACTGGACACGGAGCACGCAGGAGCTATTGATGGAGTATCCAGAGGTGGAAATCTGAGACGGACTCAGGGTGGGGAAGGAGCTCTGTTTTCCTGGCTCCCTCCTGAGTCCCTTCAATCCTCCTGACCTCTTACAGAGGCCACTCTGCCTTCCTCACCATCCAGGAGTTTGGCTTAGTCATCACCTCCAGCCCTCAGCACAGACACGGTGCACAGAAACCAGCAACCACTTGGGTCAATAACAACTGGGTGATCACAACAGGGGGTCTTTGGGCATTTGGGGGACGGGGGCAAGGGGACAGGCCTGGGGCCGGGGAGAAGGTAGCGTGTTCATTTGAATAATGGGCAAAATCAAATTAATTCTACATTAAATAGTTGTGAATAAAGGGTTGAAGTCAGCAGTTTCAAACTTGTTTTCCTTAATTACTTTCCGTGTTTAATGTCATTAAGAAGATTAAAAATTCATTAACAAGAGTACTAAAGTGGCAAATCAGGAAAGCGATCACTCCAGGTTAGAAACTCCGCTGAGGCCGCACTGTGAGTCTTCTGCAGGGGGGCGTGGGTGGGGGTGGGGGCCCGAGAGGGTGGGGGACAGACACACATTCACACTTACACAGCGACGTAGCAACAAGATCAACACATATCCACAAAGGCACACATGCATCTTCCGCTTGTCCACCCCAGGACTTCTGTGATTGTGGGAGACAGTGGATTCGAATCTGTCACTAATCACATGAACCCTCTCCTAAGAAAGGGAAATAAAGTTCCAACTTTTGTGACAGACAATATATGGCCACAGGAATACTGTCCGCCTGGTGGTCTCGGAGCTCACTTTCCTGTGTTCTGGTCAACCCTCTGTGTGCCCCCACCTCCCTTTCCCTCCCCTCCCACACTCAAGGGCTCTCCCAGGGCAAACCCGATCAGTTTCCTGGGAGGAGCTGCGTCTTTGAGGCTTAATTATCCTGGAAAAGGATCCCTTTTGTCTCCTTAGCTTGTGGGGGAGGGAGGTGAAGGTGGGGCGGGGTCACGTTTCCTTCAGGGAGAGGGAGCAGGGAGACAAAGGGTACCCTGGTCAGGGCGAGGGTAGGGTAGAAGCAGATGGGGAAGCAGGACCCAAGTGTCCTAGTGTTTGAACCAGACCTTGATCCAACTGCACAGCCCCCGTCCCAGAGCGGCCCTGTCTCCTAACACCTCGCCCTCTCACTCAGCTTTTTCTCCCCATTTTGTTGGCTGACCCCTTCCTCCCAAACTCCAGACTCCGCCCCTGCCTTCCATGTAGCTATCACAATCTCTCCAACTCCATTTCCTTCTTTTTCTCTAGGCACCCCTGCATCGGGTGTCTGTGAGTGTTTAGGTCACCTTGGGTACATCTGTGCCTTTGGGGCAATGGGGCTATGGGTCAGGTGGCTGTGTTGGCAACTGAGTGTGTGACTATGTGGTGTGTCCTTCTGCGTGTGCGTGTGTGTGTGTGTGTGTGCAAGTACACCCGTGTCTGTGTGTGGCTGAGTGAGAAGGGCCATGATCTCAACTTGAGAATGCCATGTTAATCGTAAACAAAGGCCGTGGAGAAGCCTGTGAGGGTTTGATTAGAATGAGTCCTTTTATTTTTTTGATGGGAAAACCAAACTCTAAGAAGATGAACTTCTACTCTCATGAATAGACTCAAGAGAAATAAAAACATAGGTCCACACCAAAACTTGTAGAGGGATGTTCATAGCAGTGTTATTCATGATTGCCAAAAAGTGAAAACCACTGAAATGTCCATCAGCTGACAAATGCATACATAAAATGTTGTATATCCATATAATGGAATATTAGTCCATTGCCATAAAAAGGAATGAAATACTGATTCATGCTACAACACAGATCACTATTGAAAACATGTTAAGTGAGAGAAGCCAGTCACCAAAAAAACACATATTGTATGATTCCCTTTATATGTAATGCAAATAAATAGGGACAGAAAATCATTTAGTGGTTGCTTAGGGCTGGGGCAGAGGGTGTTGGGGGAAAAGGGGAGTGACTGGTGATGGCAATGGGGTTTCTGGGAGTGATTAAAATGTTCTAAAATTTATTGTGGTGATGGTTGCATGACCCTGTGAATATACTAAAAACCACCGACTTGTACATGTTAAATAGGTGAATTGTATGGTATGTGGGTTAGATCTTAATAAAGCTATTCGCCTGTAATCCCAGCACTTTGGGAGGCCAAGGTGGGCAGATCATGAGGTCAGGAGACTGAGACCATCCTGGCTAGCACGGTGAAACCCCGTGTCTACTAAAAATACAAAAAATTAGCCAGGCATGGTGGCGGGCACCTGTGGTCCCAGCTGCTTGGGAGGCTGAGGCAGGAGAATGGTGTGAACCCGGGAGGCAGAGCTTGCAATGAGCTGAGATCACACCACTGCACTCCAGCCTGGGCGACAGAGTGAGACTCTGTCTCAAAAATAAATAAATAAATAAATAAATAAAGCTATTATTGAACAAAAAATGAAGTGGCTTGCTCAAAGTCCACAGCAAGTGAAAGGTGGAGCTAGTTCCAGAACCGGATACCCTGACTCTATGTTCTGTGTTCTTTCCATGAGCCCTGCGATGCCACAGACATGTTGCTATGGAAGCTTGAAGGCCAAGCCCTAAAATGCGTGTGGGTGTCCACGTGGCATGCCGAGGCTTTTCTGTAGTGTTGTCAAGTTTCTACCTGAGATAGCGTGTCTTTTTGTGTGTGTGTCCATATAGATGTGTGGCTTCGGCAGCTCTGTGGCCCCACACACCTGTAACTGGGCCCAGGCATCTCTCTGCTGTGAGTGTTTGTGTCTGCCGGAATGCATGTCTGGGCTGCCCATGCCTCTCTGCTCATTGGCTGGGCCTCTGTCTGCATTTGTTTGTAGGTATATCTGTATGTCTGTGTCCATGAAGTCATGTGACTTCATGGGGATCTGTGTTCATGTGTGGCAGTGTTTCTGCCTATATGTGTCTCAGTGAGTGCCCATGAATTGCTTGATGTGTTGGCCTGTCAGTTTGGGTTCACCTACCTTCATCTCTGGGTCTCTGCACCAGTATGTAGTATGCTGGTGTCCACACAGGCCCATCTGCCGGGCCCATGTAGTGGGGCCCACAGACCTGTGCATCTGAATCTATGTGTCTGAGACCCTCCCCCAGGCACCAGCCCCAGAAGGTGCCTGCCTCCCGACCCCCGCCTCTGACAGCCGTGGAGGGAGCGTCACAGTAAATTCATGGCTGCCCGGCTGGGAAACAGGCGGCTGCAATGGAAAGGAAGCGTGGATTTGCATATTGAATTAAAATTAAGAGCTAATTATGCAAATAAATTATGACATTTGGCAGGAGAATTTGCTTCAAGATCATTTATTACATTCTTTTTATAACAGTGTGAGCATTTAACGGTCAAAGACAATATTTTAAGGGAAAATTAACGCAAGATTATTAACCTAAAAACAATTCCACATTAATGAGGTGGTGAGCTGGTCCCCCCCACACACCTGGGCAGGTCAGTGCCTAGGCTGGGAAGGACTTTTTCTTCTCCCCTCCTTCCTTGCCCCAGCCTGCAGGGGAGAGGGGCTAGGAGGGGACTAGGAAGGCAGAGGGAGACTTTGGGGTTTGTATCTTCTTAGGTGGGGAGGTGGGGAGGCCACATCTGAACTGAAACCCGGACTTGAGACCAGAACTCTGGGCTGAGTTTAGAAGGCCACAAAGAGGATGAGCTAAGGCCCCACTCCCAGAGACCCCTAGTCTGAGGATGACAAATGTGGCCTTGGCCTGGGGGAGCCCTGTTCTAAGGAGGAATACAGATCCCTACCCTAGAAATGATTCTGCCAATACCAGTTGGGATGGAAGCTGGAAGGCAGAGTTTAAATCGCCTGGTTATATGCTGCCCCCTGGCAGCTCCCATCCTGTCCTCCCAGGTTGCAGACCCCCCAGTTCCCTGGAGTTGCAGACTCTGGGCACTCCAGGGCTCTGAGCTCTCCACCTTTCCAGGCCCCATTGTCTCTCCATTTTCCCATGACCTGAATCTCTCAGTCTAGCTTTCCTTTTTGGGGGGTGGCAAGTAAAGGAGACCCTAATCTGGGTTTCCTTGGGGTCCCCAACCCATCCCACATCAAGCAGTGACCCCACAGAAGGTGGTAGGCAGTGTTCTCTCTGGGCCCCACTCTTCTCCCTGGGCCCCACTCTTCTCCCTCTGTTATGGCCTGAATGTTGGTGTCCCCCTGAATTCCTACGTTAGAACCTAATACCCAACGTGCTGGTATTAAGAAGTGGGGCCTGGCCGGGCACGGTGGCTCACGCCTGTAATCCCAGCACTTTGGGAGGCTGAGGCAGGTGGATCACGAGGCCAAGAGATCGAGACCACCCTGGCCAACATGGTGAAACCCCATCTCTACTAAAAATACAAAAATTAGCAGGGCGTGGTGGCGCGTGCCTGTAGTCCTAGCTACTCAAGAGGCTGAGGCAGGAGAATCGCTTGAACCTGGGAGTTGGAGGTTGCAGTGAGCTGAGATCCCACCACTATACTCCAGCCTGGTGACAGAGCGAGACTCCATCTCAAAAAATAATAGTAATAAAAATAAAAAAAGAAGCGAGGCATTTGGGAAGTGATTAGATCACTAAGGCTCTCCCCTCATGAACTCATGCACTTATGAAAGGACATGAGGGAGCTGTTTGTCTCTTTTCCTCTTCCGCCAAGTGAGGACGCAGCAAGAAGCACAGGAAGGAAAGAGCGAGAGAGAGCGGGAGAGAGCGGGAGAGAGAGAGCGGGAGAGAGCGGGAGAGAGCAGGCCTTTACCAGACTTTCACTCTGCCGGCGCCTTGATCTTGAACTCCCCAGCCTCCAGAACGAAGAGCAATATATCTCTGTTGTTTATAAATTACCCAGTCTTGGGTCCAGGCGTGATGGCTCATGCCTGTAATCCCAGCACTTTGGGAGGCCAAGGTGGGTGGGTCACTGGAGGCCAGGAGTTCGAGACCAGCCTGGCCAACATGGTGAAACCCCGTCTCTACTAAAAATAAAAAAATTAGCTGGGCTTGGCGGCGGGCGCCTGTAATCTCAGCTACTCAGGAGGCTGAGGCAGGAGAATCGCGGAGGTTGCAGTGAGCTGAGATTGCACTACTGCACTCCAGCCTGGGTGACAGAGAGACACTCTGTCTCAAAAAAGAGCAATAATAATAAATTAAATAAATAAATAAATAAGTAAATAACCCAGTCTCAGCGATTTTGTGATAGCAGCTTGGATGGACTAAGGCAGCCTCCCTGTGTGTGTGTGTGTCTGGCGGCGGGTGGAGGGGTGGCATCCGCGCTACCTGATCCCTATACTTGCTCTGTGAGCTACAGACTCTTTTAGGGCAGATTTTGTCTGCAGAGTGTGTCCGTAGAAGGGATCCTATGGTCCACTGGGTGAAAGCCTTGGGTTTCCCAAAGTCTCTGCTCTGATGTAGACATACCCCCTGAGAAGGAGATGTTGTCACCTGTCATCGCTGGATGCCAGTATTTGGTTCTAGTTCCTCCTGGAACTAGATGGTTGTTTGCCACAGAGAGGGACAGCCACTGCCCACCCTAAGTTACACCTCCAGACCTAGCATTTCATTTGACCAGATATCACTGGGCAGAGCAGGGTGGCATAAAAGACTATGGGTTGGATTTAGGAGACCCTTAGAATCAGGGGTCCTGAGGGCACATCCTTTCTCTGCCATTGACTGGCAGGACACATTGCCCCTGGCTGGTGGTCTGCCTTTCCAGATCTGTCCCCACCCTTTTCCACCCTCCTGTGGCCCTGGGATGCTGGCCTGCATGGTCCGCATCAGCTAGCTCCCTTGGGATTGACCAAAAGGAGTTCACAGGAAGGGAGCTTCTTTAGCTCCTTCCCTTCCAGGTGGTTGCAGATTAGCTGGATTTCCCCAATGAAGGCCACAGCTCTCTAGAACTCTCCATACAGAGCTCTCTGCTGGTTCTGGTAACTTCTCCATTCATGTTTGTCCATTTTAGCCCTGGTTTGGCCATGGCTTCCCACCATTACTAGCCCCGAGATACTGTATCATCACTTATACTTTTCCTAATCCTTGCCCATACCTTTGTAAATAGTTGTTTTATTAAACTCTCGTCAGATGACCCAATAGGATAGAACATGCTTCCTGACATAAAGGCACCTCAATTTCCTCATCTGTAAAACAGGGATGGTAATATACGCCTGACAAGTTATTGGTACACTTCCAGTGAGACAAATTATTTCAAGGTGCTTTGTAATTTACACATCAGGAGTCCAGATGCTTGTTTCCAGGTAGAAACTATACCAGGAATTAGGCTGGTATCGAATGCATCTCTGCTAAGAAGCGTCTGTGTGACCTTGGGTCAGCCACCACCCTTCTCTGAACCTGTTTGCTCACTGATAACAAACAAGAGCTAAACTCCTAACTTTAAGGTCCAGCTGTAGAAAGTGATGATTCTATGGTCACTTAGCTGTTGAGGAAAGAGGGGTCAAGTGACTTACCAAAGGTCACATGGCAGGTTCCTGGCCACCTGCCTGAGAGTCTATCTGGGGCACAGAGCCTGGTTGGGGTCCCACTGTTGGACCTCAGAGACCTTGGTGAAGTAGACAGAACCCTGCCAAGGTGACCAGGCAGGAAGCCTGTCCCCCACCCTAGCGGCTCACTCTGTCTCCCAGGGCAGGGTGGACTATCCCTTAGAGAGAGAGGGTGGGGTTATTAATAACAATGCTAATAAGAGAGAAAACAAAGCCGGCAGGGCCTGAGCATTTTTTAAATAAAGAAATTTCCCTCATCTCGTGGTTAATTTAAAAGGTTTATTTCTTGAAATGAATCCTCTTCATCAAACCCCCCGATCCTTGAAGATCGGAGGCAACTGCGAGTGCCGGTAATGAATTGATTTGTAACATGAGCGACACGGCGCCCTCCCGCCCGTGCCCGCTGCGGGCCCTTAATCTACCGTGTTTAAGGGGAAATGAGCTTCTACATCTCTCTGCCTGAAACCCAGCGCTAGGTAGTGTAGCCAGTCGCCAAGGGCCAGGCCCAGGCCCGGCCAATGCCCCCTCCAGCAAGGGCCCCTGTAGCAGACCACACCCTCCCACCTCCCAGCACCTCTCTCCCCTCCTTTAAAAGGGAAGTCAAAAGAGTCCCATGGGCCAGTGCCACCCTCCACTAACCTGAGCCATCCATAGCCACACAGCCATCTGAACAGACACACAGCACACCCACACACACAGCTACACCAACCCATAATCAAATCACATTTGCACTTACCCACACAATTCTACAAAGTCACATAAACAGTCTCCCTCGGGCATAAGATTCAGAAATATAATTACACAAATCACCCACACCTACTAACATAAGACATTCAGTCATAGAAATGTGTCCAGACACACAGGACCACACACCCTTCTACAGACCCAACTTCTATAGACATGACAATTAATTTGTGCATATTTAGCAATGTGGAGGTGAGGCAGCAGCATGGCACAGCAGAAGGAGCATGGGCTTCGAGCCATAGAGCTGGGTGTTTGAATCTAAGTCCCACATGTCTTATCTGACCTCCCTGTCTCAATTTCTCTCTCTGTAGAATGGGGACAACAATATCTTCCTCATGGGATTCCTGTGAGGACAACATTGGATAATATATGTAAAGCTCTTTTTTTTTTTTTTTTTTGAGATGGAGTCTCGCTCTGTCACCCAGGCTGGAGTGCAGTGGCGCAATCTTGGCTCACTGCAACCTCCACCTCCAGGGTTCAAGTGATCCTCCTGCCTCAGCCTCCTGAGTAGTTGGGATTACAGGCACTCACCACCACACCCAGCTAATTTTTTTTTAAATTTTCAATAGAGGCAGGGTTTCACCATGTTGACCAGGCTTGTCTCAAACTCCTGACCTCAGGTGATCCTCCTACCTTGGCTTCCCAAAGTGCTGGGATTACAGGTGTGAGCCACTGCACCCGCCCAGAAAGCTCCTTTTAAACTGTTAAATTTATGGCTGGCCACAGTGGCTCACGATTATAATCCCAGCTATTTGGGAGGTTAAGGCAGGAGGATCACTTGAACCCAGGAGTTCAAGACCTCATCTCTAAAAATTAAAATTGAAATAAATTAGCCAGGTGAGACAGTGCACATCTGCAGTCAAAGATACTTGGGAAGCTGAGGCTGAGGCGGGAGGATTGCTCGAGCCCAGGAGTTTGAGGCTGTAGTGAGCTATGATCACACCACTGCACTCCAGCCTGGGCAACAGAGTGAGACCCCATCTCTAAAAAAAAAAAACACTAAACTGTTAGCTTCATGAAGGCAAGGACCTTCATGAATGATATAATGTATTTGAATATTTTAATGTAGTTTTAGCATAGAGTAGGTGCCTAATAAATGCTAGTTAATATTGTACTTATCATCTAATGCTGTATACTCAATAACTACTTTAGTATACATTTAATATACATAACTACTTTGGTATACATTTTAAAATAAATACATGTTGTTATGCCTATCATGTAGGCTGAGTAACAGAATGATAATTATGAAAAAGAGGGAGGAGGAGAAATAATTATCATTTAGTGAGTGTTTGCAATGTGCCAAACACTGTGCTAAATATAGTATGTTATTTTATTCAATCTTGACAGCAATACTATGAAATTGTTTCAATATATACCCATTTTGCAAATGAAGAAATTGGGGCCCAGAGAGGTTAAATGACTTTCTTAAGATCGCAGAGCCAGTAAGTGGAGGAGAGTGGATTTGAACCCAGGTAGCCTGACTCCAGAACTTGCTTAGGTTGTGAGTAATGCTAAAAAAAAAAAAAAAAAAAAAGTATGTGAACAGCCTTACAGCCTTGCCCTTAAGGAGGGCTCCTATGTCCATGCGACAAAGCCAGTTACACCTTGAGGTGTCTTTCTTGAAAGTGACCTTGAAGGTCTCACTGATCCTCTCAAAGTCATAAGCCAGAGGCTTGAAGACATCTCTGATAGCAGGTCTGTGGCAGCTCTGGGTGCCTCTCAGGCCAGTCACCTGCCCCAGAATGGGCAAAATCTCCAAACCCAGCTGAGAACTTTCTGTCTTTCCACTTTACCACCCCATCAGCTGCTAACTGATCTTTGGTACAAATCTGAGTTTTTCTGCACTGAAACATCTTTAAAGCAGGCAAACCCACACCCAAAATGCCCCTGGGCACGGGCACAGTGGCAAAATACTACCTCCTACCTTCCACCCTCCTGCTCTGGCTGCTGTCATTTTTCCTGCCTCCACCTGAGGGCCAGGATGGCCACAGCCCTTCACCTTGTCCTTAGCGGGGATAGTGGCTTAGACACAGGCTGGATCCCAGATGGAGGAGCGCACTCAGGCCCAAAGCAGCCATGTGGTCTCAAGGCCAGTCTCCATCCGGGTCCGACTCTCTTGGGCTCCTGGGTTCCTGATGGGAGTTTCTTCCTCATGGCCAGTCCCAGGAACAGTAAGGACTCAATGACCTTCCCAAATGGCCTCCAGGCCTCAGTCCAGCCAAATAGTCCCCAGGCAGCCCTGGGGAAATGAGGCACCCTATGTCCAACCTGGGAAACTCTGGGGACACCGGGCGACCTCTTCCCTCTCCCCGTACTGCTCTGTACATCCATGTATTTTCCTCACTCAGATGCACAGTGCCCGGTGGGCACGGGGCGGGGGCGAGGGCACGTGCTCCCCTCCTGTAACTTCCTAGAAGAAAATCATTTTTTATAACTGTTGGAATCCTGATTGAGCTGTCAAAAGTACATGAAACCAGCTACATAAATGGTAAACTATCCATCAGTCACAGGCCTATTTGTTCTGAGACAGTATAAACATCACACATTTTTCTTCGAGATAGAAAATAATATTTACCCCATCATATCCAGGTAACTTGGCCCCCACTCCAAAAAGAAACTTATTAGTCACACTGGTCTGTGCCCTCTTATCTCCCAAATCTTTTCATTCTTTTGCCTACTAGTCTTACCTCCCTTGAAACATTAACTCAGCTCAGTTATTCAGCTTTCTCTCTGTTTGAAACCAGATTTAGCAACCCCCGACCAAAAAAACCCACAGTTAATAAATGCTAAGAAGCCGGGTGCAGTGGCTCATACCTATAATCCCAGCACTTTGGGAGGCTGAGGTGGGTGAATCACTTGAGGTCAGGTGTTCGAGGCCAGCCTGGCCAACATGGTGAAATCCCGTCTCTACTAAAAATACAAAAATTAGCTGGGGGTGGTGGTGTGCACCTGTAATCCCGGCTACTCAGGAGGCTGAGGCAAGAGAATTGCTTGAACCCAGGAGGTGGAGGTTGCAGAGAGCCAAGATCGCACCATTGCACTCCAGTCTAGGTGACAGAGTAATAAAAAAAAAAATCTAAGGAGAAACATAAAGGAAATCACCTTTTTATTTTTTTAATGAGACGGAGTCTCGCTCTGTCACCCAGGCTGGAGTGCAGTGGCGTGATCCAGCTCACTGCAAGCTCCACCTCCCGGGTTCAAGCCATCCTCCTGCCTCAGCCTCTTGAGTAGCTGGGACTACAGGTGCCCACCACTACGCCCGGCTAATTATTTTGTATTTTGAGTAGAGACAGGGTTTCACCGTGTTAGCCAGGATGGTCTCCATCTCCTGACCTCGTGATCCGCCCACCTTGGCCTCCCAAAGTGCTGGGATTACAGGCGTGAGCCACCCCGCCTGGTCTTAGGAAATCACTGGATTCCAGTGTACAGATTCTGGCCTACTGGGTAAGTGCCCAACACGGATAGATGTAGGGTCAGCCCCAATTTGCCTTCTGAGGAGTGGCAAGGTCCCTCTGTGCCCACCTTGTCCCTGCCCACTGGTCTAGTGTGGTAAGAGTGAGAAAAAGAATGCATCCACTCTTTTGTGTGAGATGTCTCCCCCTGCACACCTGGGCAAGGCTGTGTCCCTTACAGGCACTCTGGACTCAAGGGAACACATCCCAGAAGTTTGAGCCAGCTGAAAGGGGCTGCAGCTCCCTCTCTTACTTCTTCTTCAGTAAGAACTTGACCTAGGGCAACGGCCCCAGCTGCCAATGACAGATATGTAAGGTTGGGTAAATGGATGGTTGGATGAATGGATGGATGGACAAATGGACAGAGAGACAGAGAGATACATGCAAACGTACCCCTACATACAATATCCCCCGCTGAACAGACAGACACATTCAGTGCAGCCTAGGAGTTAAGCATAAGGCTCTGCTAGCATCCAGTTAAACCTCGCTGCTCCACTCATCTCTGGAGGTGTGGCCTTGGATATTTAGTTAACCTTGCTCAGCATCTTTCAACAGGAAAATGAAAATAATAATATAATCTACCATGTAGGGCTGTGAGGAGTCAATGGTAGTCATGGTTAGCACAGCACCTGGCATAGAGTAAGTGTTCAATAACTGATTTCTATTGCTATTGCCATTAGATTATACATACTTTGCACACATTTTTGTAAGCACTTATACACACAGGAACCTCTTAGAAACTTAGATAACGTGCACACATTTGCAAACACGCACATACTGATGAACATATAAGCCGACATGTAGCTGGGCAGCACAGAGTGGTGGCTAGGTGCACAGTCTGTGGCAACTGAGGTCAACACCAAGCTGTGCCATTTGCCAGCTGTGCGATTTCCAGCAAGTTACTTAACCGCAGTGTTCCCGTCTATCAAATGGGAAGAATAAAAATAGCTCCTCCTTCGTAGGATTCTTGTGAGGGTTAAATTCATTAAATATTTACAAAACACTTAAAAACACTGTGTGACAGATTCTAAACACTGTATGTTTGAGAAATACAAATAAATCCCACACCTTGTAAACAAATACCTGTCAAGCTCCTGGAGTTTACATAACACTCTTAAAGTATTATCCTGTTAGATCTTTTCAGTAGCCTTTGGGTCAGGATTAATATTATCCCCACTTATAGATGAGGAAGCTGAGGCTAAAAGAGATCAATGATCTGTATAAAACCCGGCAGCTGGGGAGCCAGTGAGTGGTAGATAAGCCAGGCCTCTTGACTTTAACTACCATGTTCTTTTCACTAAGCATCAGATATGCTGAGTGTATGTGTAGCTGGGTATGTGGATTAGGTTTTCTCTGCCTTTGTTATCAGGGCTCCCCAGCCCTCCTTCACCTCTTCCACCTGCCCCTGCCCCCAGAAGATTCCCCACCCCCAGGAAATGGTCCAAACCCGTAGTTCTCAAAGCATGGTCCTGGACCTGTCGCATCAGCATCATGTGGGAACCTGTTAGAAATGCAGATTCTTGGGCCCTGTTTCAGCAAGAAGTGCTGGAGCAGTTCAGGAGGACAGGGTGGACTAGAGGGAAGCTTCTGGAATAGGGGAGGCTTGGCCTGGGCCTTGAGCATCGGGTAGAGGAGAGAGCCCTGAGGAAGTGGGAAGTGCACCGTCTGATAAGAGAAGCTCTGGCTGCTGAAGTGATGTTCTAGGTGGGGGAAGTGGGGGAGACGAGAGCTGAGCTGAGTCATTTGAGTGTCTTTTGATTTCTCCTAGACACTGTACCCTATTAGGTGGTCTGTCCTTGAATATCTGAAAAGAGGCTTTGTAGAAATTTATCTCTCAAGACAAACCCCAAAGACCCTCCCCTGCAGGGTCAGAGCATTGCCAGAACTGGGGGTGGCCTCCTCCTATCCCCATGCTCTCTGGATTCGCCTCCAGAGTGGCAGCCTCCAGCCCTGAATGACTGTGGGGAACCCCAGCCTCATTCCCACCAGGCCCAGATTAATAAAGTAGGGGGGTTTTGCAAGGAGAATGGGAGACGACTGTGGCCTTCTCCCCACTTTTCCCCTGGGGCCTGAGCCAGGCCCAGCAGAGGCACCCGTGTGACCAGAGGCCCTGCCCAGAGTGGGGCTTCCTCCATGTGCATCCTGTGTGTACACGTGAGGCTGAGACTCCAGGCTGGGAAGAGTCCAGGGTGAGCTGGCCAGGGGCTCAGGGCTGGAGAAGAGTGAGCAGCCACCCCCCTGTGTCCTGCCCGGGGCTACCACTAGGAGGCTAATGAAAAGGGAAGATGCAGGCCAAGGCTTGGGCCAGCAGGAGACAGCAAGGGGACAATGTGAGGCAGGAGGGAGGTGGCCCTCAGGCAGGGACAGACAATGTCCCCATATGGGAAGCAGACGGAGCCTCCCCGCCCCCCTTGGTCCGGGGGCCTCTGCTGCAGCAGGCAGTCCTCGCAGCTAAACACCGGGTCGTTTGTATCCAGGAAGATGGGCCCGCTGAGCTGCGGCTGGGAAAGGAGCAGAAGGAGGGTGAGCTCAGCTCACCAAGGTCCCCACGAAGGACTTTGGCAGGACGACACGGAGCCACGCGTGCACCCCAACAGCACTCATGCGTGCACCCACAGTAAGATCACTTTCTGCTTTTTCTAAATCTTTTAAAATTACACCGTAATATATGCTCAAAGTAAAAGATTACAACAATACAGAGAAGTATGCAGCGTAAAATGTGAAAATTACCCCATCGTCGCAACCTCACCAACTCCCTTTTTCAGAGGCAATTACTTTTAATACCTGCCTTCAAGCAAAGGCTGCTTTCTAACGTAAGACCATGGTGGATCTGTCACCACACAAAGGCGGCTTCACTCTCCAGTCAGTGCCAGGCTTTCCTTGGAGCAGAGCACTGCGGAGGGGCGGCTAGGATGACGCAGAGGTTCACACAGCCTCCCTGCCTGTGACCCAACTGGGAGACATCTGCCTAGTGATCCCAGGTTTTAAATCATCTATCATGATTCCATTTCTACCCAAGGTGATCACCTCCTGACAATTTTTAAAATCTTCTGTCTTTACCTATTCATGCCAAACCCCATTTTTAGTTTTATACGTTTTTCTCTGTCTTTAAAATTTAGGTCAGCTTGTTTGCTATTGCTCATAAATTATTTTTGCTAGTGATCAAAAGCTACGGATAAAATGTTTATTTTATTTTATTATTATTAACCTTATTTGAGATGGAGTCTTGCTCTGTCACCAGGCTGGAGTGCAGTGGTGTGATTTCAGCTCACTGCAACCTCCGTCTCAAGGGCTCAAGCCATTCTTGTGCCTCAGCCTCCCCAGCAGCTGGGACTACAGGCATGTGCCGCCATGCCCACCTAATTTTTGTATTTTTAGTAGAGATGTTGTTTTGCCATGTTGGCCAGGCTCGAACTCCTGACCTCAAGTGATCTGCCCACTTCAGCCTCCCAAAGTGCTGAGATTACAGGCATGAGTCACCGCACCCCGCCAGATGAAAAGTTTGTAATTTCACGGTGATTGAAGGCCTTCAGCCTTTTGAGCCTCAGGCTCTCACCAGGCTGTCCACTCATCTTCTGGAGGTGAGAACTGAGCAGAGGTCCTGCTCCTCTCTGGGACAGCCCCAAAGGACACTCTCTCTGGGACTAGAGATCCCATTGTTTCTTCCCTAGGGGAGGGAACGAACAATTATTGGGCCCCTACTATGTGCTAGCCCCTTCCTTATACATTGTATCTGTCAGGACTCATTTGGTTGCAAGCCATGGCAACCCAATTTGAATTAGTTTAGGCAAAGAGGGGTTTCTACTGGAAGAAATGGGAACATCTCAGGTAATCAAGTGTACGTACAAATAATCAAGGAGTGGGAAGAGCGGAGAAGGCATTGAGCTTCTGGAACATTCAGAGCAGGACCCAGATGGACACCAGGATGCTCTCTCTGGGGTTTTACCTGCAGCTGCCATCACCAGAGAAGGTTCAACTCTCCCCTCAGTTCCTTTATGAGGGATCCCAGAGAAGGACCCAGATTGGTCCCCACAGGTCAGGTGTTCAGGTAGCTAGGGGTGGGGTAGGATTAGGAGACTCTCTGAGACCACATAATGGCTTCCAAAAGGAGAGATCACCATTCCCAGGGGAGTTTGGCCAACAATACTGGACATCTACTACAACATGTCAGTTCTTTTCTTCACAAGTCTGTGAGGTAGGAATTGTTATCATCCCCATATTACAGGCCAGTAAACTGAGACTCTGGCCACCAACTAGTTAGCCCTAGAGCCTGGATCCAAAGTGGGTCTGTCCAAAGCCCACGCCCTTGACACATGGAACATCAGCTTCCTCAAGCAAAAGAGCAGTGAGTCAGTGTGAAACACCTTTCTAGAAGACGCATGCCTGGTGCTACACTAAGCTGTGTGGGGCAGTTAGAGATGGGTCTGGCAAGGGTGACATGTAGTGGGAAAGGGATCACAGAAGAGGGTCCCTTCTCATTAGATGATCATTAGGGAGGTGACATTTGGCCTGCTCCTTGAAAAAACAGCAAATAGACCAGTTTGGCCAAAGCTTAGACTATGGGCAGAAAAGGAACTGGCAACAGAGCCAGAATGATAAGTTTGTGGCCAGCCTTGACTGGAGACAAAATTGCCTACAGGTTAAAGGTACAGAGTTTGGGACCTCAGCCCAAAGTGTATGATCCTGGCAACTTATTTAGGCTCTCTGTATCTAGTTTCCTCATTTGTAAGATAGGATGAAATAGCTGGCTGGGCGAGGTGGCTCACGCCTGCAATCCCAGCGCTTTGGGAGGCCGAGGCAGGAGGATCACGAGGTGAAGAGATCGAGACCAGCCTGGCCAACATGGCGAAAAGCCGTCGCTACTAAAAATACAAAAATTAGCTGGGTGGGGTGGCAGGCTCCTGTAGTCTCAGCTACTCGGGTGGCTGAGGCAGGAGAATAGCTTGCACCCAGGAAGCGGAGGTTGCAGTGAGCCAAAATCATACCACTGCACTCCAGCCTGGGAGACGGAGCAAGACTCCATCTCAAAAAAAAAAAAAAAAAAAAAAAAGATAGGATGAAATAATAAAAATGGCTACTTCTTAGGATTATGGTAAAAATGGAATTAAATCATATATGAGAATAATGCTTTGAAGAGATAACTGTTATCCCAATATTAATACACACTGGGAGCCACTGAAGATTTCCAAGTTTGGCTGTGTCATTGTATTAGTTTCCTGGGGCCACCGTAACAAACAGCCACAAACCAAGTGCCTTAAAACAACAGAAAATTATCCTCTTACAGTTCTGGAGGTTCAACGTCAAAAATCAAGGTATGGGCCAGGTGCAGTGGCCCACACCTGTAATCCCAGCACTTTGCAAGTCTGAGGCGGGTGGATCAGGTGAGGCCAGGAATTTGAGACCAGGCTGGGAAATATGGTGAAACCCATCTCTACTAAAAATACAAAAAATTAGCCAGACATGGTGGCACATGCCTGTAATCCCAGCTACTCAGGAGGCTGAGACAGGAGAATCGCTTGAACCTGGGAAATGGAGGCTGCAGTGAGCTGAGTTCATGCCATTGCACTCCAGCCTGGGTGACAGAGTGAGGCTCCATCTTAAAGGAAAAGAAAAAAATCAAATTATCAGAGGACCATGCTCCCTCAGTCTTTAGGGGAGGACCCTTCCTTGTCTCTTCCGGCTTCTAGTAGCCCCAGACATTCCTACACTTGTGGCAGCATCACTCCCATCTCTGCCTCTGTCCTCACATGGCTGTCTTCTCTCTGTGTCTGTGTGTCTGTGCCTTTGCATGACACCAGTGTCCTTATAAGGACACCAGTCATATTGGATTAAGAGCCCACCCTATGTCAGTAGGACCTCATCTTAGCCTGCATCAGAATTACATCTTCAAAGCCCCTGTTTCCAGAAAAGTGATGTTCACAGGTACCAGAGGTTAGGTCTTCAACAAATTGGGAGCGGGAGTACACAATTCAACCCATCATCAGAGCTGTGTTTGGACAGGTAGATTTAGTAGGGGTCATGGAGCAAGCCACACCCTAGAGATAGGTGTCGAGGAAACCACTCAGTAGGTAAGAAATGAGAGGACCTGATTTGGGCCAGTGGCAATGAGGACAAAGATATTCCAGGACCTGACAGTTGATTGGATGAGGAGGAAGTGAGGAAACCATAACACGTGTCAAGGACATGGGCTTTGGGGGCAAAACAAGTAGATGATTCAGAGGCTCTATAATTGGAAAGATGAAAGGAGGAAGGAATGAGGAGGAAGGTGAGGGGAGGGGAGCCTCATAGACTCTAAGCTCTCTGAGGGCAGGGACTGCATCCTTCACTTGGTATCCTCAGTGCCTGGCACAGTGTCTGGACATAATATGTGCTGGAGAAATGTTTGCCAAAGAAATGAACGTGTTCAGTCTTGCACATGGGGAAATTGATGTACCAGCTGAAACAGGCAGGTGGAAATTTAGGCTTGTCATTTGGGAGATAGAGTTGGGGGTTAGAAATCTCAACTGGGTATTTATTTCCAGAGAGATGATGGGTCAAGTTGGGTTTGACAGTGCTTGTGAAAGGGCAGAGAGGGGAGGGAAGAGGTTTGAGGGAAGAATGGTTAGGCAGAGTTAAATTTAGGGGTTGGGAGAAAGCAGAGGGCTGTGGAAGGCCAGATCAGGAACTTCAGAGATGGAGGAGGGGAAGCAGGGAGGTGCAATGTCATGGAAATCAAGAAAGGAGACAGTTTCAAGGAGGAGGGGTGGAGCTGCTGCCAAATGCCGCAGAGGTCGAAGAGAAGAAATACCAAGAGGAGCCTGTGGATTTGCTAATTAGGAGACCGGCAGCAGTGGCCCCACCTGGTTAGGGCAGGGGGATGTGAGGGGAGGCTACTCTGGGCAAAGAACCCAAGGACAGGAATATGTGCTTTCTGTGTGTGCACGCGCTCTCCACTCTGTCCTCCTTCGTGGACCTGGGAAATCTGTGACAATCAAGAGTAAAAACCAAAACAAAAACACGGTGGTGGGATGGGGGTGGTATGCATGTCAGAACTCAGAGTTTGCAAGTCAGGAAATGAATAACATGGGGGTGGAAGAGACAGCTCAGAGAAAGGGGGAGTAGTTTTTAGTGCCAGGCGAATCTTCTTTGAGGGTGGAGAGTGGAAAGCAGCAATGGCCCAGGCAGATGACAAAACAATGCCCAGCCCAGCCCAGCCCTCCGCAGACCTCCCAGGTCTGTTGCACCTGCCCTGCAGTGGGGGTGGGTGAGGGGCATGAGGCCTTCTCCTCAGTCCTTTAGTCCCCTGGAGCCCCCGTGACTGTCAGTCTGGGTTATCACTGTGTCCCCAGGGCCTGCACTAGTGCCTGGGACGTAGAAGGTACTCAGTAAATACTCAGGATTGGAAATAGCAACATCACCAGGAGCAGCTAAGATCACTTATGAGATGATAAATGTTGTTGTTATTGTTGTTGTTTTGAGATGGAGTCTCACTCTGTTGCCCAGGCTGGAGTGCAGTGGTGCAATCTCAGCTCACTGCAACCTCCACCTCCTGGGTTCAAGTGATTCTCCTGCCTCAGCCTCCCGGGTAGCTGGGATTACAGGCATGCGCCACCTATGCCCGGCTAATTTCTGTATTTTTAGTAGAGACAGGGTTTTGCCATGTTGGCCAGGCTGGTCTCGAACCCCTGAACTCAAGTGATCTGCCTTGGCCTCCCAAAGTGCTGGGATTACAGGCGTGAGCTACTGCGCCTGACCGAGATGATAAATGTTAAGCACCTGCCACTTACTATATGCCAGGCACTTTGCATTTATTATCTCATTTAATACTCCCAACAGCTCCCCAGGGTAGGCACTATTATTATCCCCACTTAACAGATAAGGAAATAGGAGTTCTGAATGATTTAGTAAGTATCTAAAGGCCTCTCAGCTGGGAAATGGTAGAATTAGGATTTGAACGCAGATTCGTGTCACCCTAGGACTGTCAATCTTGACCATTATGATTATTACACTGCAAGAATATATGAATCTGGCTGGGCGCACTGGCTCACGCCTGTAATCCCAGCACTTTGGGAGGCCGAGACTGGATCACTTGAGGCCAGAAGTTCAAGACCAGCCTGGGCAACATGGCGAAATTCCATCTCTACAAAAAATATAAACATTAGCTGGGCGTGGTGGCGGGTGCCTGTAGTCCCAGCTACTCGGGAGGCTGAGGTAGGAGGATCGCTTGAGCCTAGCAGGTGAAGGTTGCAGTGAGCCAAGACTGTACCACTGCTTTCCAGCCTGGGCAACATAGCAAGACCCTGTCTCAAAACCCTGTCTCAAAAAAAAAAAAAAAAAAAAGAATCTGTGAATCTGTGTGTGTGCTAGTGGAAGGTGGAGGCTTCATGGGAGGAGAATGTAACCTGTGTCTGTCCTGTGCATTATGCATTTATTTGTGGGTGTCCACAAGGTATATGCATCTGTAGGTCCTTGTATATGTGTGTCCGTGTGTGAATGTTGCACCTGGATTCAGCGTGTATCTGTGGGTTTGAGTACAGATGCTGTTCCACATCCTACTCCCAGGTTTGAGCTCCCCAGTTCTCCTCTGCTTGAGGCAATGATTGTTGAGTTTGGCGCTCAAGTGTGTTCAGAGCTCAGTCCTGATCCCACCTCCCACTCAGAGGGCCTATGAGGGGGTCCCTGTGCCCCACAGTCCTGCTCATAATTCTCCTTCCTTGTTTAAAGGGGCCAGTGGGTTTAATGATTAGTTACCGCCTTGTCGATATTCTCAGCCAGGGATAGGATGAATGGCGAGGCACTGCCCCCGCCCCAACACACACACACACACACACACACACACACACACACACACACACACACACACACACAGTGGCAGATTAAGGATGAGGGAAGGGATCCTTCAGCAAGGGGTGTAGGGGGAGGGAAGCTCCAGAGGAGGCTCTGCAGGGACACTGAGATTCTTCAGTTGCTCCCACAAAGGTGGTGGCCCAGAGACAGAATCAGCCCCCTCCAAACACTTCTCCCACAATCCTCTCTACTCCAACTCCTCCAGGGTCTGGGAGGCAATGGGAAGACCCCCTGGGGAGGGGAGTCCCTTCTTAAGGCAGAGAGCATTCTGGTCCAAGTTCTCTGTCGTGGACTCAAAGGTGGTCTATGTGTGTTTCTGTGTCTGTGAGTTTCCACTTTCACATGCTTTAGTGACCAGCCATCCATGTGTCTGAATGTGTAATATGGTCCACAAGTATACTTGGGTCCTTATGTCCCTCCGTGTTCACGTGGCCGTAACGCCCACAACCATGTGTACACACATACATGGACCCATGCTGGGGTATGTGTGTCTGCAGGGGTGAGTGTGCATGTGCAGGTGTTGTGTGTTGGCAGTGGGAGTGGGTCTTTGTCCTGCTATGTGTACTTCTGTGTCCTTGCACTTCACAGTTGTCACGGTAGCTCTATTTCCTCCTCTGGGTCCTGAGCGCCCTTGCTGACATCTTGCGGAGCCTGTTGTCTCTCTGTGGGGCAGGTGGATGTCATTTCCATCCCTCTCCTTCTCTGGGCTTCAAAGGCATGGTGACTCAGACACCAAGCTGTGGATCCCCTGACCCCTACTCCCAGTCTTAGCTCACTAGGAGCCTCCCTGCTGGGCTCCTGAGTCCTCGTGGCCTTGCACTTGGGTCTCTTTGTTGCTCAGTGGGTGTGTTCACACTACCCTCAGTAGGTCCTCACTGCCTGTGCCTGGAGCCTGGTGAACTCAGTCCACACATGTTCTGCTGCCCAGCCCCTGCCGAGTCTCCTGTTCTCACTCACATCAGAAGCTGAGTGAGAACACCATATCCATTCAGTGACTTACCCAAAGATATTTTTCTTCCGGGCAAATTCCGAAGCACCCGCATACTTCATAGCTTATGATCCCTAATCGCTGTAACCCCACAACTCAGAACCTTTCACTTTGACTCTGCAACCTGAGCTCACTGGATCCAGCCCTGGAAGAAAGGGGAAGAAAGAAGGGACTGTACCCTCAGTTGTTCCCCTTATGTTAGGACTCAGAACCTGGGGAGGAGAGACCGAGGGCCTGGAGCCACTGAGAAGGACAAGAAGGGTAGGCAGGGAGGCGCTGAGCCTGGCGGAAAAGAAATGCGAGAACTCAGGTCCATCCTCCCGCAATCCCCTGCCCCTGCCGCACACACTCACACACACACTCACCCTGTTGGAAGGTGACATTTGCTATTAACCTTATATTGGGCCATTTTGTAAATCAATGTCACTTACATTTAATAACAAGTGTAATCAAAGGAATTATGCAAATTTAATTTGATGCTTCTTGAATTATGCAAATTCGCGGTGCACATAATGTTCTCTGACATGTGCCCGTTGGAGAGAGAGAGAGAGAGCGAGGGAGAAAGTGGGGAGGGAATGGAGGAGGGAGGCTAGGACTGGGACTGAGGGAGGGGAGGAGGCTGGGGGTGGGCTGGGAGTTGGTGGAGGGAGAGGCAGGCAGGGTGGGGGAAGGCAGCAGAGCAGCTGTGGCCCCAGGTGCTCTCTGTCATGGGTGGGAAGGGGCGGACAAGGTCTGGTGCCTTCACCTTCTCTCTGTTCCTCTGTCTGCCTCCAGAGGCTTTTACCCCCTTTCCCCTCCCCGGACTCAGCATGACCTTGCTGGCCATTTGTCCTCAATGCCTCCTTCTGTGAAATGGGAGTGGCCAAAAAGAGCTGACTGCTCCTGGAAGCAAGACTCCTAATAGAACTTGGTCCTCTGAGAGGTCAGCAATCCCCAGCCCCCATGGTGGGTGACCTGTTGTGGCACTGGGCAGTAATCTGATTGTTTCGTTCTTGCTGTTCTTAATGGTCTTGAAGTCCCGGCAGAGGGAATTGCACCACCCACCACATGACAACAACAACCTGCCGACTCACTCCCAGGCATATATTGTAATATTCTAACATAGCAATAAAACACACATGGGGACACATGCATTTACATCTGAGATGACAGCCACACACACACCATTAAAACAGCAGAAACATACACAGTGAGACCATCAAACTTGTGCCCAATTACTTCCAGAGACTCATATAAGACCCACAGATACAAACATTGAGGTGCCCACTCCAACACATGAATATTCAAAATGTCACCTGGACACACTTGGGCCCAAGGGACATTGATTCTAAGCGGTATACTTATGCCAATGCATGCTGATGTTCATGGCTAAACATACACTAACACTGACATGTGGATACACAAGGTGCATTCCCTGACGCTGACACCCTCACTGACTCCTGAAGCAAACTCAGTGGGTCCAAGAGGATTCTAGCTGGAACAGGAGCCCGTTTACTGGTCAACATCTGTGTGAGGTATATTGGGCGCTGCCCCCAATCTATTCTGGGGTAGGGCAAATATCATGACACCTTGAAAGGATTTCCGTAGTGTGAAGACCACCAGGTAATGAAATTTTTGGGACCAATTGATAGGGAGAGACCACCCAGGACATGACACTGTTCCCCAAACCCTGGATGTGGTCAGAGTCACTAAGGGACCTCTCAGGAAGTTACATCAAAGTTCCAGGTGTGGACCTACTGCCCAAACTCTCACCTCCTCCACAGTGCCCACCTGCCCCTAAGGCTGTCACAGACTGGCCCAGGGCCCTGTGTGAGTTGATGGAGCAGAGTCCTGGTGGCTTCCTCTTCCCTGTGTTGTGGGTGTAGAGAAGTCTGTCCCTTCCCTGAGCTGTCGCCATGAATCCTCAAGGAGTGTAAGACTACAAGGCAAGCACTCTAGGTATCACCAACTGCCATCATTTTTTTTTTTTTTTTTTTTTGAGACAGAGTCTCACTCTGTTGCCCAAGCTAGAGTGCAATGGCATGATCCCGGCTCACTGCAACCTCCACCTCCCAGGTTCAAGCAATTCTGCCTCAGCTTCCGGAGTAGCTGGGATTACAGGCACGCACTATCATGCCCAGCTAAGTTTTGTATTTTTAGTAGAGATGGGGTTTCCCCATGTTGGCCAGGCTGGTCTCGAACTCCTGACCTCAGGTGATCCACCCGCCTTGGCCTCCCAAAGTGCTGGGATTACAGGCGTGAGCCACCGCACCTTGCCGCCATCATTATTCTTAAAACATTCCTTCTCCATGTGAGTTCTATCTTGGGTTTACAGATGACACCCTATTTCTCTCTACTCCTTTTTCAGCCCTACTCTCATGCTTGGTGTCTAGTGCCTTGTTTTTACTACGACATCTTCTGTACTCTTAATTAGATTAAGTGACTAGGGGTTTGGCTGGTGTTGGGGAGTTTAGGGGTCAAGGTGTGTCTGTCAGTGAGGGTGGTGGCAGTGGCCAGTGCACTTGTGTATAAGTGTTACTATGTATCAGTTATGAGCGTCATTATGTCTCAGAGTTTCTGCTTGTCATTTGTGTATTGTTGGATCATTTGCAAGTCCAAGGGTTAGAGTATGTTTGCATTTGCTGTTTCAGTTTATTTTTGTGTCAATGCTGAGTCTTTTGTTTCTAGATTGTCTTCATGTGTCATAACCTGTGAATGTGTCTCACCCTCACCTGTGTGTCAACATGTCTGAGTTGTCACAGAAATTGTATCCCTATGTTTGCCTTCATATAGCATGCAAATACGTGAATATTTAATATGTCACAAGTGAATATCATCCTGTTGGGACTTTTTTTTTTTTTTGAGACGGAGTTTCACTCTTGTTGCCCAGGCTAGAGTGCCATGGCACAATCTTGGCTCACTGCAACCTCCGCCTTCCAGGTTCAAGCAATTCTCCTGACTCAGCCTCCCAAAGTAGCTGGGATTACAGGCATGCACCACCACGCCTGGCTAATTTTTGTATTTTTAGTAGAGACAGGGTTTCGCCATGTTGGCCAGGCTGGTCTTGAACTCCTGACCTCAGGTGATTGGCCCACCTTGGCCTCCCAAAATGCTGAGATTACAGGCATGAGCCACCACACCCAGCCCATGTTGGGATTTTCATAATGTGCTCTGTGTGTACCATATTTTTCAAAACGTGGGTGACACTGGAATTATCCTGATGTCTGAGTTGAGGAAATGCATGCCTAAATCTATCTTACCATGTTTGAATAGCCCTGATATGTGTTGCCGTGTTTGAGTTGCCGTGTATTCTCATGAGCCAGCATGTTTCAGGAGGCAGAATGTGAGTTGGTCATTATGTTTAAACGGTCACCGTGAGCATATCCTTGTATTCCCCTTGCTTATATATGTTGCCAGGTTTTAGTTCTCAGGGATATCAAGGTGTGTAATCAGTTTTGAGTTGACGCAATGTGTGTAATTGTGTTCTCTTTTCCGAATTGCCCCCAAATTATGATGGTATTACCGGGTTTGAATGATCACAACATGTCTGTATATGACTCAAAGTTTGAGTTGTCATGAGTTATCTTCGCATGTCAATACATTTGTGTTTTAACAACCTAGTGTGTCTCTCTCTGTTTGAGTTGGCACAATGTATATGCATTGTGTTTGAGTTATCAGATGTTTATGTTGTTACAATGTGTGTCTGTGAATCATTGTGTTTTGATCATGACCCTGTATGAGTACACATAAACACAGATGTATTTATATGACAGTGTTTATCAGGTGCCTCATGTTTAAGTTGTCACAATGTGTATTGCCATGTTCGAGGTGTTCCAAAGCCTATTTCTAACCATTGTTGAGTTGTATTGACATGTTTGTTGTGTGTATTGACATGTTTGAGTCATCAAAATGTATCTGCGTGTGGCCATGTCGAGGCATCACAGTGTTTCACCCTGTGAGTTTGCACGTTGTGTGTCTGTGTGTATTTGAACATGTTTGAGGTGTTATCATACCTGTGTGTCACCATGTTTGAGGTGTCTCTTAAACGTGTGTGTGACAGCCTACTTCCCATCATGCAGGACTAGGAATGAGAGGGAAAGACGGGGAGCTGGAAGAGGCAGGAGGCTGGGCCATCATCAAGATGGGGTGGGATGGGGGCTGGGGGGGGTTAGGGACAGAGTGGGTTCTAATTGGCCCGCGGTGAATTATTCACATGTATAATCCTCGAAGAATTTCAGCGCGGGCAGTGCCAGTAAATGCTGTGCATGTTTAAAAGTCATTTCCATAAGTAAGTGCAATTTCTCTACTGTTTGCCCCTGTTTAATGAAGTGAAATCTTGTTTGCATTCCTCCCAATTTCCCAACGAAAGGCGCCCAACCGTTCGCACAAAAATTACGCCGCCCAAATTAAAACTCGGGCTCTAAGGGAGGTGAGGGGACCGTGGCACTGGGCCCTTCACGGAGGGCCTACTGAGGGGTGGGGGGCAGGCAGGAGCTGGGCCTGGGTTTTTCAGCTCATTACTTTTCTGTCGTTCTTGCAATTTCAAATGCTCCCCCCACCATATTCCCCACCCCCACTTGCCCCATTATGTTCCTCTCTTTTTAAAAAGAACCCCTGGGGTACATGAACAGGGCATGAGGTATATGTTCATGTATGTGTAAATGAATCCCTATATACATTTATATTCATGTTCCTGCGTGTACTTGTGAAGTTGTGTACTCGTGATATTGTGATATATAATCGTACTCTGTGATCATTCAAGCAATGATTCATACAGACACATTGTAATGGCAAACACAAATGGCTATTGTGGATTTGCTTAGGAGGCCCTGCCTATGCATACATGTGGAATTGTCTACATGTCTGGCTGTATGTGTTGGGCGTGTTGTACATGTCTAAGGTGGATAGTCACATAGACGATATGGGTAAAGACAGAGAGGAGAAGGGGAGATTGCGGGTGTTTGTGTACCTTCTCAGGTTGCCTGGCGTAGAGTACTTAGCTCTATTGCAAAGACCCATTCCTTCCTGAGGGGCGCATGGCACCCCTCTTAATATACCTACAGCTGATGGCACTGGCACTGCAGGGTTGGAGGAATCATTTCCTTCTACTCCTTCCCTGAGTGTGCCCTCTGACCCTGTGAGGACCAGCCAGGTGGCTGACCAGCCAGCTGACACTCCAACGCCCTGTATGAGTTTGAACAAACGTACTCCCAAATGGGCAGGCAGGAGACCCCTTCAAGGCTCCACACCCTCAAAGTTGCACCCTCTCCTAGTGCCAAATGGCCACGATGTGAGGGTCGCTTTGGCAAGGAGCCCAGAACATAACTGCAGACTGCTCTTATTTGGATTAATTGGAAAAGTAATGAGCATTCGGTGCTCACCACCTTCACCACTCCTACTACCTTGACCAATCCCACCACACTGACCACGCCCATAACCTTCACCACTCCCACCACCTCGACCAATCCCGCAACCTCCACCACTCCCACCACCTCCACTATTCCCACCACCTTCACCACTCCCACCACCTCCACCACTCCCACCACCTCCACCACTCCCACCACCTTCCCCACTCCCACCACCTCCACCAGTCCCACCACCTCCACCATTCCCACCACCTCCACCATTCCCACCACCTCCACCACTCCCACCACCTCCACCACTCCCACCACCTTCACCACTCCCACCACCTTCCCCACTCCCACCACCTCCACCAGTCCCACCACCTCCACCATTCCCACCACCTCGACCAATCCCGCAACCTGCACCACTCCCACCACCTCCACTAGTCCCACCACCTCCACCACCCCCACCACCACCCCCACTCCCACCATCTTCCCCACTCCCGCCACCTCCACTATTCCCACCACCTTCCCCACTCCCACCACCTCCACTATTCCCACCACCTTCCCCACTCCCACCACCTCCACTATTCCCACCACCTCCACCACTCCCACCACCTCCACTATTCCCACCACCTTCCCCACTCCCACCACCTCCACCACTCCCACCACCTCCACCACTCCCACCACCTTCCCCACTCCCACCACCTCCACCATTCCCACCACCTCCACCACTCCCACCACCTTGACCAATCCCGCAACCTCCACCACTCCCACCACCTCCGCTAGTCCCACCACCTCCACCACCCCCACCACCACCTCCACGATTCCCACCACCTTCCCCACTCCCACCACCCCCACCACCTCCACGATTCCCACCACCTTCCCCACTCCCACCACCCCCACCACCTCCACGATTCCCACCACCTTCCCCACTCCCACCACCCCCACCACCTCCACGATTCCCACCACCTTCCCCACTCCCACCACCCCCACCACCTCCACGATTCCCACCACCTTCCCCACTCCCACCACCCCCACCACCTCCACGATTCCCACCACCTTCCCCACTCCCACCACCCCCACCACCTCCACGATTCCCACCACCTTCCCCACTCCCACCACCCCCACCACCTCCACTATTCCCACCACCTTCCCCACTCCAACCACCCCCGCCACCTCCACCACCTCTGCCACTCCCGCCACCTCCACCAATCCCGCCACCTCTGCCACTCCCACCACCTTCACCAGTCTCACCACCTTCTACTCCCCACCTTCTTCCAGTTGACCACTCAGCTGGAAAGGACAGAACCAATAAGTCACATCGCTACAATAATGCCCTCACCCACATATCCACAGGTCTGAAGCCCACTACCCTCTTAACACGTCACTGCAGGAAACATGGGGTGGCTAGCAGAGGTTCCAGTTGTTTGCTGAAGGTCTGGAGGAGAGAATCATTCAGAGCTGAAATCCTGAGGTAAAGGAACCCAGGAGTCGAAGTGATGAAGAGTGGGAGGCCTCCTTGGAGAGGGCTTCTTCTGTCACACCTCTTTGATGTCCTCCAGGAGGTGGGACATCCAGGCACACCGGCAAAGTGTCATCCTTGTCGTGACCCCCCACTTATCCTTTTTCCTCCTGCATTCTTCTATCAGTGTAATCAGCCCAAACCACAACTGTAACTTCTTCTCCCATAGTTCAGAAACCATCTATGGTTCCCCACTCCTCAAACAATAAAGCCTGTATTCCTTCTGCTATCAGACAGAACAAGCCCTTCACAATAGGAAGTTCCCTTCCCCCTCAACCTGCTTTTCTGTCCTTGGTTCTCAATGATGCCTCCCCCAGCCCCTCCATATCCCTCCTGAGCCCCACCCAAGCAAATAGGAACATGAGCTGGTTCTCTCCCTCTTTTGTCCATGCTCTTTCTTCTACCTCAGATGCCACCATTAGCCTTACCCCATCCCATTTTCTGCGGGTTGGGGTCTTAAAGCCCATCAAGCCAGATTTAATGCCATTTTCTCTAAGGCTTTCATGCTGGACCTCACCATGACTACCGGCAGCACAGTGACTCCTGGAGCATGATTTCTCTGCCTCTGCAACAGGAATTTCTTGTCCCTTCTCTTTACCTGCTGCAGACCAGACCTGCTGGGCTCCATTCTCTTTGGGCACCAGGCTTTGAGTACCCCTGAGTGAGGGGAAGGAGCAGTTCGCAAAGGCTTTGTGGACCAGCTAGTGGCGGACTGCAGAGCATGTGGAGAGTTAGGGTGGATTTGGACACATGTGCCCGGGGGGCGGGGGTTGGGGGAGGCTCCTGTTTGGAGCCCCTCTCCCTCGCCCAACCCAGCAGAATTAAACCCCAGCCCCAGTTCTCCATGGCTCCTGTCTTTATCTTCTTTCTCTGCCTGGGGCAGCAGAAACTGTCCACCTCATTCCCTTAGCAGGAGAAGCTTGGGGTCTTCCTGCCAGCTGAGAGGTCCCCATTCACAGGGGGAGACGCTGGATGGAACTGACTGTGCCCCATGCTGTCCTGGGGGGTTCCCCATATCCATCCCGGGACCCCTGTCAGTGTTATCCAGGCTGCTGTTTTCATTCACCAGGTGCTTCCCTCTTAATAGGGGAAGTCTCTGCAGTTAATATGCTGACAGCCCCACTTCTCCTCTCCCCGGCCAGCCTTCCATATTAGCTACACTGTCCCTCCCACCAGGGATTCCCCAAGCCCTTCACCCGACCCTCCACCATATCCCTTTAGCCCCCAAGACCCTCTCCCTGGCTTCCTCCATTAACTACCCTGACCCTTTTGCACCCCCTCCATGTAGCTGCCCTTCCCCTCCCTGACTCATTGAAGTTCCACCACCAAATCTCCATTAACTATTCTTACCCCCTTTCCCTCTAATTCTCTCACTGAAGGGCCCCCTTTATTTCTCTGACCTCATCCCCCGTTCCCACAGCCATTCCCTGGTCAGACCAGGGCACCTGGCAGTCAAAATCCACAGGGAGAGGGCTTCCACTAGATTTGGCCTCATCCTCAGGCCTCACCACTTTCCCAAGCCGGGCAGGACAGCCCTGCGAGGTGACTGGGCATGCGGGTGGGGGTCGGGTGGGTTCCAGACAGGAAGGAGGCGTGGACTTCAATCTGGAAAGTCTCTGCGGGCCCTTCTCCCTCCCCCTTAGCAAGTCTGGGAACTCTGCCCCAGCCTGGTCCTCGCTCCCCCGCCCTCGCCTCTCCGCGCTTTCATCAGAATTCAATTTCCGCCCGTAAGTGACTCCGCGGGCCCCTGATCCTTCCCTTGATGAATGAGCCGCCCGGCCCGGCCCCGTCCGTCACCGTCACCCTCGCCTCGGCCCGGGCCGCTGCCGCCCCCAGCCCTCGGCCCCTCCGCCAAACGCTGGCCCCGGCCCCCCGCGGCTCCCACCCAGACGCCTGCCGCCTCCAGCCCTCCGGGTTCCTCCCCCACGTCGCCGCAGCCCGCCCCACCCCCACACCCGCGTGGCGTTCTCTGCCCCGTCTCTGTCTCTCTGTGTGACTCTATCTCTCCTTGTCTCTGTGTCTCTCCTTCTCTCTCTCCCCTCGCTCCCGCCCTCCCTCCTTCCTCCTCTCCCTCTCTCCCTCTAACACCTCTATTCATCTCTGGGAGCAACATCATTTATTTTGCACTTCCCAGATAATTTACTTTTTTTCCCTTCTACAGGAATTCTCCATTTCCCTATAAAATGAAAATTCATCTAGAATTACATCTTATGTCATCATTATGTTTATTAAGCGTGGATGATGTATATGAACAGGACGGGCTTGCTGCTGAGTGCTTAATGGTGCATAAGATTAAGCCGAGGCTCTCAGCTGCGCAGCGACTCCCCTCCGGTTCCCATGTTGTCGAGGCATGCTGGGAGTACAAGTTCCGAGCGCACGGCCAGGTGAACGCGCCGCCGCCGCCGTCGCCGCGCGACTCCCCACCCCCCCTAGCCCCCTCCCGCGGGTCCCGACTGGCCCACCCCGGCGGGACTGGTGACGCCGGCGCGGCCTGCGCCTCCCGGAAACCCAGGCAGATAGCCCGGGTGGAAGCGGCCCGGCCCTGGGGTCACCATCGCCCCTCACCCCGGGGTTCGACGGCGGCCCTGGACGTCCCCGGGCCCCCGTCTTCCTCCTGGGCCTTCTCTCTAGTCCCTGGCAGCTGGGAGCGGCCCTCCCGCCCCTGCACTCCTTCCTGTCGCGCTGTGGTTCTGCCCTCTGGTTGTCGCTCCCCTAGCCCTCCCCTCTTTCTCTCTGCAGTGTTTCTTGGGGCTGTTGTCTTTCTGTCTGTCACTCTGCGTCTCGGTCTCTCTGGAGTCCTTCTGCCTCTGTCGCCCTCCCCCGCCTCGCTGTGTCTCCGTGCGGGTGCCCCTGCAGCTCCCTGGCTCGCCCGGCCTGCGTCCGTCGGTCTGTCTGCCTCTCGCGGTCTCCTCGGCTCCCCCCTCCCCCTCTCTCCCCTCTCCCCTCTCCCGGCGCTGGCGGCCACCGCACTGCAGCGCGGCACCAGCAGTCTATGACAAAAACATTATCCTTCTGCTGCTAAACAATCCAATAAACCTCTCCACAGGGAGAAAGTTAACCTCTTGTCTCTTCGGCTGATGCCTTCCCGCCCACGTGACTGCTGCCACAGTAAATTCAAATCATTAGTCTCCTCACCCCATCAAAAAACTTCTATTAGTAATGGAGACCTCGCCGGAGACCTTCCGCGGAGAGCGCTGCCTTCCCAATTCCCAGTGGAAAAATTCTGCGCGAAAAACTAATTCTACTTTTAATAATCTGTCATCAGGACCAGAGGCAGTCATAAATTATATGGGAGCGCGTGCGAGAGCGCGCCACAAGAGGGAAATCAGGGCGAAAAATCAAAGCCCAAGTTTGACAAACTTTCCTGAAGATAAATAATAACTTACAAACAGGATTAGTTGTAAAGTCACGCTCCGGCGCGCAGCCACCGCGGCAATCACGTCTGCCGAGGGCCGCCACCGCGAGGCACCTGTCACCGGCCGCCACCGCTTCCGAGCCTTCCTCCTCGTCCTCCTCCTTGCCTGCCTCCCCTCCTCCTCTTCCTCGCCCTCCAGCCTTCCTCTTCCCTTTTCTGCTCTCCTCCCTCCTCCCCTGCTTCCTCCAAGTTGTCCTCCGCTTCCCCCTGCTCTTCTTTACCCTTCTCCTCCTCTTCCTGCCTCAAACCTCCATCCTTCTCTCCCTGGCCAGCGGGCCGAGGTCCACCGATCCCCAGGGCAGTGGAGCCCCATTCTCCTCTCCCCCATCCCACCTCCAAGGGTCCCCAGCTGCAGGGACCAAGGTCAGAGGAGGGTGAGAGGATTCGCGGGAGTCTCGTTCGCCGGGGCTGTGACCTCGAGTGGGGGCTCGGCGTGTAAAGGGGTGTACGGGAGCGGCCCTTGGCTTCCTGCCTCTGCGGCCTCCCCTGCCTCCCGGCCCCATCCCGTCTCCCTGTCCTCCGCCCTCACCCACCCGGACAGAGGGAGACTGGCGCGGGCAGTGCGTGGGTTGGGGGCACAGCCCGACCCCTAAGTTTATTCGTTGGCGTGGGTGCAGGGTGGCGGCGGGTCCGCTCCGCCCGCCTCGGGTCCCAGCCCCCACCCCCCGGAGCTTCCCTCCCCCACCCCACCCCGCCCCGCCCTCGCCCCGCACAATCTCGGCGCTGACAGCCGAGCAGGTGATAAATGCCGGCGACGCGGGGAAGGAATTGCGCAAAATAAAGAAGCATGTTCCAACAAGTCCTGTCAGGATTGTATTGATTTAATCATCTGCAGAAATACACATTCTGGATTACTGTAGCGTGCCCGGGCCGGGGGAAGGGGCGGGCCGGCCGGCTAGGGCCGCGGCGGGCGGGGCGCAGCGGCGGGCGAAGGGGCGGGCAGAACTGGGGCCCCGCCCCTCGCCCCAGGCCCCGCCCCACCGGCCTTCTGGCCTGGCGAGAAACTGCAGGGCGCTGGGGCTAGGGTTTGGGGGTTCCCTACCTAAGAGGTGCTGCGGAAGGGCTGTTCTGCCCTGCGGGCACCTCCTCCTGCACCCGCCCCCGAGGTGGCCTTGCGAAACTGCTGCACAGGGCGGTCAAGGAATCCTCGAGCTGGACGCGAACCCTAGAGGCGGAGGGTGGGGGGGGTTTGTTGGGGGTGGAAAGAAGATGGAGAGGAAAGGACAGCAGGAGAGCGAAGGCCGCAGATGGGCCCTCCTTCTACCTCTAGAATGTTTTCTGGTGGTTTCCCGCTCCATCATCTCTTGCCAGAGGCAAGACCTCAGCTGCCATGCTTCAGGGTACTTGGAGGAGGTAGGGCACTCCAGTACCACCTCCTGGCGTGGCTGACCTGTGCCTGCAGCTACTTTGGAGGTAGAGGTGGGGATAGATGAGAGCTCATCTCAGCTAACACTTTGTAGGTGCTTCATGAAGGTTAAACAAACCAACAAACATATCTCTGACTTCTGTTCCATAATCCAGGTTGAGTCCCGAGGTGAGGACTTGGGGTAGGATTGGATCTTCATTTGGTTGAAAACCTGGCCCTTTGGAAAAAACAAACAAACAAACAAACAAACAAAATAAACTTACGGGGTGGAGGGTGGCAAAGGGATGGAGAGATTGCACAGCCGCTGAGAGTAGGGGAAGCCAAATGGAAATAGAAGCAGAAATCCATTTATTTAATGATTGATTTATCATATTTTATGTCGTGGAAACCTTCCAACAGCCTTAGAGGTTGTTACTATCAATATCCCCCATTATGCAGATGAGAAAAATGAGGTTCGGAGAGGTTGATTGGCTTAAGATCACAGTGTTGCTAGGTTTGGAAGCTTACCTTGGAGGCCAGGTCTGTCATACTCCAAACCTTCCCCATAGTTATGGGCGTTGGGGGGCAGTGCTGTGGGTTTGAGAACTGTATGGAGGATGGTGGGGAGGCAGGGTGCAAGAATCACAGAGGAACTAGACCCAGTGAGCAGTAAACCTTGTCCATTCCAAAAACACTGGGGTCGAGGGGTGGGCACTGGTGCTTGAACTCTCCCTAGGAGTTTTAAGAACTGTAGAGAGGGACCCTAAGCTGGGGAGGTGGGGGTGAGGGGACCACCAGAGAGTAAAATTAACACCATAATTTCTTTATGTACCATCAGTGTACTAGTCTTAGTTGGGAAGGGAGTGGAGGGACTTTAGAGAAAAGGAAAATCATGAGAGTGAGTAATGTAGACCAGTGAGAGAAGTGGAATTTTATCTGAAATCAGAAATTGTTACCAAAGGTGTGGGGGTTAGGCCACTCATGGTGGGAGAAGGAGACGTCATCATTGGGGTGGCTTTATCAGTGAGAAGCACAGCACCTCCCTGAGTGACCCCTCACTCAATAGAAAACCAAAAAGAATGAACAATAACTGAGAGCACAAGCATGATGGGGAATCATGAAAGACAGACAGACCTTGGGGTCCCAATGGACCACAAGCCAAATTGGAGTAGATGTGAATAACTGAACAAGACTGGGAGTAAGAAACGAAGATGCAATTTATTTCTTTTCATGGGGAGGTGGCTGTAAAATGGGGTAAAATAAAGAGGGGGTGGAGGGAGCAGAGAAGGGAGCAGGGGACTTCCTTCTAAGAGAGATAAGGCATCTGCCACCACCCCATTGTGACTCACCCATTTCTCCCCACCTATACCCATTCTGCCTCCACAAGAGCTTTCCATTCAGTGCCTTCCCCTTGCAAGTCAGCTTTTAGGATTGCCTGTTTTTCATAAGATTACCTTAAAGAGAGCCTGGACTAACCCAAGAACAAGGCACCACATTATCCATTTGCTTGTTTGTTTTGAGACAGAGTCTTGCTCTGTTGCCCAGAGTGGAGTGCAGTAGTGAGATCTTGGCTCACTGCAACCTCTGTCTTCTGGATTCAAGTGATTCTCATGCCTCAGCCTCCCGAGTAGCTGGGATTACAGGCGTGTGCCACCATGCCCGGCTAATTTTTGTATTTTTAGTAGAGATGGGGTTTCACCGTGTTGGCCAGGCTGGTCTCGAACTCCTGACCTCAAGTGATCCACCCACCTCGGCCTCCCAAAGTGCTGGGATCACAGGCGTGAGCCACCATGCCTGGCCACACATTATTATTATATTATTATTATGCGTATTGACTCAGTCCTCATAACCAGTCTATGAGGTGGGCAATAGCATATCTCCATTTGACAGAACAGGAAACGAAGGCGCAGAAAGGTTTATTGATTGGCTCAAAAGTTATACAGTTAGCAGTAATGAAACAATTGAACCCAGATATATAAACCACTGCACTCTTGAGTCCTGCCTGCCGGCTGGACTGAAAGTCAAGGTTCCCCGGGCCTAGCTTCAGTCCTACCATTACTAACCTGTATGACCTTGGCCAAGACCTTTTCCCGTGCTGGGCCTCAGTTTCCACATCTGTGAGAGGGTTGAGCCAATGCCCTCCTAAATTCCTTCCAGACCTCCAACGAAAAGACCCAAAGATCTGTGATCTCTCCCCCAACGACCCGCGCTTCTGACCCCTCCCTCACCCCCTGGTGGTCCAGCCTCAGCCCCAGACCCACGCAGTGCCTCACGCTCGCCTGCCCCGCCCGCTCCCCGCGGGCCTGCGCGTGACTTTAGCGCGCGCGGCTCCGCCCGGAAGGTCACCTCCTTCATCACGGATTCTATTTGCATCCGGAATCGCATGTACATGAAAAATGTGTCCGCGTGCGGCCCCGACTGCAGACGCAGATGAAATTCTGTGCCGAGCCTGATGCGCGGTAACCTTTGCAGATGGCGCCGCTATTGCTGAGAAATGGATTGCTTAATAAAGCGTATCATCCGGCATATTTGCTGCTTGGCTAGCCAAATAGAAGTTGTTTTTTGCACAAATTTCCTTGTCAAATTTGTCAATGTTCATGTCATTTTTGCTTTAGGTCACAGAGCAAGGTGCAAATTCCTGGCATCTTTACTAGTTGCAGCCAATTTCGGCGATTTCGGCGGTGACGGGGATTCTCAGAGGAGCCGCGTGCCCGTGCGCTCCCGCCTGTCGGCCCCAGAGAGCGCAGCCCTGACACCTCCTCCCGGAAGCCCGCCGGCCCGACCCTGGTTTGGAAGGAGAGGCTCAGGGAGTGGGACAGAGGGTATCTCTCTTTCCCCAGCGTCCACCCCCAGACGCCTCCTACCCCCAACCAGGGAGGTTAGAGGGGCAGATGGGAGTACGAGGCTTACACCCAGCTCTCCTATGCCACTTCCTCTCCCTAAGACGTGGCCTTTTCCCCATCTTCCTTTGACTCCTTGAGTTTCCAGTGGAAACGGAGGAATCTGTGGGAAGGGGAGCCCTCTTCTTGTCCTTTCATGAGAAATTTCAGCTCCCAGGGCCCCAAGACCCCACCCACACTCCATTCCAAAGCCAGATTAACCTATCTCCACCTTAGGAGAGGTTTACTGAAGGAAGGCAGTGGGTGGGAGAACGTTGTCCAGTTCCCTCCTTCCACACACTCCAGACCCACTTTGAGGGAGAGTAGTGGACAAACAGGTATATGAGGTATGGGAGCGGGGTAGGAGGGGATAGGTGAGAACACAAACAAGCAGGCTTTCTTGGGAGATCTTTTCCTCCCATTTGAGTTTCAATCACTCGGGCTGGGCTGGGCCTTTCTCAAGCAAATCCTATGAAAAACAGATCATCCTGAAGGTCACTGAGAGGTTTAGGCAGTCCCGAGCCTGGTGTGGGGAGTTTACTCGATTATTTCCTCCCAGCTAAAGTCAACAGCTAACACTGGGGAGTGCTCATGCATGCCAGGCTCTGTGCTAAGCCGGTGACCCGCATTATCTCATAAAATCATCATTTCAGCAAGCCCATGAGTCTTTTACAAATATTCTCCCCATTATACAGATGCAGGCTCAGCTCAAGGAAATCAGCCCACTTGGAGAGTGTGGATGAGGTTTGGGGGCCTGTGATGGTAGGTGGGCTGATGAAGGGGATCAGGTCGGGGGTGGGGTGGGTGGGAATGGTAGGGAGAGGACTCCCCTGAAGCAGGCCTGGCAGGGTCCCTGAAAGCCTGTCCCAGTGTGAGCTCCCTGGAGGGAAGCTGATGTGGGGAGGGGATGTGGACAGTGTTCTCTATGGGAATTGTGCATATGAGGACAGGCAGGAGATCCGGGGACATGTATGGGAGAATAGACACTGAGGACACTAATATGGGAAAGGGTATATTGTGGGTAGGATCTGAATAAGTCAAAAGGGATGCGTGTGGGGCAGGGCATGAGGACAGGTATAGGGAGCAGGCAAGTAGAGATGGGGTATGAGGGCTGGTATGTGGAGTTGTGGGTGTGGATATGGGCATGTAGGGACAGGTATGAGTGTCAGGAGCATGAAAAGGGTGTAACAAGACAGTTGATGGTGACACTAAATTCCAAGGAGTTGGCCATATCTGTGTTGGCTGCTGTATTCCCCAGATCCAAGCTCAGTGCCTAGCACATGGTAGGGGCTTAGGATGTCGTTGTGTAATGACTGAATGGGGAAAGAGCTTGGTTGGGTACAGGTGTTCTTGGTTAGGAGGTGGGCAGATTTACCATGAGATATTCTAGGAGAGTTTGGGTTCTCTATTCAGCCTCTATGCACTGGGCCAGGCTGGGGAATGGTCAGACCTGCTTCCCTGGAACAGGAGACCAGCCCGGGATGGGAGCCCAGTAAACTGGGGGCTGCAAAGCATTGGATGATGTCGGGCGGGGGTGGGGTGGGGGTGGGGGAGGACTGCCGTCAGATTATTAATGGCCATGCGTTGACTCAATTAAATCCAGCCTGCTTTTGTTGGCAGGCCTCCGCAATTATGCATCTCATTATGGGCGGCCGCCCAAATGCATCCTGGGAGGAGACCAGAACTCCAAATTAACTTTTCCTGGCGCTGCGGGGGCTGGTTGGCCGGCACTGCCTGCATGGCAGCCAATCAGTGTTGGCTCCAAGGGGGGCGGGGTCATAAGAAGGACGAAGGTGTGGGGAGGGTAGGCTGCCCTGCCTGGGGTGCGTCTAGAAAAGATGGGCTAAAGACCTGCATGTTCATCCAGAATAACTCCCATGCCCAAGCCACCCCCATCTCCAGCAAGAAGCCGGCCTAGGTGTTTGGGTTCAGTGTTGGAGGGAGTCTTGTCCTTATCCCTCAGTGGAGGAGATCACCCCAACAGGGAGTACAGAGAACCAGGTGCCCTTGGTTCCCCCACCTCCCCAACCATGCACGACCCAAACTAAATCAACGTGACTCCAGAATTACACCAAACCCACAAGAACCAAGGGAAGTAAGGGGTAGCAGTGTAGAGAGGGCGTCCTGCTGGGTGTGGGGAGGCCACTCGGGAGGTTGGCCAGATTGGCTCCTGCCCTGCTGGGTGTCGCCTGTGTGTCAGGGTGTGTATGTTTGTGTGTGGGTGTGTGTGCGCAAGCCTGCTCACAGCCTGCCTCTGCAGTTACACCACCAGTATAAAGCGCTTCATTAACCTGTCAATCAAAGCCCGCTTCTCTCCAGCTCTCAGGCTCTGCCCTGCATCAGCCCATGCTACGTGTGTTCCTGCACATTGTGCCACCCTGGGACCACTTGGCATTGCCCAGCCTCCCCCTACAGAAGCATGGCTTCTGTTGCCTCCCCAAAACCCCCAAATGTTCATACCTTACCCAGGAGAGCCTGGGGCCTGTCGCCTGTGTGTGGTATGTGTGTATGCAGGTCAGTATCTTATTGTGTGTGTGGCCTTACTCCAAACCATGCATTCGTGAGAAATGGCCGTTCTAAAAACCAGAGCAAACTGGAGGTGTATGAGGTCCAGCTCTGAGCTGTGTGCACTTGGACTTGCCACCTTCCCTCTCTGGGCTTCAGGGGCCTCATCTGCATGGTGGTCTGGTTCAGACTAGATGATCTCTACTCTTCTTCCTTCCGGCTTTCTGAGTTCAGGTGAGTGTGACCTTCAGAACTGTACACACATGTGTATACAGGTGTGTGTGTCCTCTCCCAGCTGTTTTTCCTCCCAGGTTGCTGAGGTGCTGGGGCAGAACCACCAAAGCCCAGAGGCTGCTCTTGACCTGGAAGGGGCATGCATTTCCAAGATTCCACATGGCACCATCGACTGGAGCCCACTATAGAAACAGACATACTCACTCACGTCCACACCCACTTGCTATGACCAAACTCTTACAGGCTGCAGACAGCATGCCTAAAGTGGGCACCCATGCAGAGGCACACCCAAGCAGGTGTGGGCCCAGACAGTACCCACCCTTGTCGAGAGTGCCTCCAGCATTCAGGATCACCTAAAGATCCCAAGCTTCCCAATTTTGGGGGCCTGGCCTTGCTCCCACCTGCCAGGCCCATATAGGGGAAAGAGGCGATGTTTTCCACGACAGGGGAGGGCTCTGCTCACCCCACTTGTGGTTTCTTTATTGTGCGTTAATGAAACCCTGTTTCTTCTGGGTGTTTAATTCTTTCCATCTATTATGTTTAGACAACTCATTAACAATCATTCATTATAATTAGACTTCAATTTTAGGCTTCTTTCTCAGGGGAGGTAATGCAGAGCTTTTACACATATTTGCATCATAAACAGCTTCCAAATCTCTGGGTGTCACCCCTGCCCTCTCCGACACTGACCACTGTCCCTGCTTTTCTCTCCTTCCTTCCCTCCCCTCTGCCCACCCCTGCTCCCAATATAGGGTTGAGGGTGGAGAAAGGGGAGCTGAAGAGTACATACACGGCCTCAGATCCTGTTGCCCCCAGAGTCCGTCTGGCCTGGGCCTGGGCCTGGCCCTCGCTGAATGACTCAGATGTGCCAAAAGCAGGGAGTGGGCTGCCCTAGAAACACATTTGCCCCAGTAATCACCAGGCTGGGACACCAGGCTATCATGCTCCCAAGCTCTCACCCAGAGCTGCTGGCTCTTTGAGTGTCCCCATGTCCCCGTCTCTACTGAAATACATGCAGATATGCCTGCCCTGTAGACACATGCAAGCAAGTGTGTACACCAGACACATACAACCACCTAGGGAAGGCAGAGGGAGTCTCTCATGGGGATTTTTCTTCTTCCAATTCTAAACTGAGACACTGGCTCCCACCATCACACCTCCCCCCAAATTCCTTTTAGTTTAAGGATGCCCATGCCTTTCAGTCTTTACTTGCAACATCATAGGATCTCTATTTGATGAGTGAATGTTTGTTGAGAGAATGAATGAATGAGTTTTAGTGGAAATGGCATGGGTATTATAGTTAGACAGACTAGGTTCACATTCCAGCTCTGTAACTGACTAACCATGTGACCTCTCTGAGCCTCAGTTTACTCCTCTGTAAAATGAGGATAATAACGTCTACCTTGCAGGGATTTTGTGAGGATGAAGAGAGCTAACTAAAAATGTAAAGTACCTGGCATTTTATAGGTACTTAACCTATGGTAACTATAATAATTAATACTAGTGAAGTTTGTATTAATAACTTATAAGTAACCATAATAATCCCAGGAAGAGGCCCCTGGGTCATCCTGTGCAACTACCTTTCCAGTGGGGCAGTCTTTTCTGCAGCATCCTCAATGGGCGCTGCTTGATTGTATCCATGGAAGGGAGCTCAGCTCTGTCCCTTTCTATTATTGGGCAGATCTCCTTACGGGAAAGATTTTTCTTAGATCCAGTTACAATCAACCTCCTTGCAACCTTCCCCATTAGCCCTGGAGCGTGCCTTTGGGAATCTGCTTGCTCAGCAATGGATACCCTGAGAGGTCCCCACAGGGGAGAAGAGAAGGGGGCAGGATGGAGGGCAAATGCCATGATGGGGCAGGATGACTGGGAGAAGGAGGCTGAGAGGCTGATGGGAGAGGCAGTGAGTGGAGTATGGCTGGACCCCTCAGAGGCTGCA
The DNA here is from genome assembly GCF_000001405.40 of Homo sapiens. NCBI lineage: Eukaryota > Metazoa > Chordata > Mammalia > Primates > Hominidae > Homo > Homo sapiens. The sequence continues at coordinate 100,664,688 of NC_000010.11, forward strand.
GGAACCAGAGGGAGCCACAGGAGGAGAGACAGAGACAGAGAGGGGACACCGGGGGAGAAGGATTTTCTATCAACAAAACAGCAGGACAGATTCTGGCTGGTCTCTGGAAACATCTTCATCTGGTGCCTGAGGCCAGCTCTGAGCTCCTTTTAGCTCATTACTGGCAATTAGTCCTCTGGGCCCAGCCTGGGGGAGGGGGACACTATTAGCTCACACTCCCCTGGACACACACACACACCGTGAATCAAGTTGACAACTTTGCCCCGCCTGTCCTCCTTACCCTGCTCTGTGTGTGGGGTGGGAAGCATGTGTCCACATGGATGTGTGAATGCATGTATATCTACATGAAGATGTCACAGGGCAGACAGTGTGAGTGCATGTGTCTGGCCTGTGGGAATGTGAGATTGTGCAAAAGAGCAGGAAGTGTGTGTGCATGCATGCATGCCCTGTGGGAGAAATGGGAATGTGTAAGTGAGTTTGTGAGGATTGAAAATCTAGGCCGGGAGCGGTGGCTCACACCTGTAATCCCAGCACTTTAGGAGGCTGAGGCAGGTGGATCACAAGGTCAGGAGATTGAGATCACCCTGGCTAACACAGTGAAACCCCATCTCTACTGAAAATACAAAAAATTAGCCGGGTGTGGTGGCGGACGCCTGTAGTCCCAGCTACTCGGGAGGCTGAGGTGGGAGAATGGCGTGAACCCGGGTGGCGGAGCTTGCAGTGAGCCGAGATCACACCACTGCACTCCAGCCTGGGCGACAGAGCGAGACTCCATCTCAAAAAAAAAAAGAAAAAGAAAAAAGAGCTGTATGTAGGAAGCTGTGACTGTTACTCCTGGGCTTCTGTGTCCACAAACATCCTGGCCTGGGTGGTTGACATCTGGGGCTGGGTTTCAGGAAAGGAAAAAGAACAGGCGGATCTTGGCATTCCTACCTCAGCTCCATCTCAGAAAGTTTGGTCCTTGGGGAGCTCCTTTCTCTGAAGTGGAAAACTAGAACATCATTGGGGTGAATCCCAGGGAGGACACCCAGAATTTGCTCCTCCCTTTAACCCTTTCCTTCCCAGATGCTTTAGCCTAGCACTGTTCAATAGAAATATAACGTGAGCCACATATGCAATTCAAAATTTTATAGTGACTACATTTCCTCTTTAAAAGGTTAAAAAAAAAGGTAAAACTATTTATTTAGGCCTGGTGCAGTAGCTCATGCCTGTAATCTCAGCACTTTGGGAGGCCCAGATGGGCGGATCATGAGGTCAGGAGACTGAGACCATCCTGGCCAACATGGTGAAACCCTGTCTCTACTAAAAATACAAAAATTAGCCAGGTGTGGTGGCATGTGCCTGTAGTCCCAGCTACTCATGAGGCTGAGGCAGGATGAGGTACGAGAATCACTTGAACCCGGGAGGGAGAGGTTGCAGTGAGCTGAGATCATGTCACTGCACTCCAGCCTGGGCCACAGAGTGAGACTCTGTCTCAAACAAACAAACAAACAAAAAACCAAAAACCTATTTCTTTATTTATTCTAGAGATGGGGTCTTGCTTTGTACTCCAAGTTGGTCTTGAACTCCTGGACTAAAACAGTCCTCCTGCCTGGGCCTCCCAAAGTGCTGGGATTACAGGTATGAGCCACTGCATCCAGCCTACTTTTTAAAAACATACTTATTGGCCAGGTGCGGTGGCTCAGGCCTGTAATCCCAGCACTTTGGGAGGCTGAGGTGGGCGGATTACTTGAGGTCAGGAGTAATCCTGACCAGGCTGTGACCAGCCTGAGACCAGCCTGGCCAAAATGGTGAAACCCCGTCCCTACTAGAAATACAAAAATTAGGCAGGTGTGGTGGCGCATGTCTGTAATCCTAGTTACTCAGGAGGCTGAGACATGAGAACCACCTGAACTCAGGAGGCGGACGTTGCAGTGAGCCAAAAATGTGCCACCATACTCCAGCCTGGGCAACAGAGTGAGACTCTGTCTCAAAAAAAAAAAAAAGTCGTTATTTATGTTTTCTTTTAGAGATGGGGTCTTGCTATATTTCCCAGGCTGGAGTGCAGTAGCTATTTACAAGTGCAGTCATGGAGCACTGCAGCTTTGAACTCCTAGGCTCAAGCAATTCTGTAATTTCCCCACCTCAGCCTCCAGAGTAGCCAGTTGACCATCAAGCCAACTTTTTGTTTGTTTTTAGAGACAAGTCTTGCCCTGTTACCCAGGCTGGAGTACAGTGGCGCAATCATGGCTCACTGCAGCCTCAATCTCCTGGGCTCAAGCAATCCTCCCACCTCAGCTTCCAGAGTAGCTGGGACTACAGGCATGCACTACCACACCCAGCTAATTTTTAAAATTTGTTTTAGAGATGGGGTTTTGCTATGTTGCCCAGGCTGGTCTTGAACTCCAGGCTCAAGAAATTCTCCTGCCTGGGCCTCCCAAAGCGCTGGGATTACAGGTGTGAGCCACTGTGCCTGGCCCCAGCTTAATTTTGATAAGATATTTTATGTAAACCAATATAGCCAAGTTAATATCATCTTAACATGTAATCAATATTTTGTAAAGAATTAACATGTTTTACATTTTTCATAGTAAATCTTTACAAATTGGTGTGTATTTTTCATTTACAGCACATTTCCATTTGGATGAGCCACACTTCAAGTGCTCAATGTCACACGTGGCTAGTGGCTACCATATTGGGCAAGACAGATCTGCAGCCTGGCTTGGCTGGTTTCCCACAAGCCAGTGAAGGGTGGCGTGTGTGCTGGTGGGGGCTGGGGGAACAGGGAGCAGTGAGGGTTGGAATCACTGCACTCTTCATTCTCTCTCTACCTCAGACCCTGCCCTTGCGGAGCCTTCGGGCTCCTTTCCCCACTGATGGTCACAGCCTAGACAGGTGGATTCAATGTTGGAGTCTTCCTCGAGGAAGTTCTTCCCTTTGTGTTGCTTCTGAGGTTCCTACTGCAGGTGACAGCCAACCCTTTCTCATGAGGGCCCCCTCATCCTCTTCATCAGAGAGAATCTGGGGTGGGAGGAGAGAATCACATAGAAACTAACTGGGCAGGGCGTGGGGGGTGATGGGAGACATGACAGGCTAGAAAAGCCCCAAGTGCTGAGGAGGAGCGGGGAGGGAAGGAGGGGTGGGTGGCTTAGGAAATGACCACAGAGTAAAGGCAGCATTTCTAAAAGGTGACTTTTCAGTACCTTGTCCCCCTTATTCTTTTGAATTTTCTGTCTCCTCAGCCTCTCAGATATCTTGGGCCCATCTAGACCGCCCCCTCGTTTCCTCCCATCCCTTCATTTCCCTCCTGCTCAGCCTCTCATCACCTCCACCTCCTGGCCTCAGTCTCTCTCTGTCCATCTCTCTCCTTCCTACCCTTCACCTCCTCAGCTTACTTCCTGCTCTCAGACTTCATCCTCCACATGACCCCCCAGCCCAGGGTGATGGGGCTGGGAGGAATTTGGGGAATAGAGACCTGGAATGGGGTATGAGACCTGAGCCGGCAGCATCTCCAGGAGAGAGAAGGAGGCAGGACCCTCCCAGTCCCCTCCCATCCTCTTACCCCTCCTCCCGCCCCTCCCCCCACAGGGCTGCAGTGATTCCACAGTCTCGGGGCTTGAGGGTCTCGGGGCCCCTCGCTAATGTAAGGTTATTGTAATTGATATGAAGGTAATTGATAATGTGTTACGGTGAATAATGTCTTCAATTTTCTGCTAAATCCCATTTTTTGTAGCCATCTGGGCTCCTCCAACTGCCCCCCTGGGACGCTGGGTAATAGAGAGTAATTATTCTCAAGTCATTTACTTTTTCAAAGTGTTTAGTGCTTATCTGTTTTACAATTAAAATGGAAACGACCCTGATTCACTTCCTTTCTTTTTCATTTAAATAGCACTCACCCCCCCACACCCCCACCACACACTCTCAGTCACACACAACCACACGGGCACACAACCCTCCAACACACACACACACACACACACACACACACACACACACACACAGAGTCTTCTTGTATGCGGCAACATGTCCACATTCAAAGACTTAGAAATACATGCATATTTTCTTTGTCAGTCACACACACAGGCACACATATACAACTTTACATGCAGACAGGGACACAGCCTCAGTGACCCAGCCATACGTACCCTTTGCCATTCTCCTTTGGAGTGAGAGGATGGGGGTGGGCATGGTCAGGGTGGAGGACGGGGGAAGGAGATCTTGGATATGTGTCTGAGTGTGCAAGGTGATGTTCGAATGTGGAAGGTGAGCATCTGTGTGTACACTTGAGTGTGCTTGGCATGTAGAATTCAGAGTGTGGGTTCATATGCAGCTAAAATGTGCAAATTTAAAGCAGTCGTGTGAGAGCAAAGTCACAACTTTGCTTTTGTGTTTGAACATGAGTTATTGGTGTATGGAGTGTACGGAGCCAGTGTTCATACCCAGTAACACATAACGAAGGTCCGGGCGGTGCAGCCCCAGCTTGGACACGCCGTCCTCAGGAGGGGGCGAGAGAGGGATCCAGAGGCGCCTGGCCCAGGACCCAGAGAGCCCTCCACCTCACACGATGAAATTCAACCCATTTATATTTCAACAGAAAATGTCACAGAAAATGTCCCCTGGTGGGAGAGACGCCAGGGGAGGAGGAGTCAGGAAGTGAGAACAGCTCACACCAGCCCCTCATGCAGCCCCACCCACCCACTGGCTCCTCCAGCTGTCCTTCCTCTCCCAGGACCCTCTCTCTGACCCCCCTCACTGACCCCTCCACTGCTTGCCCCTCAAACCCTTCAAAGGACCCTCACTGAGCCCTGGTTCTGGTGTCAGGCATGGCCCTCCATGACCAGAGAGCTTCCTGCCCTGCCCTGGGCGGTTCCCCACTGGGGGTGCTCTATGGCCACAGACACCTGCATGAGTGAGGCACTGACCTATGGGAACCAAAGCACGACATCACACACCTCAGATCCTTCCACATGACCAGGCACGACTTCTCTCCACTGTCACACGGGCCCACGGGAGGACAACTGAGCCCCTGCACTTGTGAGAACACTTCAGGCTCACTGGGGTCGCCTGCAGTGGTTTAGGGACCTGCTTCCCACTGTACAGATGGAGAAACTGAGCCGCGGTGTGGGCCAGCATGGCCATGGGGCCCGAGACGCTGTGAGGCCAGCAGTGGCCTATCTGCTTTGCTGTGACACCTGCTCTGCTGTCCCCAAAATCTCCTGCTTCCAGGTCTCCATGCCTTTCACACATTCTGCTGCTGGACCAGTGATGAGGGGCATGAGACCTCCCCCTCCTGGATAGGCTGACCAGGCAAGGCCCGCTAAGGTCCAAAGAGGACCAGGCTGTGGGAGTGAGACCCTAAGCTGGTGAGCACCATTAGCAGAGCGTGCTGTGGGTTCTGGTTTTAACTTAACTTTTTAAAAATGCGGGGTGGGAGGGCTGCCATTTATGGGTGGAGGGTGCCTCTTTCTGCCTTTTTTGGTGTCTCATACTCTGGGCATCTGCCTTGGCCTCCTCCCTTCTGTCTTGGAGTCTGTTTTTCCACAGTGGTCTTTTTTTGGTTTCAATTTCTGCTTTGTCTTGTTCTATGTGTCTTTGGGCTCTCTCTATATATACACGCATGTACGTATATCTCTCTCTCTAAATTTGAGAGAGAGATAGATAGATAGGGAGATGGATATATCTATATATCTATGGATATATCCCTGTCTGTCTGTCTCTCCCCTTTCCCAGGACCCTGTCCCCCTGCTCCGAGCTGTCTGCCTGGCATCTGCCTCCCTCTCTGCCTCTGGTGCCCCTATCAGTGTCTCTCACTCTGTCCCTGTCTCTCCCTCCGTCTTTGTCTCTGCCTCTGTCCCTGTCCTGTGGCTCCCTCTGTCCCTGTCTCTCCCTCTGTCCCTGTCCTGTGTCTCCCTCTGTCCCTGTCTCTCCCTCTGTCCCTGTCGCTCCCTCTGTCCCTGTCGCTCCCTCTGTCCCTGTCCCGTCTCTCCCTCTGTCCCTGTCCCTGTCTCTGTCTCTGCCTCTGTCCCTGTCCCTGACTCTCCTTAGGCCCCTCCCTGACTCAGGCCCCTCACACCTTCCGAAAAGTAAACATTTAATTTTTTTTTTTTTGCTGTTAATAGATTTAATGTTCATTTGTTGGTAGCCCAGGGGCAGAAACGCGTGACATTTCAAATAATTGTTGTTTCAGGGGTATCCTCTGGAGGGAAATGCGGCAAAAGTGTGGAGAAGATTTAAGCAAATGACTGTGTCAGCTTCTATTTACTCCTGACAGGATCGCCGGGGGCACGGCTGCGAGATAACCATTAGCGCAGCCGCCGATAAAGCGGGGAGGCTGCATTTCCAAAGGCTCCGCGGCCATTACGGGAAAGTTAGTGTGAAACATGTTAAATTATCCCCAAAGTGGAGGGAGCGGGGGAGGCGGCGGGGGAGCGGGCGCCCGAGAGAGCCACGAGACCCGCCGCCTCCGCCGGGGCCGGGTGACTGCGCCGTGCCCGACACGCCGACGTCCACCAGGGGGCGGCCGCGTGCGGCCCGAGCCTCGGTCTGCGGGTCCGGAGGATGGGCTGGCGGCCCGAGCCTTCCTCGCACCTGCGGGCGCGGACCCACCCGAGGCCGCCGGCTCCGGCTCCGGCTCCCTGCCTGGCCCCTCTGCCCAGCAGGAGCAGCCCGGCACCCCCGGAGAGCGATAGAGAGGCGGGGGCCTGGGTGGGGTCGCCAAGATCAGCCCCATGGGGTCACAAGAAAAGGCCTCATTGTGAGGCTCTAGCTGAGGCTTGGGACAGTTCAGCCTCAGCTCTTTTAGAGCCTCTGCCTTGAAGACCCAGCTCAGGTCTCGGCGCGGTGGCTCACACGTGTAATCCCAGTACTTTGGAAGGCGGAGACGGTGGATCACCTGAGCCAGGAGTTCGAGACAAGTCTGGGCAACATAGCAAGATCTCGTCTCCAAAATTAAAAAAAAAATTTTTAATTTAAAAATCCACCTCAGGTGTGTGCAGGTAACACCTATATGTGCCAGTGCCCAGGTTTGTGCAACATCCTGAGACGTGAGTTCACCTCTCAGCTCTGCCTTAATTAATTGGGTGGCCCTGGGCAAGTCCTCTGGGCCTCAGTTTCCCCATTTGCAAAGTAGAAATAATATATCTGCCCCACATACCTCACTCCCTGAGGATTAGTTGAAGTAATGAGACTATGTAAAAGTGATCTGAGAAACCATGCAATGCAATACAAGTGACAAGTACTGTTATTAAGTGTTAGTTATTATTAACATTCTGCTGAGTCCACAGGGAATACCTGTGCACAAAGGCCACAGGTGGGTGCACCAGTGCATGGGAAATAGGATCCCGATCACAGCTCTCTCCGAGGTCGGGGGTCGTTTTTCCCACCCCTCCTAGTTTTGCTCCCGTTAAGCCACACTTCTGGTAAATTAATATCTATGGGCTAGCATGACAGAGGAAACAGTGTTCCAGGCTAGCCCCTGCAAAAGCATGCCTATAGCATGCCTGGACCAGAACAGAGCAATATTGGCTGAGAACACTGTCTAGGGAATCTCTAGAGGGACCATGTGAGGCAGGAGAGAGGAAGAAGGGGAAGAGGAGAACACCTCTCCCCTTTGTGGTAATGGTATCTCCAGACAGACATCAGACTAATTTTCTTTCTTTCTTTCTTTCTCTTTCTTTCTTTCTTTTCTTTCTTCTTTCTTCTTTCTTCCTTCCTTCCTTCCTTCCTTCCTTCCTTCCTTCCTTTCTTTCTTCCTTTCTTTCTCTCTCTTTCTCTCTGTCTCTCTTTTCCTCTCTTCTTTCTTTCTCTCTCTCTTTCTTTCTTTCTTTCTTTCTTTCTCCTTCTTTTTTTTTCTGATGGAGTTTCTCTCTTGTTGCCCAGTCTGGGTGCAATGGGAGCGATCTCAGCTCACGGCAACCTCCACCTCCCGGGTTCAAGCGATTCTCCTGCCTCAGCCTCCCGAGTGGCTGGGATTATAGGCATGCACCACCATGTCCAGCTAATTTTGTATTTTTAGTAGAGACGGGGTTTCTCCATGTTGGTCAGGTTTGTCTCGAACTCCCAACCTCAGGTGATCCACCTACCTCGGTCTCCCAAAGTACTGGGATTACAGGCAGGAGCCATCATGCCTGGCCCCTTTCTTTCTTAAAAAAGGAGGAGGGATGCCCTAAATATATTGAGATTGTGGCATCACTTACATTATATTTTAGCCCCTGACACCCATGAAATCCATTAGCAAGTCAGTGCCTTGAAGAGTGGCCATTTTTATCACATATTCATCCATTTTCAATACATTTTCAGATTTCCAGGAGCTCTGAAGTTCCCCTAAATTCGCCCAACATTTTTGAACCTCTCCCACAGGTCAGACCTACTGCAGGCAAAGGGAGATTGAGACTACCAGGCTACCCTTGCCTTCCCGGAGTTCACTGTTGAGGAGGGGGCTGATGTCTCCAAATGATGGCAGTTCCTGGTGAGTGCTGAAACAGAAGCACATACAGTGCTGTCTATTCAACAGGGGAGTGGAGAGTGACTTCCTGAGGATGTCTGGGCATTTGGGAGGTGGCATTTGAGCTGGAGGCTTGAAGGATGGGGCAGAGTTTTTACTAGGTGGTAGAAATGAACTACCAAATAATAATAATAATCCATGTGTACTCCCCCCTCCAAAACAACAAAAGCAACAAAAGCGATAGTAATGGCACTTAATCTGTGGCAGGCACTGTGGCAGGCACTTTGCACTAATTGCTACATTTGATTTGTTATTACAACCATGTGGGACAAATACTATTATGTACCTCACTTCATAGATAGGAAACTAAGGCTCTAAGAGACCCAGTAACTTGCCTGAGGCCACACAACCATCTAGCATTGAGATTAAATGAAGTTGAATGCCTCTCTCCCCTCCACCCCCCCATTCCAAGACCAACTTTGACAAAAGGCTGAATTTGCCTTTCACAAAGGTCATGCACCCCCTCTTCAACAACTCCATGTTCATTCAACTGTTCCCTGCATGTCTACTAGGTGTCACACATTGGGCTGGCGCTAGGGGTACAAAAATAAGATGTAGACCCCTATCCTCAGGGAATAGTCCAGTCTAGTAAGGAAGACCTACACTAGTTAATCAACCACATAACAAGGTGCAAAATGCAAGTCTGAGAAGCCCGAGATTGTGGCCATAGACATGAAGGTCAGTGGCAGGTACAACTTACAAATTTGGGGGAGACAGAAACAGTCAGATCATAGTAACAACCATCCTTGAAGAACGTCTCCTTTGCAGGGATAGGGGACAGGCACCTTCCAGGAGACAGATTCAGGTTCTTTTCCTTTTCCTTTATTTTTTGAGATAAGGTCTCGCTCTGTCACCCAGGCTGGAGTGCAGTGGCATGATCTTGACTCACTGCAACCTCCGCCTCCCAGGCTCAAGGGATCCTCCCACCTCAGCTTCCTGAATAGCTGGGGCTATAGACACACACTACCATGACCAGCTAACTTTTCTATTTTTTGTAGAGATGAGGTTTCGCCATGTCACCCAGGCTAGTCACGAACTCCTGGACTCAAGCAATGCACCAGCCTCGGCCTCCCAAAGTGCTGGGATTACAGGCATGAGCCACCTCGCCTGACCTGGGCTCTTGTCTTAAGAAAGAACTTTCTAATCATTACAGCTGCCTGAAACAGAAGAGACCTATTTCAAGACAGAGTGAGTTTCCTGCCCTGGAGGCATTCAAGTAGAGGCTAAAGCCCCCCAAAATGGGACTAGTGTGGGGAACAATGAAATCCTTGGCTTCTAGGATCACTTACAGACCCAAGGTTTTAAGGAGTGTGTCCCCAGAGGAGAATGATTTCAGGCACTTTCAGGAGGATTATTTTCACCAAGAAAGTAAAAAATGATTCAGGCTGCACACAGGGAACCTTTCTTATGGACATAGGGGCACCAAGGACAGAAGCAGGCCTAGGTTTTCCTCCCCACAGGGTGTCTCTGAAGCCACCCCAGTCTTGCCCAGCTGCCCCCCTCCCCTATGTCCAAGCCCACAGGTTCTCTAGGTGACCCCCATCTTCTCACTCTGGTTCCAAAAAATGAACACAGATCATTTGAACACAGGCAAGGGGCAGGGCAGGAGGAAGAGGACACAGTTTGCAGTTGTAGGGCATTTGGGATGCTACCATCAAGGTCACTGTGACTCCCAACACCTTTGCTGTGGAGGTGTAATCCTGGGCAGTTCCTAAGGAGCCACTCCCTTGTTCATTGCTGTGCTGTCTGTGCCAAGCAGAGACTGGCACAGAGAAGGCACAGCATGCAGAAAGCAGCTTTCTTTCTTTCTATTTTTAAAAAAAGACAGCCAGGCATGGTGACTCACATCTGTAATCCCAGCACTTTGGGAGGCCAAGGCAGGTGGATCACCTGAGGTCAGGAGTTCGAGACCAGCCTGACCAACATGGAGAAACCCCGTCTCTACTAAAAATACAAAAATTAGCTGGGCATGGTGGCGCATGCCTGTAATCCCAGCTACTCAGGAGGCTGAGGCAGGAGAATCTCTTGAACCCGGGAGGCGGAGGTTGCAGTGAGCCGAGATTGCGCCATTGCACTCCAGACTGGGCAACAAGAGCAAAACTCCATCCCCCCAAAAAAAAAAAAAAAAAAAAAAAAAAAGAGAGACACATCATCACTGTACAAATTGTAAACTATATAGAAAATATAAAGAAAGCCAGAAATAAAGCCCACTGGAGTCACAGAACCACTGTTGCTATTTTAGTGACCATCCTACCAGAAACATCTTTCTGCCTTTAAATAAACATATATATAGGTGTGCAATACAAACACACTAACATTGTATGTTCTGTTCCATAATCTACCATTTTAATCAATAATACAGCATGAACACCATTCTGTTTCAATAAAGAGAGCTATATGATTGTTTTAGTAGTTGCATTATAGTCCATTGCATTATGTACTGAGCCAGTCTTCTGTTGACAAACATCTAGGTTGTTCTCAGTTTTGCACTTTTAAAAAAAAATTTTTTGAGATGGAGTCTTGCTCTGTTGCCCAGGCTGGAGTGCAATGGCACAATCTCGGCTCACTGCGATGTCCACCTTCCAGGTTCAAGCAATTCTCATGCCTCGGCCTCCTAAGTAGCTGGGATTATAGGTGTGCACAACCACGACAGGTGAATTTTTGTATTTTTAGTAGAGATGAGGGTTCACCATGCTGCCCAGGCTGGTCTTGAACTCCTGATCTCAGGTGATCCACCCGCCTCAACCTCCCAAAATGCTGGGATTACAGGTGTGAGCCACCATGCCCAGACAGTTTTGCACTATTTAAAACACCCTGAGATGAATGTATTTGCAGACAGATCTTTTTGCACTTGTACAATTATCTCCTTAGGGTAAATTCTTAGAAATGGAATTATTGGATTCAGGCTGGACACAAGGAACCTTTCTTAAGGACACAGGGGCACCGAGGATATTTTATATTTGGGCACACACTGTCAAACTGCCTTTTCCAAAGGTTGTACCTCTGTATATTCCTATCCAAAGAGGTTATTATTAGTCCTTTATCCTTTGCTTAAATCAAGCTTGTCCAACCCATGGCCCGTGGGCCGCATGCAGCCCAAGATGGCTTTGAATATGCCCCAACACAACTTTGTAGGCTTTCTTAAAACATTTTATATATATATATACACACACATATATATACACACACACACACATATATATACACACAGATATATATACACACACACACACACACACACACATATATATTTATATTTAGCTCATCAGCTATAGCTAGTGTTAGTGTATTTTATGTGTGGCCTGAGACAATTCTTCTTCCAGTGTGGCCCAGGGAAGCCAAAAGATTGAACACCCGGGGCTTAAATGAATGAGCACTTTCTTGAAAGACAAAACAACAACAAAAACTTTGATTCAGACCAGTTTCCTGCCTTTATCTCTCTCTCTCTCTCTCTCTCTCTGTGTGTGTGTGTGTGTGTGTGTGTGTGTGTGTGTGTGTGTGGACACATCTGTGATTATGAAGGTCTAGGTAAGCCTTGTTTCCTAGTATAATTGTATATCTGTCTGTGTTCTCTGTATAATCATAAATCTCTACCTAGTAAGCTGAAGTCCTGAATGAATATTCTTAAGAAAGGGTTATATTCCCACCTCAGTGCGGGGATGAGGTCTGTTTCAGCCTCTCCAGCCCCAAGGATATTCTCCCATTGTCAGTCTTGCCACTATCTCTGAAGTCTCCCGGCCAAGGCTGTTAGGGAGAGGATAGAAAGGGAAGCTACACTGGGTTTGCCCACAGTGGGACCTCAAGTGTTAACTTCGATTTTCCTCAAAAGGTGTCCCTGGACTGGGTGCAGTGGCTCATGCCTGTGGTCCCATCACTTTGGGAGGCCAGGGTGGGTGGATCACCTGAGGTCAGGAGTTCGAGACCAGCCTGGCCAACATGGTGAAACCCCGTCTCTACTAAAAATACAAAAATTAGCCAGGCATGGTGGCATGCGCCTGTAATCCCAGCTACTCGGGAGGCCGAGGCAGGAGAATTGCTTGAACCTGGGAGGTAGAGGTTGCAGTGAGTTCAGTTGGAGTGCCACTGCACTCCAGCCTGGGCAACAGAGAGAGACTTCGTCTCAAAAAAAAAAAAAAAAAGTGCACCTGATACCGTGGCTGAGGGGCATAGAACCATGGTGGAAACAGTGCACTACAAGTCACTCTAGAGGCCCCCACAAGGGGAGGAAAGCGGTGAGGGTAAAATGTCTAAGGTTCTTCCTGCCTGGGGGGCCTGCTCTGCAGAACCCTCCCCTACTCTGCTCTCTCTGTCAGTATCCCTCACACATGTGTCACCTCTGCACTCACACATTCACATCTAATCCCACAACTTATATACTTCCCTTACAACCACACCCATACCCTCTTATTCTCACATAATTTGTCTTATAATTTTCACACCTTTACACCCACATTCTTGCACACAGCACATTCACAGAATTTGATGTTTACACACTCCCACCTACATTATTCACTCCTGTGCAGTCTCACACTGATATACTTCATCTTAAGGAAGTGTAGTCATGAGTTCCTTTCAGTCATTGTCATTTATGTTGTTGAAACCATACCCACAACCCTGCAACTCAACCCAACACTCTTCTTTCGTACATTCTCACAGTCCAACAGAATTCACAGTCATACTTTCACATTCTCCTCAAATCTCTTGAACACATGCAGTTACCCAGAGAATCTTACAACATCATAGCTCATCAGGCCGGGCACGGTGGTTCACGCCTGTAATCCCAGCACTTTGTGAGGCCGAGGTGGGTGGATCACCTGAGGTCAGGAGTTCAAGACCAGCCTGGCCAACATGGTAAAACCACGTCTCTACTAAAAATACAAAATTAGCCGGATGCGGTGGTGCTTGCCTGTAATCCCAGCTACTCAGGAGGCTAAGGCAGGAGAATCGCTTGAGCCTGGGAGGCGGAGGTTGCAGTGAGCCAAGATCACACCATTGCACTCCAGCCTGGGCGACAGAGCAAGACTCTGTCTCAAAAAAAAAAAAATCATAGCTCATCTAGTCTACCCTCCTTATTTTACAGGTAGGATAGCTGAGCCTCTGAGAGGAAAAACATGAGTTGATCAAAGTCATACAATCAGTTAATGGCAAGTTCAAGATGTTAACTCCAATCTCATAACTCCCACAATAGTGCTTTTTCCTGTGGCCAGAGTCCTTCCCTCTCGGTCTTCCTTTCAGTCCCCTGTGCCAAGCCCTCTGCACTGACTCTCAGAAACATTCAAATAGAGGAAGTCGCTCTTGGAAAGACCGGCAGCCGGGTAAGTGGAACAAGTATGCATTTGGAATACAAAAAGAGCCTGAGCAGGAATATCAAATAGCTTGTAGGCTTAGAGAGAATATATGTAAAACACTTGGTACAAAGTAGCAACTGTGAACACTTGTTGGGCACTTACTATATGCTAGGCACTATGCCAAGAACTTTATATATTATCTCATTTAAGTTTTATGAACTTTTAAAGTACGATTATTTCGCTATCACAGAAGAAGGAAGTGAGGTCCAGAGAAGTAAGTCACTTGCCTAAGGCCACTCAGCTAGTGAATTTTGAGACCAAGATTATGCCCTGCTCTGGTTTTCATGCATTATATTATGCTTCTTCCTTCAATAACAAAGGTCACTCTATTGAATCCTTACTTTGTGGCAGACTGTGTGCTATATATGCATGGTTTCTATGTATCTTTGCAGATAAGGAGACAGAAGCTTGGGGGGTGCTTAATGGACAGTATGTTTTATCATTATAGACAGGGAGATTCTAACTTCAAAAGCAAATTTAGCTGTATTTTGCCACAAGGTAAATTATTCAGTTCATGTAAATCTTTAGTGGATCTGATCATTCCCATTCTCATTCCCATTGATTGGTTTATTTTATTATTATTATTATTATTATTTTGAGACAGAGTCTCTCTGTTGCCCAGGCTGGAGTGTAGCAGTATGATCTCAGCTTGCTGCAGCCTCCGCCCCCAGGTTCAAGTGATTCTCCCACCTCAGTCTCCCAAGTAGCTGGGATTACAGATGTGTGACACGACACCCAGCTAATTTTTGTATTTTTAGTAGAGACAGGGTTTCACCATCCAGGCAAGTCTCAAACTCCTGGCCTCTTGTGATCTGCCCACCTCGACCTCCCAAGGTGCTGGGATTACAGGTGTGAGCCACCGAACCTGGCTAATTGGTTTATTTTAAGTCAATCTTCCTTCCTCAGATCTGTAATTCCCTGCAACTCCACCCCAGTGTATCACAGGAAGAGAGTCCCTGCTGTGATCATACACACAGTTGTTGACTTCCACTCACTAGATGAAGTCATATTCAGGCACACTTCTTACACATGCTGTAAGGCCACTGTGGCTTAATCAATTAGCAAGACCATTAGGAAATGGAGTCAAAATACGTGGGATCCAGTGCCATCCCTTACTAACTGGAAGACCTCAAGCAATTACTTTCTCTGCCTCAGTTCTTGCATCTGCAATACTGGAATGGTAATTCTTCCCTCCCAGCATTGTTCTGAGTTTAAAATGCTGTAAGATATTATTATAGAAAGGCTGGCATATAGTTAGCACTCAAAACTTACTACTCACAGTCTCCCACAAAGATATAATACCAGCGCCTCATACCAACCCACACAGAGACAGTCACAAAAACCTGTAGACAGGCCCCCATAACACACCAGACTGTAGACTTGCTCAGATCTGCTAGGGGGCTGTTAGAGTAGTTGAGAAAGAGGTTCTTAAGTAACCTTGGACAAGTCACTTAACAGCTCTTTTTTATTTATTTATTTATTTTTTTAGAGCGGAGTGTCGCTCTTGTTGCCCAGGCTGGAGTGCAGTGGTGCAATCTCAGCTCACCACAACCTCCACCTCCCAGCTTCAAGCGATTCTTCTGCCTCAGCCTCCTGAGTAGCTGGGATTACAGACATGTGCCACCACACCCGGCTAATTTTGTATTTTTAGTAGGACAGGGTTTCTCCATGTTGGTCAGGCTGGTCTCAAACTCCTGACCTAAGGTGATCCGCCTGCCTCGGCTTCCCAAAGTGCTGGGATCACCACCGCGATGGGCCAACATCTCTTTTTAAGAAAAAAAGACTAAAGACTTAAAAAACAAACAACCATAACCACAATACCACTATCACACCTACAAAATTGGTAAGAATTCATTAATATCATCAATTACCGAATTCATATCCAAATTTTCCTTTTTTTTTAACATTTGGTTTGTTCAAATAAGAAACCACACAAGTTCCACCCAATGATGTATTTGGTTGCTTTTTTCTTTCTCTTTTTAAAATGTGTATGAATCTCTTTTCCCTTTGAAGAACCTGGGTTATATGCTCAAAAGACTGTTCCACAGTTTAAAAAATTCACTTTAAAAAAACTTATTTTTAATGCACAAGTAATATATAAATGTACTATTGGTTGTGAAAAAAGAATAGAAAGGAAATCAGACACTACAGATGAAGTGAATGTCTCCCTTGACCATCCCCAATGCCAGCTCTTTAACCTAAATCTCAGTTTTCTCATCCTTAAAATGGGAAAACTTCCCTTCTTAGGGTTGCAGTGAGAATTAATTCTACAGAGGTTGGAAGCGCTTAGCTCATTGCATGCCTCACGTAATCGTTCAGTAGAAGTCGCCTGTAAGTATTTTTCGTCATTGCTCTGATGCCGGCAGACGCAGAAAAGCCGTCCGGCCCCGTGCGCGTTCAGCACCCTGGACAGAGGTGGCGGCGGCCCGCGCCCTCCCAGCCCAGCCCAGCCCAGCCTCCCCCGGCGCTTGGGCTGGGATCTGTAAATGAAACCGCCCGGCTTCCAGCGGGTCCGGTGCAGCCGGTGAAGGGGAAAGAAATCCGGGATTTTCCGAGCCGCCTGCTTCGGCTCTGCGTCTGGCGGAGACAATTACTCGGATACGCTCCGGCTGGCCTTCCCGAGGCCCCAGGTCATTTCAGATCTGGGCCCCGGTCCTTGGGCAGAAGCTGGGCCGAGAAGATCTGGAGCCGGTGCCTCAGTTTCCCGGATTTCCGCGAGGGAGGACCGCGGAAATCGCCACAGGAGACCCCCTGGGGATCCCTCCTGCAACCCCTTCCCTACACACACACACACACACACACACACACACACACACACAGACACAGACACTCAGCCTCCACTGCCCTTGGGAGTTGGGTTGGGGAGCGGGTGGCGGTGTTTGGATGGAGACAGCAGCCTCCTCCGGAAGCCGGCCCAGGGCACAATTAGCAGGGAGCGGAGACGCCCGCGAAGGCTGATTTAATTAGGTGACACGGTGCCAGGCAGGGATGCGGGGGGAGGGGAGAGCAGGGTCAAAACATTTTGTAAAAATCTGTTTCACAAACGTTGCTGCTCCCCTCGGGCCAGAGAGAGATTACTGCGTCTTTGGTGTCGATCAAGGCTGGCAAGAGGCAGCCAGGAGGATGGGGACATATCCTTCTCCTCAGCCTCCCTCTTTTGTCCAGTCTCCAAAACAGTCCCAGGAGCCATCAGCTCCTCTAGGGTGCAGGGTTTGGGATGACCTGGAAAGAGACCACTTTTATAAGGGGGAACAAAGTGCTGTCTATCTGATGCATACTCATCTCCCCAATATTCATAAGAATAATATTACCAGGAGTTGCTGGAAGCATCTACTTTCCAAATAAAGCTATCATTTGCTGAGCAAGTACTCTGCCATTACTAGCTGTCTGATCTTGGTTATTTATGTTCTGTGCCTCAGTTTCCTCATCTCTAAAACAGTAAGGACCCTTCTAGAGTGGATATGAGGAGTAAAGGAAGCCAATATGTAATAGTAAGCACTTAATAATGGTTTGTTTTGTTATTATTATTTTATTACTATTAGGTGCAGTCTAGTTGTTTGACATCTTTTGTCTCTATTCCTCACAACTCTATGGCATAAATATGATTGTTCTCATCTTATAGATGTAGAAACTGTGACTCAATGAGTTTAAGTAACTTGCTGTCACTGACCTGGTTAAGGGCAGAGCTAGGAATTAGACTCAGGGGCTGGGCACAGTGGCTCACGCCTGTAATCCCAGTACTTTGGGAGGCGGAGGCTGGTGGGTCACCTGAGGCCATGAGTTCCAGCCCAGCCTGACCAATATGGTGAAACCCCGTCTCTACTAAAAATACAAAAATCAGCCAGGTGTGGTGGCATGAGCCTGTAGTCCCAGCTACTGGGAAGGCTGAGACAGAATTGCTTGAACCCAGGAGGTGGAGTTTGCAGTGAGCCAAAATTGCCTCACTGCACTCCAGCCTGGGTGACAGAGCAAGACTCTGTCTCAAAAAAAAAAAAAAAAAAAAATTGGACTCAGAACTGTTTGGTATTAGAGCCTGTGCTTTTTCACCATCCCACACCTGAGCTGCCTCAGTTTCCCACTTGTGATCTTCTCTCAGTCCACCTTCCTGGATCCACCACCATAACTGTACATGCCTCGTCCCAACCATGTCTGGCACAGCCAAACCCACCTCCAGTACCCACAGATTTGTGTGGCACTGAGTAAAAGGAAGCATGCAGCACACGTGTGCACACACACGTACACAAATGTGCATATGTCACCAGAGACAGTCATACAGGATCACCCTCCCACAGAGAGAGAGACTACCAAACTCACTATCTCACTCAGAAGTAAAGCAAGCCATACACAAGTGCCTATCTGCCATTGGTCACATTCAGAGCACCCCATCACAAGGGAAAGAGGTTTCACACAGAGAAATAGTGACACCCAACATCACAAAAGAGATGTAATGTACAAATACACAGATACACAAGGTATGTAACACTTCCACATACAAACACACCAAAATAATAAGATATGAACAACTGTACACAGCCACATACACAGGAAGATAGGTTTTTTTTTTTTTTTGTAAGACACCATTTATACAGATACCCACAGAGATACAAAGTCACAACATAGCCACTGGCACACACCATCTCATGGAGAGGTATAGCTACACACCCACCATAACACCCACAATACACCCACACTTAACAGCTGTAGCCAGACATGATGTGACAGAGAAAGAAAATCAGTGAAAATCCAGTCCATATGCACACACTTCCTAGACACACCTGCACAGATCACTGAAGACAGGAAACCATAATCTCACAGGCACACAAACATACACACCGCCAGTCTCCTTTCAGACCCTCTGGGAAGCTGGCTTCAACCCAAGAGCATTCTGCCTCCTAAAGTCTTCAGGGAATGGGGGTCAGTTGACTCCCTTCCCCTCCCTTCTCCAAGCTGAGTTTAGGGCAGCAGGGACACAGTCCTCCAGCAGACATAGGGAGGGGACCCTGGGCAGCCGATCTTAAGGACACCTTGTCTAGCATCATATTTAGCCCAAACTGAGGCCAGCTACTGGGACTTAGGGGCTGTCCTTCCATCCCCCCAATCCATTTCCCCCACCATCCCAGCCTCATGCCCCAGCATTATTTTTCAGAAAAAGGCTGATGGATTTATCAACGACTCCTTCCCTGGGGAGCGAGGACTGTCTCCTCAAACCTCTCCCCCACCTGTTGTCACCTACCTGTGCAGGTGCTGTGTCTCAGCAGCTCAAAGCTCCAGCCTCGGCAGGGTCCCGAAGGCAAGTGGGTGGAGCCTGGTTCCATCCTCTGCACCCCCCAGTTCTAGCTCCCTCTGCAGCTGCCCCTCCAGCTCCAGGCCCCCTGGGCAGCCCCCTCCCTCCCTGCCGCCTGCTTGCCCGGCGCTGTGTCTCTTCTCTGAAAACCAGACTAGGGACGGGGGGAGGGGGGAGGATCCCAGGAGAGGAAGTGGCATCTGACGGCCCCGGCACCAAACCTGGGGGGCTGCAGGGGGGAGGGGAGGAGCAGGGAGGCCTCTCATTGTGTGAGGGAAATTTTATTTTTAACAGATGCTAAGGCAGATGGCACAGAATTAACAGAAAATGGGAGAGGAAAGAGAGGAAGAACATTACTGACTCCGGAGAGAGTGGACATTAAAAAAATAAAGAATAAGGGAATGAAAACAAGTTTAAGTGCTCTCTCCGGGGGGGAGGGGGGAGGGGAGGAGAGCTGAGAGGCAGAGAGGGACGGAGCAGCGTGGTGATAACCAGAGGCGTGAAATTACAAAAGTAAAATTTGTGGGACTCGGGAGGGGCTGAGAAGGCCCCAGTTTCATTGCAAAACTCACTCAGAAATTACTGATGTGATGTTTGAGCTTTTATCATTAATAATAATCTAGAGGGGAGGGGAAGACAAAAGGACTTGTGGGCTGGGTGGGGGGGTGTTGAGGCCCCAGGAAAAAAGGTGCGTGCGCTGTGGGGCAGGGGTGAGAGAAAAGTCATTTCTGTGACAGAAAAAAGAAGGTAAGAGAGAAAAACTCAGGGAGACACAGCAGAAACTGAGACAAATGGAGAGACAGAGGCAGAAGAAAAGGAAAGGAAGGAGAGAAACAAGAGAGAAAAAGGAGGAAGAAGAGAAGCTGTGGGAGAAGGGTTAAGATAGAAGGGGTGGGGGGAATGAAAGGCAACTAAAGAGAGATCCGGAGGTGGTGCGGCGGAGACAAAGAGACAGAGACGGCAAAGAAGACAGAGATGAGGAGAGAGACAGCCAGGAAAACTGTATCAGAAACAGAGCAAGACAAAACACACAGTGCACTCAGGGGTATGGAAACTAGCCCCAAAGCCGAGTGAACAATGGGCAAAGTGACCAGAAGCAGGGGGCCCAGAGAAACACGGCAGGAAGACAAAGACAAAAGAACAGCGGCCCGGACAGACAGAGAAATGGATGAAGAAAAAGAAAGAGTTGGGAAGAGTGAGAGACAGAGTGAGTGAAAGGCAGAACAAAACAGAGAGAGAACAAAAAAAAACTCAGACAGACTTTGAACAAGACACAGAAAGAGTTGGAAAGACAGAAATTTCAAGAGAGAGAGAAAGAGACCCCCACAATCAGGATGAGAAAGGTGAGACTCAGAAAGGGAGAAAGAAAAACTGAGCCTGAGGCAGAGAGAGACAGAGAGGCTGTGGGGGAGACGACAGAGAGGGCAGGAAGGGAGGAAGGGATGGGAGACAAAGAGGAATGGCCGTTTATCTCTCCTCCCAAATTAATTGAGGCTACATCAGCCTGAGCCACTAAAACGGAGCGATTATGAATGGGTTAGTCACAGGTGGAGTTAAAGGCCTTCAGAGGGATATTAGCCAAAATTGAGTGGCTTTTAATTTCTTTCTAACGAGAGACTGTGGCTGGGGAACCAGGCACCGCCTCCACTCAGCTCCACTGCTAAACACGGCGTGCAGGCAGCCTGGGCCACTCGCCACCTGACCTGTGTGGCATAGGCAGCCAACTGGAAATGGCCATGCCTGTGACATGCCTGCCACATGCTTGCAACATGCCTGTAACATGGCCCCCCACACAATGGGGGGCCACCACCTTTGTGGTGGGTGAGGAGAAGGAGGGGTCAGAGCCCTTGGAAGTGGCCAGGCGAGGGAACACATGGGCAAAGGCTGAACAGTCTTGGATGTGGAAGAGGGTGAGAGGGGAAGTAGATGCTTCATTAAAAGTCCTGCCATTGCTACAGGGTTCCCCAATTACCCCGATCCCACTTTGAGGAAGGCATCATGGTCCAGCATTGCTTTTCTCCATCCTGGAGAAACCAAGTCCCTGAGATTACAAGTACTATTGCCAACTTACACATGAGTGACAGTGATGACCTGAACCCTAGGAGCAGGATGGTGAGGCCAGAGACCCAGATGTGAGTCTCAACTCAGGCAGAACCCTGGATGACACCCCTCTGGCTGGGCCTCGGTTTCTCCATCTATAAAATGAGGGAGCTGAAGTCTCAGATCTCTGCTAGCATCAACATGAGTGAGAGACAGAGGGAGTGAGTTAGACAGACTTCCTGTCTAATGTCTTATCCAGGGGTCCCTGCTGCATAGGGGACATATGGGTTAGGATATGTGACCCAGGAGAGCATTTGCAATCACTGGAATAAGGTATGTGAACTAAACATAGGGTCCCTGGTCCAGCATGATACAAGTCACAGAAAGTGCAGTGATGGTCCCAGGCCGTGAATTCACAGATGATGGACGCCTGGGTGGTGAGGGCTAAGGAAGGCTAGAGAGGAGGAAAGATCACTGTAGATTAGCGGAGCCCAGCGAGGGTGTAGTTTGAAGAGGGTCATGAGTGGTTGGTTGGAGCCACGGGAGAGGACATTCCTAGTGGGGACACCGAGATCAAAGGTACAGTGGTGCCACCTGGCTGGAATTGACCCTACATGGATATATGGTGGGCAAGGATGAGGGGGACAGAGGGGAGACAGTGGGCCCTGGTCTTGCAGGCTTTGAGGCTTGAGTGAGAACACGGAACTCAACCCTGTAGGTGTGGGACGGAGGGTGCAGAGTGGGGTTCTGGGCACAGGCAGAAGAGTGTTTGGGGATTTGGGGTATTTAGGGGAGGTCACCATGGGACAGGAGTTGGGGGAGAGCATGGAAACAAGTCAGCAGACGGGGGACTGATGTAACAGGGTGGGTGAACCTGAGTGAAGGAGAGGATGGGAGAAATAGAGATGGCAGGACCTGGTAAGCGACAGGGTATGGGGATGAGGACAGGATATGAGTAAAAGATGACCTTGGGTGTCAAAGCCAGTGCCTTCGAGAATGTTGGTGACCACAGCAGTAGGCAAAGCGGGATGGGAGCTAAGGCAGACACAAAGATGCTGGCTTCCACCCGAGAACAAAGAGGATGTGGGAGGCAGTGTGGTCCGACGGGAAGTTCAGCCATCCAAGCATCTCTAATATCCAACTTCTTGTGCTTTCTCAGCCACTAATTAGCTATGGGACCTTGGACAAGACACTCCCCATCTCTGGACCTCAGTTTGTTCATCTATAAAATGTGGGAGTTGGTCTGGGCTCTTTTTAAGTTTCCCTCTAGGTCTATGATTCTGAGACCCAGAGACAAAGCCAGGGACAGAGACCTGGATGGAAACAGAGACAGGGACGGGAAGAGAGACTGGTGATCATTCCAACTGCCCTCTGGTCCCCTGGGCCAACAGCTGCGCCCCCTCCTCCTCGAAACTCCATTAACACTCAATTAGGGGGCCTGATGGGCTTGAGCCTGGGGAGCCCCCTCCCTCTCTTGCACACAGGGTGTCCCATTGAATGTTCAGCTGATGAGCCCACTGGGAGGAGGCTTCACTCAAATTTATAACTAACTCTGGCGGCTGCCCTGCCGGCCCCGGCCTCTTTTCCCTTCCTCCTCCCAGAGAGGAGCCCATGGGGCTGGGTGAGGACAGGGAAGGAGGGCAGCGCCCACGCTGGAGACCCCAGAGATGAAAGGGAGCGGGCCCCAAGCAGAGGAAGTGGGAGGGGAGAAGTGAGGAAGAGCGCGTGAGAGTGTGTGAGAGAGAAAAATGACAGGCCCTGAATATTGGGCGCCCTCACTTTAAATCAAGATAAAAGACTGAAGTGGAAAATGAGAGTCCAGAGAAGCCCCGGACGGCTCGGGGCGCTAATGGAAACACATGGCTGCCGGCTGCGGGCTTGTCAGCTTCCCCCGGCGCTGCCATTCCCGTCTGATAATCCGGCCTGCCATAAAATTAGACTAGCAAATACCTCCTGACAAAGATGCATGTTTCTCTCTATTGTGCCATCATAAAAAAAACTCCGCTGGTGACTCGGGGAGCCGCAAACTTCAATTTAAATTTACAGTGCTGCGGAAGGAAAGTGATATGCACTCAAAAATTTTAATAACCTATTAAGTTACGACTTCAATTTCATTTTATGAATATTTTCCTTGGGGAGCACGGCTATCACAGAGAAAGATAGAAATTTAAAAAAGATAAATAGTGCCATTAATCTCCAACATTTCTCTTCCATTATCCTTGAAAATTAGGAGTTATTTTTGTTCAGATCTTCATGTAATTAGCTCCCTCCACTTGATTCACTAGCCAGAAAATGACCATGTTCAGAAAATTAAAAATTTGTCATTAAGTGGAATTTAACATAATATCATTTATCTTTATCTATTCCCCAGCTGACAGCAGGAAGCCTTGGCTGCCTTACCGGCTGGTGTGTCAGAGTAGAGAGGGACTGCTTGGGGAGAGACACTGGGGGAGACAGAGATAGAGACCGAGGGAGGGAGAGAAGGCCAGTGCAGAGGGGGCCAAAGCCAGGCGAGGAGGGCAGGCAGGAGGCCTCCGGAACTGAGAGTCAGCCAGGGTGGGGAGGCAGAGGAGGCTGAGGGCAGAAGAGAGGAGGCGCAGGCTGCTGGGGTCAGCAGGGGTGGGTGTGGGCCTGAGAGCAGGGCAGATGGGAGGGGCTGAGGGTGGAAGAGGAAAGCCAGAGAGGCACATCAGGAGCAGATGCCCAAAGACGAAAGTAGCTGGCTAGTAGGGCTGGGGTGAAGAAGTGACTTGGAGGACAGAAACCCAGCAGAAGGAAAGAAACCTCCAGAAAAGGGGGCTCAAGGTGGGATGGGAGAGGTAGGGGACACCCTGTCCATTGGGAGGACTGACCACAATCTGGCTTCAAGAGAAGACAGAGAGACAAAAAGAGATAGTCAGAGAGCCAGAGAGGAGGTGACAAGGCATTGAGAGCCAGGAGGCAGAAATGGAGTGAGGTGGCGGCAAGTGTGAGTCAGAGAGAGAGAAACAGACAGAAGGGGCTCCGGGAAGTCACCATGTTTGAGACCCCAGACAAGCTCTTGAACTTCTCTGGAAGGCTGCATGGCTCACTCTCCTCCTCCCCTCCTCTAAACAGCCCCCACCCTAGTTCCCCCAAGTCAGAAATCATCCAATAAACGATTCAGACCTATTCCTGGGTGGAGAGAGCTGTGGCCAAGCCTGAGAGACTGAGAATTGGATAAAGGGATTAAACAGCAGCACATTAGTGAGAGATTTAGAGTGTAATAAACCCATTTCATAATAATATGTGTGTTGGGGCAGCGATCCATCATCACAGGAGCCTGTCCATGGCGGGGGGAGCACTGATCTGCTGGGAGGAGACCCGCACGGATGGCTGAGGTTTTTTCTCAGGGTCTCAGGATATGGGCAAGGGGTGCAGACAGGCCCCCAGGGCTATGAGGGGGGCACAGGGATGCTGAAGGCATCTTTGGCTCAAATTGCTATAGGGATCAACCTGAGGCTATAGCTGGGAAGAATCTGGGCTCCAGAAGAGGTCTGGGAGCCTGAGAGACTCCCTTGTTTCCCCAGCCTAGGACCTCTGCAGTAAGGGTAGAAGGATTTTTCCAGGGACAGCTCCAAGCTGCGGAGTCCACAGGTCACAGGTGGGATCTAGCAAGTTGAAGACTCCCAGATAAGCCCCCTGCTGCTTCCTGCATCCACTCTTTTCCCCTAGAAGAATTCCTATCCACCCAGAAAGGCCACGTCCTCCATAAGTTTCCCCTGAGCTCCCCATCCCACCTGTCCATCACCCAGAAACCCCTGCATTTCTTCCTGGGAGTGCTTAGGCTTCAGAGATGGTGTGGATTTGAATCCTGAGCTTGTCACTTACCGGCTATCTGATCTTGGCAGGTGACTTCCCCTTTCTAAGCCTCAGTTTCCCATCTGTCAAATGGAGATAATGGGTGTGAAATTATTCTATAAAGCAGAAAATCCCAAGGAAACATTATTATTGCTATGATTCCCCCACATTTGGCCCTCCACTCCCAGATTGCCTTGAGATATCTCTCGGCTTATTGTCATGGAGTTTCATCTCCCTGACTGGACTCTGAGCTTACTCAAAGGCCGGTAAGAAGTGGCACATTGGTTATATGATTCAGTATTTATTTTTATTTATTTATTTATTTGAGACAGACTCTCGCTCTGTCGCCCAGGCTGGAGTGCAATGGCACTATCTCAGCTCACTGCAACCTCTGCCTTCTAGGTTGAAGCGATTCTCATGCCTCAGCCTCCCCAGTAGCTGGGATTATAGGCATGCACCACCATGCCCAGCTAATTTTTGTATTTTTAGTACAGACAGAGTTTTGCCATGTTGGCCAGGCTGCTCTTGAACTCCTGACCTCAGGTGATCCATGCGCCTTGGCCTTCCAAAGTGCTGGGATTACAGGCGTGACCCACGGTGCTCGGCCTGATTCAGTATTTAAATTGTCCTGTTAATAGGGCAGAGGAAAACATTCTCCTGCTGTTTATCTCCATTGAAGGAAACCAGCATCAGGGATTAATAAACAAACTTCCCCCTGGAAAAAGGATTGAGAGATAGTAATGGACCAGTTAGGTCTCAGTTGTCAGTCTTTTCTTTTCTTTTTTTTTTGAGACGGAGTCTCGCTGTCGCCCAGGCTGGAGTGCAGTGGCGCGATCTCGGCTCACTGCAGGCTCCGCCCCACGGGGTTCACGCCATTCTCCTGCCTCAGCCCCCCGAGTAGCTGGGACTTCAGGCGCCCGCCACCTCGCCTGGCTAATTTTTTGTATTTTTAGTAGAGAAGGGGTTTCACCGTGTTAGCCAGGATGGTCTTGATCTCCTGACCTCGTGATCCGCCCGCCTCGGCCTCCCAAAGTGCTGGGATTACAGGCGTGAGCCACCGCGCCCGGCCAGTTGTCAGTCTTGAAACACTGGTGAGTGGAAGAAGTGGAGATGCTGAGAACAGAGATGACTTCCTAGGAGAAGAGAGGCCTGGGGAGTTTGGGCTATGGTGGGTGATGGTCCAGGTGGCCCAGGAGGATGTGAAGGAGGAAGGGTGGGGAAATCAGATGTCACTTCTCCAAGACCCAGGCACACTGGCTATCTTCCTTTTCTTCCATTGTCCCAGATATTTTATCCGTCTACTCCCATCTCAGAGAGGCCAGTGGGCATGGCCTTCAGCCCTGGCTGAGATTCCAGGTTCTTCCCTAGAAGGAGAAGTGGTGTAATCTCCAGTCCTAGGTTCAACCAGTCCCCAATCTGCTCTCAAATTTGACTGAATTCAGCATCAAACTCTGGTTAATTTCTAGGAACACAGACTTTCCGTGGTAACCCTATCCCAATAATGGAGCCTTCCTGAAACTTCACTTCAGCCAAAGCTGTCATTGTTTCTCCCAGACTTAAAAGTTTCACTGATACTAACACTGCACCCCTGCAACTGCACCGCCAGATCAACTGATCAAGGACATCATTGATCTGCCTGCTCCTCACCAAAAGCCAAGTAAATGTCATTGCCAGTCCCCCGAGCTTCTGCCAGAGGCCTTCCAGATCCCACAAAAGAATAGGGATGCAAAACTGGTTCTGTACTTTCTTCCAAAGCTCAAGCCAATACATCCTTTGCTTCTTTCTGTAAATATTTATTACAGGCTTGTTAAAGCCAAAAACAAAACGTATACTACAAAGCAATAAGTGTGCCTTAAGTTCTTTGTGAGTAATACAGAGCGTTCCAGTGTTCCAGGAAGGGACAGATCTGTGCAGACTGGCAGGGTCAGAGGCAGGATTGAAGGAAGAAGTGCCACTGGAGCTGGACAGGTGTTGGGCAGAGCTTCAACAGGTGGAGCCTGGAGGAACAGCTTGGCCAGAGGAGAGAGATGCATGGACAGAAGTGCAGAGAAGGAGGACTCCAGAATTTCAGGAGTATCTACTCTGTACCAAGAACATGCTGGCAGCTTTCAGCCATATTATCTCATTAACCCTTCCCAACATGTTTAGAGATAGGAGTTATAACCTCCGTGTATATAGATGAGAAACTGAAGTTCAGGGAAGTTAAATAACTTGCCCAACATCAGAGTTAGTAAGCAGCCTCAAACCTGGAACCAGTTGCCTCTGAAAGCCATGCCCTTTCCTCTACACTGTAGTGCCAGGCATGTTTGGGAAAAGAGCAGCCCAGTTTGTCTGGAGCATAGAGTGTGTGAAAGGAAAGGGAAAACTGCCCCACACTGGTCATTGCCTTTAAGGGTGCAGCACCATCTCTGGGACTGCTAGGGCCGTTCCTATAGAAGGGCCTGGTGCAGGCCGAATCTCCACCTGTGGCTCTCTTGGGGTCAACACCCTTGGGAACTCAGGAGAAGCAGGGACACAGGGAGAAGCAATGCTTCATCCACATGCTCCTTCAGTGACCCTCCTCTTCCTCCTGCATTCCCCATCATCTTTCCCTCTCCCCTCTGAGCCTTCCTTCTATGCCCTTATCCTCTGGACCTCTATCCTAATTTCCCTTCCCCTTGCTGTCAACCATTCCTGGATATACATCTGGGGTCTCCACCTCCCACCACCTCTTCCTTTCCTAACCCCTCTGTTCCCACTTACCACAATCACCAATAGCTTCCCCTAAAATATTTCCAGCCAGGCATGATGGCTCACACCTGTAATCACAACACTTTGGGGCCAAGACAGGAGGATCACTTGAGGCCAGGAGTTCAAGACCAGCTTGGGCAAAATACTGAGACCTTGTCTCTATGAAAAATTTTAAAATTGTCTGGGTGAGGTGGTGTGCATCTGTAGTCCTAGATACATAGGAGCCTGAGGCAGGAGGATCACTTGAGCCCAGAAGTTTGAGGCAGTAGTGCACAGTGATAGTGCCTGTGAATAGCCTTTTTACTCCAGCCTGGGCAACTTAGTGAGACCGAGTCTCAAAAAAAAAAAAAAAAAAAAAAATTCAGTGACTTCTCATTGACTTGCAATCCACCTTCATTGTTTACTAGCTTGATAAGTTACTTATTCTGCCTAAGCCTCAGTTTTATCACCTGTCAAATGGGAATGATAACAGTGCCTTCCTCTAACTCAATGAGATAAAATAAGGAAAGAGCATGGTACCTGGTATACAGCCAGCATTTAATAAATATTGGCAGTTATTATTTTTCTCTGCCTTTATTCTTCTTGATCACAATCCTCAAAAGTCCAGGGCTGGGCATGGTGGCTCACACCTGTAATCCCATCACTTTGGGAGGCAGAGGTGGGCAGATTGCCTGAGGTCAGGAGCTGGAGACCAGTCTAGCCAACATGGTGACACCCTGTCTCTACTAAAAATACAAAAAAATTAGCCAGGTATGGTGGCGTGCACCTGTAATCCCAGCTACTGGGGAGGCTGAGGCAGGAGAATTGCTTGAGCCCAGGAAACGGAGGTTGCAGTGAGCCTAGATTGCGCCACTGTACTCCAGCCTGGGTGACAGAGCAAGACTCTGTCTCAAAAAAAAAAGGTCCAATAGATAATGAATAAAAAAATACATTAAATGACACTGCATTGCTTACAAAAAGACTCCAAAGTCCTTAGCCAGGTTGAGACCTCCATTGCTTGGAAGCCAGATGGTCCATCTCCTTCACCCCCATGTAGAAGGATGTGGTCTGATGACAGAGTCTCCAACCTGGAATCCATAGAACTTTAAAATTCCTCAGAAGTATGTAAAGGGTCCACAGAGTTTGTTTGTTTGTTTGCTTGTTTGTTTGTTTTAGAGATGGGGTCTGGCTCTGTCACCCAGCTGGAGTGCAGTGGTGCAATCATAGCTCACTACAGCCTGAAACTCCTTGGCTCAAGCCATCCTCCCACCTAGGCCTCCCAAAACGCTGGGATTACCGGTGTGGGCCACCATGCCTGGCCTGAACTTTCATATAGGTATATTTTTGAAACCGTAAATAAGAGATCATATGTTCATAGAAATGTTGTTATGAATTGAATTTGAACACATTAGAGGCTACCATCATGATAAGTATGTGGGTTTATTGACATTTTTTCCTAATAAGTAAAAAGCTAAATCTTGAGCCTTCATAATATGTGCTAATAAAATACTGTCTTCTCAGTTTTACACATTAGGTTTGTTTGAAAAAGATGGGTTGGGGTGGGAGGTGATTCTCTCCAAAAAAACAAAAAAGCTTGAAATCAGTAGTAAAGCGGAAGGACTACACGAACCTGGGCCCCAGTCGTAAGCATATACCACTTCCTTCCCCAAATTTCTGAAGACTTCAGGCCTCCATTTCTTCACAGATAAATGTGTATCTATCTCGACCACATGGGGTTAACAATAGGCTAAAATAAAAGAATATATGAGAAAGTGCTTGCACGGTACCTGCATCAAAAGCTAAGGCTTATTGAGTACTAACTGTGTGACAGGACCTGAGCTATAAGCCTGCATATATGATTATACTTCATCCTTGCAGCAACCCTTTAAAGTAAATTTTGCCACTACTCTCATTTACAGATGATGACCCTGAGGCTCGGAGCCATTAAGTAATTTGCCAAAGGTCACAAAACCATAAGCTGTGGAGCTGGGTTTTGAATCTAGGCAGGCAAGCACTAGAGCCTGAGTTGTTTTGTTTGTTTGTTTGTTTTGTTTTAGAGACAGAGTCTCACCTTGTCGCCCAGGCTGGAGTGCAATGGCCAGATAATTTTTGTATTTTTTAGTAGAGATGGGGTTTATATGTTGGCCAGGCTGGTCTCGAACTCCTGACCTCAGGTGATTCACCCACCTCAGTCTCCCAAAGTGCTGAGCCGCCGCACCTGGCCGAGTCTGAGCTTTTTTTTTCCCCCCAAGACGGAGTCTTGATCTGTCACCCAGGCTGGAGTGCAGTGGCTTGATCTGGGCTCACTGCAACCTCCACCTCCCAGGTTCAAGCAATTCTCCTGCCTCAGCCTCCGGAGTAGCTGGGACTACAGGTGCCCACCACCACACGCGGCTAATTTTTGTATTTTTAGTAGAGATGAGGTTTTGCCATGTTGGCCAGGCTCGAACTCCTGACCTTGCAATCTTCCCCCCTCAGCTTCCCAAAGTGCTGGGATTACAGGCGTGAGCCACTGTGTCTGGCCAAGCCTGAGCTTTTTAAAAAGTATTGAGCACTTTCTAGGAAGCTGGCACTGTTCTAAGTTCTTTTACAGGTTCCAATTCACAGAATTCTTACAATTGCCATAGCAGGTGCATCCCACGAGACTTGTGCCATATGACTTTGCATAAGAGGTGGAGTCTATTTCCCATCCCTCTGAATCTGGGCTGGCCATGTGATTTTTGGACCAACAGAATGCAACAGAAGTGACACTTTCTGGGCTTAGGCCTTAAGAGAGCTCGCACCTTCCATAGTCACCCCGTTGGAGGCCAGCTACCATGTAAGAAGTCTGAACTCTTCAGCTGGAGAAGCCAGTGGAGACAGAAAGGCCCTGCAGGGTGAGAGGTGGCATGAAGGAGTGCCAAGGTTTTCCAGCCAGCAGCCACTGCCAGGCATGTCAGTGGGGCCATCTTGGATGTTCCAATCCCAGCTGAGTTTCCACATGAATGCAGCTGTGGGAGGGAACTCAGCCAGCACTACAAAGAGCAGAAGAAATGCCCAGCTGAGCCCAGCCAACCCCCAGACTCATGAAACATTTAAAAAATCAGTTTTAGCTACTGAAATCTGGGGTGCTATGTCATACAACAATCAATAATCAAAACAAATTAGGTGAATCCTACTAGTTCCATATTTTACAAATAAGACAACTAGGGCATGAAGGGGTTGAGATCCTAGGATTAAGCCTGGGTAAGTTATGACCCACCATGATGACCGCTAGGATCCTAGGATTAGGCCTAGGTAAGTTATTTAACCTCTTTATGTCCTCGTGAATGAGTGAGTTAGTAAATGAGTGACAAAGCCAATGCCTGCACTGAGACATTCTGGTTCCAGAGACCACATGAATAACTACCAGGGTGCGATAGGCTGAAAAATAGCCACTCAAAGATGTCCTTATCCTATACCGGGCGCGGTGGCTCATGCCTGTAATCCCAGCACTTTGGGAGGCCGAGGTGGGCAGATCACCTGAGGTCGGGAGTTCGAGACCAGCCTGACCAACATGGAGAAAACCTGTCTCTACTAAAAATACAAAATTAGCCAGGCATGGTATCACATGCCTGTAATCCCAGCTACTAGGGAGGCTGAGGCAGGAGAATCACTTGAACCTGGGAGGTGGAGGTTGCGGTGAGCCAAGATCATGCCATTGCACTCCAGCCTGGGCAACAAGAGCGAAACTCCCTCTCAAAAAAAAAAAAAAAAAAAAAAAAAGTCCTTATCCTAATCCTAATGCCCAGAACCTGTGAATATTTACCTCACATGATAAAAGAGATTACCGGCCGGGCACGGTGGCTCACGCCTATAATCCCAGCACTTTGGGCAGCCAAGGCAGGCAGATCACTTGAGGTCAAGTGTTCGAGACCAGCCTGGCTAATATGGTGAAACCTTGTCTCTACAAAAATACAAAAAAAAAAGAAAAAAAATAGCCGGGCATGGTGGCACACATCTGTAATTCTAGCTACTTCTGTGGCTGAGGGACGAGAATCACTTGAACCCAGGAGGCGGAGGTTGCAGTGAGCCAAGATCATGCCACTGCATTCCAGCCTGGGCAACAGACTCCTTCTGAAAGAAAGAAAAACAAAGAAAGAAAGAGAGAGAGAGGAAGGAAGGAAGGAAGGGAGAGAAGGAGGGAGGAAGGGAGAGAGAGAGAGAGAGAAAGAGAGAAAGAAAGAAAGAGAAAGAAAAAAAGAAGAAAGAGAAAGAAAGAAGAAAGAGAAAGAAAGAAAAGAAAAGAAAAGCGAGACATGATAAAAGGGACTTTCCAGATGTAACTATGTTAATGATTTTGAGGTCATCCTGGATTATCAGAGTGTGCACAATGTAACCACAAGGGAGGCAACAAAGTCGAAGTCAAAGAAAAAGGTGATGTGATTCAGGACCACAAGCCAAGAAATGAGGATGACCTTTAGAAGCTGGAAAAGACAAGTACACAGATTCTCCCCTCCAGCCTGCAGAAGGAACAGGCCCTGTTAACATCCTGACTTTAGCCCAATGAGACTAACTTTGTACTCTGACCTCCAGAACTGTAAGATAATAAATTTTGTTGTTTTAAGCCACTGCGTTTGTGGTCAATTGTCACTGCAGCAACAGAAAACTAATACATTGGGCCTCTGCTATTTAAAGAGAGCTGGATCCTTCCCTCGGGCTCTGGCTAGGCCAGTCTCCTTATTGCCTCCTGTCACATTTGGCGCCCCAGCCCTTCTCTGGCTCTTAAAAATCTCTATTGTCTCCATCTATTAATTCATTCCTACCCACCTCTTCCAGGAAGTCTTCTCTGAACATCCTAGATCACACTGCTCTGTCCTGTCTCTAAAAGCACTAGATGTTTTGCACCTTCTTACTCAGCACTTAGTGATATCAATGCTAATGTGCTGGCAGGCAGCCCAGTGACATTCTTATGAGTGTAAGTCATTGAATCCAAGGACATCAAGCCAGAGAAACCCTTTGAGAGTCTATCCCTTCATTTTATGGATGATGAAACTGAGTCCCAGGGAAGAAAAGAAAGCTGCATATCCAAGGTCACATATCCAGGGCTCAAAGACAGACCTTCTGACTTCAGATTCATAAACACATTCCTTCAGCAATTACTTATTGAGCCCTCGCTAAGCTAGCTGCTGGGGAATCACTGACAATCGTTAGCAGATGAGATTCCTGCTCTCTTGAAAGTCTCTGATACATGAGAGAGGGAAACACTGATGCAGTAATCACACAGATATATAATGACCCACCATAAGTGTCGGTAAAGCAGGCTGTGGGAGTGCAAAACATAGGGAACTCTTTCAAGCAGGAAAATCAGGGAAGTCTTCTCTAAGTAGATGATCGTTGACCTGAGATGTGAATAATGGTGGGCATAGTTAACTAGGTCTCTCGAGGGGTAGCAGGGAGAAGAAGAGAGTTTTAGGCAAAAGAAATGATGCATGCAAAGGCCCTGGGGCAGGAGGGAGCAGAACAAGGAGGAAAGAGGCAGCCAGGATGCCTGGAAGTCAGAGTAACAGGGAGAAAGGTAAGGGTCAAAGGCTACAGAAGTTGACAGGGGTCAGACCACAAGGGACGGGGAAGCCATGGTGAAGTTTTGATCTTAGTCCCAGTGGCAATGGAAAGCCATAGGAGAGTTTTAAGCAGGGTGATGACATGATCATATTTGAATTTTATAGCGTTTCCACGCACACCCCCTCTACCCTCTGCCAGGGCCTTCTCTTACCTCTATAAGCATATCAGAGATCGTTATTGCAGGGAGTTTTATGTCACTCTCTATTCCACTCCATCCCTAGCCTTGTACAAAGCAGATGCTCCATAAATATGTGTTGATTAACCTCTCAGCAGCATGCGACGCTGTTGACGGCCTCTCCCTCTTGAAGAGCTCTCTCTTCTGTTTCTGCGCTGCTGCACACTCCAACTTCCCTCCATCCTCCGATCACCCTGCCCCACTCCCACCCCATACTTCAGCATTTCTCCCAGTTTCACCTTTACGATCTTTCTACTTTGTCCACACTCTCCCCCTGGGTCATCCTGTTGCCTCCAACAGTAGTGATCTCTTCCTTCTGGGCAGAACTTCCACAAGGGCTGGGACCTTGTCTGTCTTGTTGCATCTGCAGAGCCTGGCACAATACCTGGCACCCAATAAATTATCAATATTTGATGAGAAGATGCTGTATGGTTCCGTGTATATGAAGCTCAAGCACAGGCCAAACTAATTTATGGCAATCGATTGTGGTCAGAATAGTGGTCACCCACGGGGAATCATGGCTGGGAAGAAGCACAGGGAACTTGGTTGGGGGAGGCTGGAAATCTTGATCTAAGGGTGTTGGCACAG
This sequence comes from Homo sapiens, assembly GCF_000001405.40. Taxonomy (NCBI): domain Eukaryota; kingdom Metazoa; phylum Chordata; class Mammalia; order Primates; family Hominidae; genus Homo; species Homo sapiens. Next base: position 100,698,716 of record NC_000010.11, read on the forward strand.
GTGTCCACATATGGGAGAGCTCACTGAGCTGTACACTCAGATTGGTGTTCTTTCCTGTCTGTGCAGCGTATCTCAATAACAAAGTAGAAAAGAATGCAATATCACCACTCTGCTGAGAGGCAATTCCCATTTCTTTTCCTTTTTTTTTTTTTTTTTTTTTTGAGACAGAGTCTTGCTCTGTCGTCAAGCTGGAGTGCAAGCAAGCAAGATCTCGGCTCACTGCAACCTCCGCCTCCCAGGTTCAAGCAATTCTCCTGCCTCAGCCTCCCGAGTAGCTGGGACTACAGGCACGTGCCACCACGCCTGGCTAATTTTTGTATTTTTAGTAGAGACAGGGTTTCACCGTGTTGGCCAGGATGGTCTCAATCTCTTGACCTTGTGATCTGCCTGCCTCAGCCTCCGATAGTGCTGGGATTACAGGCGTGAGCCACCACGCCAAGTTGCAATTCCCATTTCTAACTGCTCTATGTGTCCACCTCGAAACCCACCTCATTATCTTTCCAGCCTCCCAAACCAACTCTTCTGGGTTCCCAATTATTCAGTTTCCAAACCTCAGGGCCATCTTGTCCCCACACCACCTCTTCTGACATCCCTCCCCACCCACCTTTCCAAGACGTGTAATACAAGTGGTCGTATGATTACACAGAATTTTAAGATGACCCCATGACTTTCGCCTCCTGGTGTTGCTCCCTGATTATGTTACATAGCAAAAGGGAGATAATCTGGGTAGGTCAAGTCTAATCACAGGAGCCCTTTCAGAGCAGAATGTTTTCTCTGGCTGCTGATAGAGGCAACTGGAGGTATTCAAATCACAAAAATAACGTACTGTTGCTGGCTTGGAAGACAGAGGGTCCATATGCAGGCACCAGAGAGTGGTTTTTAGGAGAATGACCCCCACCTGACAGCCAGCAAGGAAACACGGACCTGAGTCCTATTATAGCAAAGAACTGAATTCTGCCAACAAGAATGACAGTGAAAGCAGATTCTTTCCCCAGAGCCTCAAAGAAGAGCTCAGACAGGCTCACACCTTGATTTTAGCCTTGTGAGACTAAGAGAGAAATCAATTACGCCTGCCAAGACTTTCAACCTATAGAACTAAGATTTAAGAAAAAATAGGTGTTGTTTTAAGCCACAAAGTTTGTGGTATATTTTTACAGCAGCAATAGATAATACACACCTTCAATCCTATCTGTAGATAACTAATACACATCTTCAATCCTATCTATTTACAATGGCCTCCAAATCCATCCCTTCCTCCCCATTCCTTTGGTCTCACCATGACCCAGACTCCCTGATCTCACCTCTGCCCAAACCCGTCCATCTTGCTCACTGCCACCAGATTAATTTTCCAAAGTCACAACCCTGCTCACATCCTTTTTCTGCTGAAAAGCTCCCGTGACAGTGTAGCCTGGTGGTTATACTCTGCAACCAGAATGCAGGGTGTAAATCCCAGGTCCACCTCTTAGTGGTGGGTGACCCAGATCAAGCTGCTTAATCCACCCACCAAATGAGAGTAATAGTACCATCCTCATAGTGTAGCCACAAGTATTAAATGAGATAAGCATGCAAAAAATAGTTGTGCATGGTCCAGCAAAGGTAGACAGTCTACTCTATGAATGGAGGTTTTTAGAATATCACTATCAATGGCTCCAGGTATCTAACTGGTGATTAAACTCTTCAGCTGGGACTTACAGCAATGCCCTGCTATATCTCTTCAGCCTTTTCTCCCACTCCTTTTCTGCTAATCCCATCCTTTTCCTTCCATCTTCATCACCACTCCCCTCATTCACATTATCACCCTCCATTCCCAGGGGTCTCCTCACTGATTTACGTTATCTCCACTCTCTGCTGCCAGCAGGGACTGCTCAAAACACAAGCCTGATCGTGTTCCTCTGGACTTTTAAACTCTTCCATGGTCCCCACTGCTCTCATGTCCAAAATTCTTACAATCTATGAGGACTTCGACTGCCCAGTCTGCCAATGCCTCCGGACCCTTTCCCTTCACCCTCTGACCTCATCCCTCTTACTCACCAGGCTTCCTCTGCAACTGGGCCATCCACTTTGCTGTTCCCTCTTCCTGAAACACGCTTACCTTTCTTCTTTGCTTGGTCGACACCTATTTGTCCTTCCAATCTTGGTTTAATGCCCTGGGGACTTCCTCTAGGAATGCTTTCTTCACCTCACTAACTAGGCCACACTCTACGCGAGGCTCTCAGACAGCCCAAGCCGCTCCTGTTGACATTTCACAGGAGCGATTTATACCTCTCTGTGAACGTCTCCAATTGTCATAAGGTCCACAAAGCTTCTGTTATGATCACCATAACACAAAACAGCACCAGGGCAGAGCACAGTACCTGGCCAGAATCTGTGCTCGGAAGATGCTTGTGAAAAGAATGAGTGAGTGAAATTAACAAGAAGACTCTGCTGCTGCTAAACTGGACAACTTTGCCCACTGATGCTTTGTCATCTCCATGCTTTTGCTCGCTCATGTTCTCCAGTGATGTGGTCTTTCTAGCCAACTCTATTCTTCTGTAAATCCAACCCATCCCTGCAGTCTCTGCAAAGTAATCTTGACCAAATATTTCAGCCTACGCTCCTACCTCTACCTCTCCCACTGCCCCACAAAAATCATCTAGAGTCCATATTATTTCTTTCTGATTGTGAAAATAATGCATGTGTACTGTAGAAATTTTAGACAACACAGCTAATGCAGATGATATAAAAGAAAAAATAGAACATTTCAGATACCACTATCCAGAGATCATTGTTGCTTTTATTACAGAGTAAGTCCACCTATTTTTCTATATATAATCATGGAAATTATTTTTTATTTTATTTTATTTTATTATCATAATACTTTAAGTTTTAGGGTACATGTGCACAATGTGCAGGTTAGTTACATATGTACACATGTGCCATACTGGTGTGCTGCACCCATTAACTCGTCATTTAGCATTAGGTATATCTCCTAATGCTATCCCTCCCCCCTCCCCCCACCCCACAACAGTCCCCAGAGTGTGATGTTCCCCTTCCTGTGTCCATGTGTTCTCATTGTTCAATTCCCACCTATGAGTGAGAACATGCGGTGTTTGGTTTTTTGTCCTTGGGATAGTTTACTGAGAATGATGATTTCCAATTTCATCCATGTCCCTACAAAGCACATGAACTCATCATTTTTTATGGCTGCATAGTATTCCATGGTGCATATATGCCACATTTTCTTAATCCAGTCTATCATTGTTGGACATTTGGGTTGGTTCCAAGTCTTTGCTATTGTGAATAGTGCTGCAATAAACATACGTGTGCATGTGTCTTTATAGTAGCATGATTTATAGTCCTTTGGGTATATACCCAGTAATGGGATGGCTGGGTCAAATGGTATTTCTAGTTCTAGATCCCTGAGGAATCGCCACACTGACTTCCACAATGGTTGAACTAGTTGACAGTCCCACCAACAGTGTAAAAGTGTTCCTATTTCTACACATCCTCTCCAGCACCTGTTGTTTCCTGACTTTTTAATGATTGCCATTCTAACTGGTGTGAGATGGTATCTCATTGTGGTTTTGATTTGCATTTCTCTGATGGCCAGGGATGATGAGCATTTTTTCATGTGTTTTTTGGCTGCATAAATATCTTCTTTTGAGAAGTGTCTGTTCATGTCCTTCACCCACTTTTTGATGGGATTTTTTTTCTTGTAAATTTGTTTGAGTTCATTGTAGATTCTGGATATTAGCCCTTTGTCAGATGAGTAGGTGGCGAAAATTTTCTCCCATTTTGTAGGTTGCCTGTTCACTCTGATGGTAGTTTCTTTTGCTGTGCAGAAGCTCTTTAGTTTAATTAGATCCCATTTGTCAATTTTGCCTTTTGTTGCCATTGCTTTTGGTGTTTTAGACATGAAGTCCTTGCCCATGCCTTTGTCCTGAATGGTAATGCCTAGGTTTTCTTCTAGGGTTTTTATGGTTTTAGGTCTAACGTTTAAGTCTTTAATCCATCTTGAATTAATTTTTGTATAAGGTGTAAGGAAGGGATCCAGTTTCAGCTTTCTACATATGGCTAGCCAGTTTTCCCAGCACCATTTATTAAATAGGTAATCCTTTCCCCATTGCTTGTTTTTGTCAGGTTTGTCAAAGATCAGATAGTTGTAGATATGCAGCGTTATTTCTGAGGCCTCCCAAGACTAAACCAGGAAGAAATTGAATCTATGAATAGACCAATAACAGGCTCTGAAATTGTGGCAATAATCAATAGCTTACCAACAAAAAAGAGTCCAGGACCAGATGGATTCACAACTGAATTCTACCAGAGGTACAAGGAGGAACTGGTACCATTCCTTCTGAAACTATTCCAATCAATAGAAAAAGAGGGAATCCTCCCTAACTCATTTTATGAGGCCAGCATCATCCTGATACCAAAGCCGGGCAGAGACACAACCAAAAAAGAGAATTTTAGACCAATATCCTTGATGAACATTGATGCAAAAATCCTCAATAAAATACTGGCAAACTGAATCCAGCAGCACATCAAAAAGCTTATCCACCATGATCAAGTGGGCTTCATCCCTGGGATGCAAGGCTGGTTCAATATACACAAATCAATAAATGTAATCCAGCATATAAACAGAACCAAAGACAAAAACCACATGATTATCTCAATAGATGCAGAAAAGGCCTTTGACAAAATTCAACAACACTTCATGCTAAAAATTCTCAATAAATTAGGTATTGATGGGACGTATCTCATAATAAGAGCTATCTATGACAAACCCACAGCCAATATCATACTGAATGGGCAAAAACTGGAAGCATTCCCTTTGAAAACGGGCACAAGACAGGGATGCCCTCTCTCACCACTCCTATTCAACATAGTGTTGGATGTTCTGGCCAGGGCAATTAGGCAGGAGAAGGAAATAAAGGGTATTCAATTAGGAAAAGAGGAAGGCAAATTGTCCCTGTTTGCAGATGACATGATTGTATATCTAGAAAACCCCATTGTCTCAGCCCAAAATCTCCTTAAGCTGATAAGCAACTTCAGCAAAGTCTCAGGATACAAAATCAATGTACAAAAATCACAAGCATTCTTATACACCAATAACAGACAAACAGAGAGCCAAATCATGAGTGAACTCCCATTAACAATTGCTTCAAAGAGAATAAAATACCTAGGAATCCAACTTACAAGGGACATGAAGGACCTCTTCAAGGAGAACTACAAACCACTGCTCAATGAAATAAAAGAGGATACAAACAAATGGAAGAACATTCCATGCTCATGGGTAGGAAGAATCAATATCGTGAAAATGGCCATACTGCCCAAGGTAATTTATAGATTCAATGCCATCCCCATCAAGCTACCAATGACTTTCTTCCCAGAATTAGAAAAAACTACTTTAAAGTTCATATGGAACCAAAAAAGAGCCCGCATCGCCAAGTCAATCCTAAGCCAAAAGAACAAAGCTGGAGGCATCACGCTACCTGACTTCAAACTATACTACAAGGCTATGGAAATTATTTTTAAACCTCACAATGAATCAGTGAGGTTCATATTGTTCTCCCCATTTTACAAAAAAGAGAGGTTCAGATAAATTCAGTAATTTTCTCAAGGTCACAGAACAAGTAAAGAACACAGGAGTAGTAAAAAACAGAACCAAGACTGGGACACAAGCCTCCAGCCTCCCTGGCTCAGAGCCCCTTGCTGTCTCCACTATGCCCACCATCACCCTGGCCCCTCTGCCCTCTCCATCTCCTCTTACTCCTCTTATGTCGCTGCTCTTTCTCCCTTCAAACCCAAGCCAAAACTCCCTCTTACACATTCTCTTCCACCCAGCCATTTGACTTCAAGGATAGTCACTATAGCAACAGTAGAAGACTGGTAACAACTTAAATGCACGTCAGCACTGGTTAAATAAGTCACAGGACATCCTCACCGTGGAATACTACACTGCTGGTAAAAAAGAAAAAGGGAGATTTTAATAATCTCTAATAATCTCCAAAATAATTTTTTAAATTAAACAAAAATATGCAGAACACTGTCTGCAGTTTGCTATCATTTGTGAATGTAGAGAATATTTCTTTCTTCCTTTCTTTCTTTTTTTTTTTTTTTGATACTGGGTCTGGCTCTGTCACCCAGGCTGGAGTGCAGTGGCACAATCACTGCAACCTCCACCTCCTGGGCTTAAGCCATTCTCCCACCTCAGTCTTCCAAGCAGCTGGGAGTACAGACACTGGCCAACACGCCCAGCTAATTTTGTATTTTTTGTAGAAACGAGGTATCACATGACCTCCCAAAGTGCTGGGGATTACAGGAGTGAGCCACTGCATCTGGCCCAATGTAGAGAATATTCCTACAAAGATACACACACGCAGCTGGGCACAGTGCCTCACACCTCTAACCCCAGCACTTAGGGAGGCTGAGGCGGGTGGATCACCTGAGGTCAGGAGTTCAAGACCATCCTCGCCAACATAGTGAAACCCCATCTCTACTAAAAATGCAAAGAAGAATTATCCAGGCATGGTGGAGGGCGCCTGTAATCCCAGCGACTCTGGAGGATGAGGCAGGAGAATCACTTGAACTTGGGAGGCAGAGGTTGCAATGAGCCAAGGTGGCGCCATTGCACTCTAGTCTGGACAACAAGAGTGAAACTCCATCTCAAAAAAAAAAAAAAAAAAAGATACATACACACATACATAAATGATACCAGCAGTTGCTTCTGAGAAGGAAAATTAATGGACTGAAGGTGAAGAGTAAGAGGGGACTTAATTTCACTCGATTATAATGTTTAAATTCTTTCTGCCGGGCGCGGTGGCTCACGCCTGTAATCCCAGCACTTTGGGAGGCTGAGGCGGGTGGATCATGAGGTCAGGAGATCATCCTGGCTAACACAGTGAAACCATCCTGGCTAACACGGTGAAGCCCTGTCTCTACTAAAAATACAAAAAAATTAGCCGGGCGTGGTGGCGGGCGCCTGTAGTCCCAGCTACTCAGGAGGCTGAGGCAGGAGAATGGCATCAACCCAGGAGGTGGAGCTCGCAGTGAGCTGAGATCACGCCACTGGACTCTAGCCTGGGCAACAGAGCTAGACTCCGTCTCAAAAAAAAAAAAATTCTTTCTTACCATATACATTTAACAAGTAAAAACAAAAGCAGACCAGGCACAGTGGCTCACGCCTGTAATCCCAGCACTTTGGGAGGCCAAGGCGGGCAGATCACCTGAGGTCAAGAGTTCGAGACCAGCCTTACCAACATGGAGAAACCCCGTCTCTACTAAAAATACTAAATTAGCTGGGCGTGGTGATGGGCACCTGTAATCCCAGCTACTCGGGAGGCTGAGGCAGGAGAATCCCTTGAACCTGGGAGGCAGAGGTTGTGGTGAGCTGAGATTGCGCCATTGCACTCCAGCCTTCGCAACAAGAGCGAAACTCCATCTTAAAAAAAAAAAAGATCCATACTTTCTCTGATTATCTCACTGAGGCCATCTTCACTGCATGTATGTGAATGTGTGTGTGTGTGTTTGTGTGTGTGCACACACGTGCATACCTACTGGTACATAAGTGTGCACTGCTTCCCTCTCCTGCTTCCTCAAATGAGGCTCACATATCTACCATGGTCAGAGACTGAAGACCTTGTCTCCTCCATCAGGTTAGTATGATTCTGCAGTAACTTTTAGGCTAAGGACTTTCTTTCTAGTCCTTGCTGTGCCATTCACTAGCTGTGTAAATTTGGATGAGTCATTTGACCTCCCTCAGGGTAGATTCTGTCTCCTCCATCAGGCTGGTGAAGAGTTCTCCATCAGCTCCTATCACAGCCCTATCACCCAGGCAGGAATGACTTGTTCAATGTTTGTCCTCCCAGTTAGACTACAAGCTTCGTGAGGACAGACATCGTTTGTGTTCATTGCAGTGTCTGGCACGTGGTGCAGGCTCAGTAAATGTTTGCTCTAAGAATAGATGGGTCACAGCTCCCTTGGGTCCAGACTGTCTCCCCGAAGTCCTGCATCCTGGTAGGCATTTGGAGCATATCCTTGGCCACTCAGAAAGAGGGGTGTCACTGGGAAATAGGCTCCTCCATTCCTGTTCTTTCCCCAAAGTCCCTCAGCCCAGCTGGGGCATCAGAGCCTGAGACTGTCCTTGTCATTCCATCACAGCCTCCAAAGCGAGCTCCTGTGGGTTCTAGGCCAGTCTAGGCTTCTCTCACAGGGCAAGGCACCACCCAGGCCAAGGCCAGGCCCCAGACCCATTTCCCCACCCCCAGTCCAGCCTGAGAACATGGTGGCCCAGCCCAGCCTGGCAGGCCTGGCCCATCAATCGTGCTCCCAGGGGTACAAACCAATTTCTCTTGCTTTCCCGAGCCGTCTCCCTGGCGGAGCCTGGAGGAGCCTTCAGTCGCATTAATCCCAGCCTGGCGGCGGTGACGAAGACGGATTTCTCCACCAAACGATCCATTTGTATCTCTCGTCCACTCACTTGGTTTTTTCTGTGTGGATGTTCAAAATATCATGAAAAAGGCGTTAGCTGGGTAGCTGTGGCGCAGCGAAATAATAGAGTGATCCGGCAATGCGCTCCTGACCTTGCAGGACAGCTAATCCATCCGCACATCTATCTTAATTATTCCCGGTTACAAAAGAGAAACTCCACCATCCATTCATTCCAGGCTGGCAATTCCATTTTCCACCCCCACTCACGCCCTGTCCTTTCTCCACCATTCCCCTAGCCAGATAGGCCCATTCACCACTGCCACAACAGGCCCTCCCTACACCAGCCCAATCCAGCCGGGCCTGAGCCCACCTCAGTGCAGCCCAGCCCCCAGCCCACCCACTGCTCCTTAAGATCTAAAGAGATGCACCCAGCTCCCCTTCCCAGAACTCCAACTGATGTCCATTGGAGAAAGACCAGCTACATACAGGCTTAAGCCTTAGCAGGGACACACACAACATACACACACTGATACTATCATACAGGCAGCCGGAGACTAAAAATCTCAGCCAGATCTTAACATTCAGGCTTCCTCTCACACAGACACACAGACAGGCCCATTTCCATCCTCACCCCAAACCACACCATTTTAACTCTCCTGCTGCCCTGGCACTGACACTGGGACAGTTGCCAAGATGGGCATTTTAACTGAGGGCAGACTCCATGGGGGGTGTCTTGCTCCGTCTGTCTTCCAGCCCCAAAGCCAAAGTCCCCACCCGCTGTCTCCTCTCAGGCCTACTCCTTAACACACGCTGGGCAAGCCAGCACTGGAGGGGAAAGGTGGAAATGTGAGAGAGAAAGAGACCAAAAGAGGAGGAGGAGTGAGGAGAAAGTTTGAGCAGAGATCCTGCAAGGGGGAGAAAAAAGGAGAAGGAAGGGGAGGACGGGGTAGAGTTTGGCGGTGGCGAGAGTGCCAAGAAGGCCACTGAGCCAGTATGTGAAAGAGCCTGCTTGTATAACACAGTTCCAGCTAATTGTGTCAGATTCACTTTGGGGATGCCTGTGCCAGTCTCTAAAGCCCCTTCCAATTCTACGCTTTAATGTATGACTTCCAGACCCCTCATTCTTATGATTTTAATGCAATCAGCAAAACTAGGCATGTAATTGTCTTGGCTCTGTGCTTGGCCATGGTGGCTCCTGGGAACCCCAGCCCCCGGTTCCCAGGCCCTCCTCCACCAATCCTTCCCTCCCTCCTTTTTTACCCTTCACTTCAGCTTCAGTCAACAAGTACACAAGCCCCCAACTCATGCTGGTTTGACTTATTAATGTAATTTATTTTTTGAGGTGGAGTCTCACTCTTGCTGCCCAGGCTGGAGTGCAATGGCGCCATCCCGGCTCACCACAAACTCTGCCTCCCAGTTTCAAGCAATTCTCTTGCCTCAGCCTCCCGAGTAGCTGGGATTACAGGCATGTGCCACCATGCCCTGCTAATTTTGTATTTTTTAGTAGAGACGGGGTTTCTCCATGTTGGTCAGGCTGGTCTTGAACTCCTGACCTCAGGTGATCTGCCTGCCTCGGCCTCCCAAAGGGCTGGGATTACAGGCGTGAGCCACCTCACCCTGCCAATACAATTTTTTTTATCTTTACCATAATGTGAAAATGATACACATTCAGTAGAAATCATATTTTGAGTACCCATAATACCATTTTGTTTTTCACTTTGAGTACAATATTCAGTAAATTACATGAGATATTAAACACTTTATTATAAAATAGGCTTTGTGTTAGATGACTTTGCCCTTACCCTGTAAGCTAATGTAAGTGTTCTGAACCCATTTAAGGCAAGCTAGGTTAAAGTAAGTTTCATACACTAGGCTAGGTGTACTAAATGCATTTTCAACTTAGGATATTTTCAATTTGTGATTGGTTTATCCGATGTAACCCCATTATCGTCAAGGAGCATCTTTATGTAGTTAGACTTCCTCAGCCCTTGGTGCTGTGAGGGAAAAAGAAGGAGATTCAGTCTTGGGGCTCCTGAACCGGAACTGACTGAGGAAAGGATATGGAGTGTCTAGGCAGTGGCCACAGTGTGCTGGCCCAGACTGGCTAGATTATTGGGGTTGGGGGAGGACGAGGCTTCCCGGAGGAACCTGGTGGGCCCCCTCCTTCCCAGAAGCAGCAGGCAGCCTAGGGTGGGCCTGTGGGGCCATGTGCAGGGGAAGGGCCATTTGTCCCAAGACAATGGCAGAGAAGGGGTCTCCAAGTGGCTGTCGAGAGCCAATTTGTAGTGGTGATGGCCGAGGTTGCTCTAAAGGCTGGGAACAGCTGGAGCTCCGGGTGACTGATGGGTGGGCCCAGGAGAGGGGCCATTGGTCTTGCAGACACAAAGGCCCCGATGGTGTGCGGGTGGGGCCCGTCAAAATCATTAAGTGCGGAAGATGGGAGCCGGCAGACTTCAGATGGGACCAGTGGGTTGGGGGAAGAGGTCAGGAGCCTGCCCCTCCCTCCCTGCAGCCCCTCCTCCACCCTATTCCTGCTCTGGAAACTTGGCCACTCACACCCCGATTATCATCTGATTTGCATAGACACCCCCACCCCAGCCTTCCAGTTCCCTCGGCTCTCTCCGTGGGAGTTCAGGCTCCAGTCCTATTTGAGCAGCTCTGGCTTTGGGGGCTGACCAAGGCGAGATGCCTCCCCGTGCCTCTTGAGGGGATTTGCCCACCCTCAGGCACTGCATTCTCCAGTCGGTGACCCCATCCACTTCTCAGGGAACAGGGCATTCTAATTTCAGGGACCTCCCCCTCCCCAGTTTCGAAGGGAAGAAACTGAGGCCCAGGGTGCTGATTTCTCCTGTCTCTCGGCGCCTTCTCTGTGTGGGAAATGCTTCTCCCGCTTGCCCTTCCCTGAGGGTTGGGAGACAGTGACACCGGGAGAAACCCGCGCCCCGCGCCCCCATCCCCCAGGAGCCCCTCCCTCCGCGGCGCTCCGGGCAGAAGAGGGAAGCAGTGACCCGGCCAGGTGGTGATGATGCGGCCGGCCGCGCTGGTCACTCTTGGCCGCTCCCCGCGCGCAGCCCGACCCCCCTCGTATGGGTCACGGCGCCTGCAAAACTCCCTGACACAGAAACGCCGCGGGGCCTGCGCGTGTCGGGAACAATCCTGCGCCTGATGGGAAGCGACAGCTCCGCCCCGCCTCCCTCCACTCCTGCCCTCCCGCGGCTCCTCCCGGGCGCCGCGTCCCGCGCTCCTGCTGCCAGCCCAGCCGGCCTGGGGCGCCCTAGCCGCTGGTCCTGGCCCAACAAGTAGCCACCGACCCCTCCCATGTGGCCTAGGACGGGAGGAGCTTCTGCCCGGCAGTTGGGGGTGACAAGGATGGGGTAAAGAGGGGCGCCGGGCAGGCGCAGGGCGGGGGGAAGGGGCAGCCCACAGTTGGCGCTACACGACTCCGCTTCTGTTTTCCCCGTGTTGACATAGAAATCAGACTGGAAAGAAAGCAACATGTAGAGGGGCTTCCCCGGGTGTGAGGTGACAGGTGGGTTTTCCTGTCTTTTTGCGGATCTGTGTCTCCTGGGCTTGTTTTGTCTTTTTGCGTCCGTTTGTAATAAACACCCCCTCTCCCACCCCCATAAAAGCCAAGCTAGAGCAGAAGGGCTGTTTGAAGGAGCTCTGCCACCTCCCACCTGGACTCCAGGCCCTGGAGCTGATCCAGCCCACAGGGAGAAAGGCTAGAGCATGCAGGAAGGGTCCTGGGGGTCAGACCAGGCCAGGAGGTGACCCCTCTCCATCTCCCTCCCTGGACGCTGGCCCTCCTCCCACTTCACCTTGCAGAGGCTGCAGGGGTGTGGGGAGGAGTGCTGGCTGTAGGGGAAAGGCCTACATGTGCACAAGTAGCCCCTCTGCATTTCCTCACACATGGACACTCAGATACCCAGGGGCACACATCCACACACACTCACACGTATGTTCATGCCTGCCAGCATGTCCTTGTAGTGATGGCCACTGGCCCAAGAACACATGAACACTTGTGCCCTCCTGTACACGCACACACACACACCCTGTCCTTCAAATCCCCAGACAAATACATAGCCCTGTAGTTCTCATCTTCCTCCAGCCCAGCCCCTTCAGACAGCAAGTGCCCCATTCATCTCAGATGCCCTCATTCATTCTACAGCTGGCTTTCTGCTTACCCCGACTCCTCCTCCTCCCAATATCTGCTCTCCTGTCCCTCTCCCCAGCCTCCTACTCCATTTCTTGGTCTTGAGATATGAGGGGAAATTTGCCTGCTCTACCAGCAGCCCCAGAGTTGGTATGAAAAAAGCAGAGCCTGTAAGAGAAAATGAGGAGTCCCCCTACTCAGCCCCACCAAATAAGAGGCCTATGTGGGCTCCCTCTGGGCTCCAGGGCTTAAGGGGGGCAGGCAGGCCTCCCCTGCCTTCTGCCTAGGAACCCCTGGCCATGCCCAGCTCCACAACAGAACTTCCTCCTCCTCTACTCCTACCCTACTCCTACCCATCCTCTGTGGCATAACCTGGGGCCCAGCTTCTCCAGGCTCCCCTCGGCCCCCTACTCCTATCTGTATCCCTCACTTGACTGACATTCCTTTTGTGCCTTCACCATTGATTCTCTCTTCATAGCTGTGAATCCTGTGTGCTCCTACAAAACAAGCAAGTCTCCTCTTCATCTTGCATTCCCTACTCCTGCACATCAGCTGACTTCTTCGTGAATGAGTGAATCAGCTGAGGGATATTTATGACTTTGGCTTGTGTCTCGGCTATTGAGAGTGACTATGTGTGAGTGAAGAAGTGGGAGCAGGGGCAGCCACATGGGGTAAGTGCCACTATCGTGTTTCCTCTGTGAAAGTCCTAACAACCCTTGCACGCTTCCTAACTGCCCTACAAGGGAAGTGTCCATTTGATAAAGAAACGAAGGCTCAGAGAGGTCACATTATTTCCCCAAGGTCACAAAGCTTGCCAGACTATCAGAACCTCAGGCTGAGGATGCTAACAGCTTCTGCCTCCCTCCTCATGGCCTGGTGCAGAGGTGGGGAGAAGCTACCTTCTGATAACCATGCTGCCCCACCCCACCTCTCCAGAGTGAGTGGAACTCTGATCTTCTCTCCAGAAAGGGCCCTAATGGATCTCCCCCTTTCCAAGCCTTTTCTGTAGCCCTAATTCTCCTTTCTGCTCTCTCTGTTATATCATCTCTGCCCAAGATCACCATGGCTTCAATGTTCCTTTGGCCTTGAACACCTTGACAGGAAGCCGACTACGATCTTGGTTCTACCACTGACTAGCTGGTGGTCTTGGGCAAATCACTAGTCACAACTGCTGTCTGGCCTCGATTTCCCCAAGTGTGTGTGGTGGAGTGGGGCTTGAGTAGGTGATGTCTGAGGTTCCCTCTAGCATCAGCATTCTGGACTCCAGTCCCTGGTGAGCGGAGTGCAAGAACAAACCAGCACTTCACCCAGCCCAGTCCACCCCTCCACCAGGCCCCCCAGAGGGGTTCAGGCTCAAAGAGGGCTGGGAAATGCTGTGAATTAATTACCATCAGACCTCCGGCCACTGTTCATCTCTGTAAACAAACATTTTAATATGCAGTAATTAATTACATCTGCCACAGCGACCCTCCTCTCGCTCATCCTTCTTCAGCTTTTCTTCTGCTCACACTAGACCAACCTCCTCCTCCCAGTTGGAGCCTGAAAGCCAGGCAGAGCCCCCTCTGTCCATCGCCCCAGCCTTCTCCCCCCACCATCAGATGCAGGTGCTCGCATCTGCCATGCTGCTCTGCAGCTTTTTGTTCTTTTTTCTGTGTCTCTAATGCCCGTCTGTCTTTCTGACAGTCCTTTGTCTCCAGTTCTCTCTGCCTGGATTTCTCTCCCCAACAAAGTTCCATGCCAGGGACACATTCTGGGAGGAAGGGGCAAATGAGGAAGCCAGTGGATCTACCCAAGGTGCCTGAGCATGTTTCAACTCCTCAGTGGGCCAGGACCACGCTAATTTACAGGGATTATCCAAAGACCAGAACAGGCCCTGTTCCAGGACTCTCCTGCCACAACCACTGGGTTGTGAGCTCCTGGGAGTCCTTCTGACGCTGTTTCTTCTCCTACTCCACCCCCTGCCTCCACAGCAGCTCTGCGTGAAAAACGCAGAGGGGAAACAATTGCCCAGTTGAGCCCACCTGGCTATGCCACAGTTACTTTTCGCCATAGCCGGAAATACCACTGTTGGATCCACCTTCTGCGCCCCAGGCCTCCCCAGCCTCCGTACCCAGGAGGCAGCCAGCTTAGCAGGGTAGGCATGTGGGTGGCCCACCAGCTCCTGGAATGGAGCGTACTCCGTTTCTGGGGAGGTTCCCCGCGTCCTGCCTGGAGTCTAGAAGGGAGCGGGGAAGTGACCAGCACTAGATTAGAGGCGGGAACTCCGGATGAGAAAGAGACGAGGGGGCCAGGATCCCAGGGCTGGCAGCGACAGGAAGGATGGGAAGAGGTCCGCAGGCCCGACGGGTGCGGGCCAGCCTGGCCGCGCAGGGGGAGCTGGGAGCTGGGTGGGCGGGGTGGGGCGGACGCCACCAGGCGTGGCGCGGGGAACAGAGCAGAATGAAATGCAGATGCAAAACGTGCTCATAAGAGTTTCCTCTCTCTCCCCATCTGCCAAAGCCGAGATTTTAATCTTTAATCCATGAGCAATCAGCGAGCAGCGGCGAATGGCACATTACAGATGTTTTACTGTCGCGGGCGCTCGCAGCTTTCGCGCTCGGCACAGGCGCGCCGGGCGCCCCCGCTCCGCCCGCCCCCTCTTCTCCCCCTCTGGTTCTTCTTCCTCTCCCCTCCCCAGGTCCCCGTTTAACACTATCCCCCTCACCTGCACGCTCCTGGCCCGCAGCGGAGGTGGGACTGGGGAGCAGGGCCTGGGACTCCGCTGGTGGGGGTACACGCAGGGGCACTGGCGGGGGCGGGGGGCGACGGCACTCAGAATTGCGCTGAGGCAAATTCCCCGCCAGGTCCAGATTGGGGGGCGCGAGGACAGGAGCATCGAGTGCCCGGATAGCTGAGCCCCCCCACTCCCCATCCCCTTCCTGGACCCCACGTCTAGGGCCGCTGGCGGCTCCTGCGATTAGCGCTCCAGATGTTTGGCTGCGCTAGGGCTCCGCTTTCCAGATGTTGGACACCTTTGTTCTCACGTTTGGGATCGCCATCCCTTCAGCATGATGAGGAAGGAGAGTCCTGTAGCTGTCAGATCTGGGAGTTGCTAGGAAAATCTAGTGGCATGGAGTCTTTTAGAGAAGCTGATAAAATCTCACTTCAGTTGGGAAGTTCAGCCCTCTGGAGTCCCTCCCACTTCTTGGGAGCTTGAATATTGGGAGGAAGGTGAGAAGCCTAGGAATGTGACCCTGGAACTCATAGCAGGACCTGAGTCCAATATACTACCCCCTCACTCAGCCCCTGTAGGATCCCTGAAAGCCCCAGAAATATATTCTTCCCCAGTTCAGCAATCCTTAGCAGTGATTCCAGTTTGCAAAGATACATTTGTGATTAATTAATGTCTGTCACCTCCACTAGTCCATAAGTTCCATGAGGTCAAGAACTGTATTTTCACTCATCATTGTGTTCCTTGGGTCTAGCACAGGGCCTAGCACATAGTAGATGCTCAATAAATATTTGTTGACTGAATGAAGGCATTTGTGAGGTCTACTGTAATCTTGAACATGTTTTTTGGTGCTACTATCAATGAAGACAGGCTCTTCACCCCAGCACAAAAGCATGGGTACACCACTCCATCACATCGACACTCCTCCCCAACTGCAGCCCTCTTTCTAGGTAACAGCCTCCTTCATGCCCCCACCCCACCACTGCCCCACCCACCTCTATGGTGGATCTTTCCTATTAGTTAGAAGGAATCCCAGGGCAAGAGTGTGTCTGACACTAAACCAGGGCTCCTTTGGCCAGGGCCCCATAAGCTAGGCCCCCTCTGACTTAACCTTCACCCCCAACCCTTGGTCACCACTCCCTCCCCAGCTGACCTCTTCCCTTTGCATGGCCACAGAACTATCACCCTCTCTTATGCTCCCCTAATCTAGCGGTTCCAAACGTACCCCAATCCCAGCCCAGCCACAACCTGGTCCAATAGCCCACTTCACTCACCAGGGACCATCCCATCACATGGGACTCCCTATTCCCCACCCCAAGTGGCTTAGGGCCTTCTGGGAAGAAAAAAGGAGGGGAGGATGTAGAGACCGGAAATGTGGAGGATAAAGAGGTGGAAAAAAAGGAAAGCTAGACAGATGAAAAAAGGAGATCCACAACAGAGAAAGGCGTGGAGAAGGGCAGAGACAGAGACCAACGAAGTGGGGTCGGGTAGAAAGAGGCGGATATAAAGGCAGGCCAGAGAGAGTGAATGGCCGCGTCAGCCGCAAAGAGGCCCAGACAGATGGACGCAGGCAGGAAGACGGACAGGAGAGAGAGAGAGACAACGTGCGCCCGAGGCTGAAGAGCTGGGTCAAGAAGAGATTCGGCTTCCGGGAGCAGGGGCGTCCGGGAGGGACTGCCCAGGGCGCCCCGCTGCCCGAAGCCCAGCCCCGCCCCAGCCGCCGCCGGCGCCGTCTGTCGGCAGCCGCCCTGGGCCTAGGCCGCAGGGTCCACAGGCGGCCCTGACAGGCGGCGGCGGCGGTGAGGGAAGCCGGAGCGAGAGGCAGCGGAGCCGCGTGTGTGTTTTTATTATTATTATTTCTGATTAAAGAGGAATTCATCTCGTATCTGCCTCCTGCCAGGGGCCGAGGCTCCGCCATTGGGGTTAACGGTGCGGAAGAATACAAAAAAATTTCATTGAGGAGGATTATAAAAGTTACTAGCTGGAACATTAACAGAAGAGTAACTTGTAAAAAATGCAATATTACAATATTCACAAGGACGGCAGAGCGTGGTAAAGCTATAAAATTCAACATTAAAACCTTCCACAGCCTAGATAACCTAGTTAACAAACATGGGATTGGAACTACTTTTCTGTGGAGACAGGAATACGCGCCGGGGCTGGTCACACCTCTTCCGCGGGAGGGGCGGGGTCGGCGGCCACGGCCTAGCCGCGCCCCCCGTCCGCCTCGGCCTCCTCCCCGGGAAAATGGGCACAACCCGGTCCAGCGCTGGGGAATGCCTGAGGAAGCCTTCAGAACCTCAGACAGGGCTGCTTACTTGCGACGTTTTCTTTCATGGGAAGCGCTGATTAAAGCAGAGAGTTCAACGTGGATTTAGACCTGTCGAATAGGATATACATTTCTATAATTGCAGGATTTGTGCGTGACATCTATTAAAGCTTGTGTGTGTATGTGTGCGTGTGCTGGATATGTGTATCCGGGGTCTCTGTATGTATGTGCATAGTACTTGAGAACATAATGCATGGTTTGTAAAGGTGTATGTTAATAGGGTATGCGGGGCATGGTGTTTTGAGATGAAGGGTGTGTATTCATAATATGTACGTATACCAAGCGAGTCTCTATGTGGGATATACGTGCATATGCACAGAATCTCAGTGTGGTTAAGATACGTGTCTAGATAGCAGAGACATTTGCTGAATATATGTGTGTGCATGGTGTTTTCATGTACAGGATATATATGCCATTGCAGGCATATTACATATCTTTTTCCAAGGTGTGTTTATAAAGAGGATATATGTTTGCCTCATTCTGTGTGTATGTGTGAGTGTGCAAGGTGTATATATTAGAGGGCATTATGTGGTTGTGAACACAGGATGTTTAAATAGTATCAAAATATAATATGGTGGCACATGTTCTCAGGACCTCCTGAGGGCTGTGTCACAGGCCATAATAAAAAAGAAAAAGAAAGAAAAATAAATATGTAATATGTTGGTTGTGTCCACAGAGTATGTATTTATGCATAGAGTTGTGTGAGATAATATATACAAATGTGTATATGTGTGTGCAGGGCGTGTGTATATGTGTACAGTGTGAGTGTATGTGAGCAGAGGGGATGTTTGTGGATATGTGTGTCTAGGTATTTTGTATATATTCATGTGTCTGTAGCACATATGTATTTGAGCAGAATATATCTATATGTGCAAGGCATGTGTATATATGTATAAAAAATACACAGACATTGTGTGAGTTGTCTGAGTATGTAGGGTGTCTGCAGGTGCAGAAACAGAGCATTTGTTTCTATCAGCTTCTGAATACTTGTGGTGTGGTGGTTAAGCTCATAGACTTACTTGTAGCTTTGTCATATGCTAAGCCTGTGACCTTGGGCAAACAACTTAGCCTCTGGCTTCTTAGCTTCCCTATTTGCAAGATGGGGATAGTAATAGTGCCTACTTCATAGAGTTATTATTAGGATTAGATGAGTTAATAGTTACTGTGGTAAGAAGAATAATGGCTGCCCCCCCCAAATGTCCACATCCTAATCCCCAAAACCTATGAATATGCTATCTTCATGGCAAAGGGGATTTTGCAGCTGTGATTAATTTTAAAATCTTGAGATTATCCTGCATTATCCAGATGGGCCCAATGTCATCACAAAAATTCTTTATAAGGGAAACAAGAATATCCGAGTCAAAGGAGGTGTGAGATCGAAAGCAGAGATTGGAATGATGTGGTCATGAGCCAAGGAATGTGGGTAGTTTCTAGACTACGGAAAAGGCAAAGAAACTGTTTCACGGTAGGCAGGTCTATTCAAACCTACCCCCAAATCTGAGGAAGTTGAGAGGACAAGCAAACGAGAGGCTAACAAATCCAGTTTCTTAGAACAAAACACTTAATAGGGACTTATGAACAGAAGCCGTGTGAGTATCTCAGTCAGCAGTGAGAGGAGATGGTGGATCCCTGTGCCTTTATCCCCCAGACCCAGGGCTTATATGCCCATGAGGAAAGCATGATTCAGAAGGGATATATAGGACAACTGAAGTATGATAATATCAAGGTTGTTTGACACAAGGGCAGAATTTGTAGTAAGTACCTGCTTTTACACAAAGAACAATAGATAAACTGGAAATCTTAGCGGCCTTTCCAGAACTGGGGTTAATCAGAAGTCAACGTGGCAGATTAGCATCCAAGAAGGAGTTGCTTTAGCCTGCACAAAAACAAATTCTCCCCCTGAAGGAACAAAGCCCTGCCAACCCATTTTAGACTTCTGAACTCAAGAAAGGTATGATAACAACTGTGTTGTTTGAAGCCACTAAGTTTTAGGTAACTTATTACAGCAGCAATAGGAAACTAACACACTTGTCTAAAGTGCTTAGAACAGTGTCGAGTACATAGCAAGTACCTTGTAAGTGTGTGTTAAATAAATTTCTTAGAGGTAATGCTTGAGGCCTTAGGGGAGGCCTGGTTGGTCAGTCTGTTGCCAGATTTGCCATCCACATCTCAGACTGCCTCTGGCTGCCCCCAACCCTCCAAGATTCCAGATCCTGCCAGAGCCTGTGTTTTGCCAACCTAAGCATCAACACATGTAGTGGGTGGGGGAGGGGAATGTCCCCTCAATATCTGCCTGCTTGTCCTTCCTTACTCATGCTTTAGGGTTGGGGCTAGTACCAGGGATCTAGGCCTGTGGCTGAGGGGGTTGGGGGACAGATTGAGAATCTTTGGGCCTTCATGTTCACTTGCTCTTTGACCAGGTTTGGCAGGAGGACAAGGTTGTTGTGATGGAAGGGAAACTTGTGTAGGAACTTGGTGCCTTGAGAGCCAGTGGTGTATACACATGTCCTTATGCACAGAAAGCTACACCAGACCTTGAGCCACACTGTGTCACAGTCTTAGCTCTTAGCCATAGAACCCAAGCCACCAATGGGGTGAGTTCTTGCTCAAAGACCGTGGTTCTTCCATTACCTCTTTGCTTCTGTTGCTGTCTCCCTCCATTTCCAGCTTAGGGCCCCTGTGTAAATGATTCCCCCATGATTCCTTCATTGGGACAGGGACTTGGAGGCATTGACATAAGAAAATGAAATGATTCAGTTAATTTCCACAACACATACTTTTTTTATTGTAGTTTTGCTCTTTTTATTTTTTTAATTGACACATAATAATTGTACATATTTGTGGTGTAAATAGTGATATATACATGCAATGTATGGCGACCAGATCAAGGTAATTAGTGTATCTGTCATCTCAAATATATATCTTTTTTTGCATTGGAAGCATTCAATATCCTCTCTTCTGGCTGCTTGAAAATATATATTATTGTGAATATGGTCATCCTGCAGTGCTATAGAGCACTAGAACTTATTCCTCTTATCTATCTGGAATTTTGAATCCTTTAACAAATCCCTCCCTTTCGGCTTCTAGTAACCTCTGTTTTACTTTTTACTTCTATAAGATCAACTTTTTTTAGCTTCCACATGTGAGGGAGAACACGCAATGTTTAACTTTTTGTTCCTGGCTTATTTCACTTAACATAATGTCCTCCAGTTCCATCCATGTTGCCAAGACACAATAGATTTTTATTTCTTACAAGTATGTGTGTGCGTGTGTGTTTGTGTTTGTGTGTGATGTGATGTGATGTGATGTGTGAGCCACAGCTGCCTCATCCACAAAAGGGGAATACTAATCTTGTCCTTCTTTCCTTACAGGGTGTTAAGATAATGAAAGGAGATTTTTCTCAGCCGGGGCACGGTGGCTGATGACTGTAATCCCAGCACTTTGGGAGGCCGAGGCAGGTAGATCACCTGAGGTCAAGAGTTCAAGACCAGCCTGGCCAACATGGTGAAACCCCATCTCTACTAAAAATACAAAAAGTAGCCAGGCGTGGTGGTGGGCACCTGTAATCCCAGCTACTTGGGAGGATGAGTCAGGATAATCACTTCAACCCAGGAGGTGGAGGTTGTAGTGAGCCAAGATCGTGCCACTGCGCTCCAGCCTGGATGACGAGAGTGAAAAAAACAAAAAAGAGAGAGAGATTTTTCTCTACAAACATTTGGTATTGCTAATGCCTGGGACCCTGGAGCCAAGAACTCTCATTTGACAACTCTGGTTGCTCTTGGACATGCAGCAGCACAAGGGTATAATTAGGAAGGGAGGGTCATAAGGAATCTGAAGGAGCATTGCTGGGGGTTAGATATCCATTTCTCCTCACTGCAGAAGAGGACACAGGAAGGCTGTCCCCCAAGGGCATCTGCTGCGGTGCTGCACATGTGTGTTTGGGCAAATACATGTGTACATAGGTCCACACTAGAGAAATCAGTGTACACTCATGGCAGGCCCCAGAGAGGTGTGACAGGGCATTTTGGGGATGAGCCCACAGTGGGATACAAAAAAAGGACATAGAGTTCTCTATGTGCATTGCAATGGTTAAAGGACCAAGGTAAGTTTGGAGTTATAATACCCAGATAAGGCTCTCAGCTCTACCACTTCCTGCCCAGTGTAACTCTGGGCAGCCTCATTAACCTCTCTGCCTCAGCTGCCTCATCGGTAAAATGGGATAATAATGGTGTCTAACTCATAAGGTTCATAATGTGACCTGAAATATTTATCTCAGTGCCTGGCAGGTAACAAGTTCTCTATAAATACTGTCATTGATGGCAGTGATGCT
The DNA here is from genome assembly GCF_000001405.40 of Homo sapiens. NCBI lineage: Eukaryota > Metazoa > Chordata > Mammalia > Primates > Hominidae > Homo > Homo sapiens. Next base: position 100,720,647 of record NC_000010.11, read on the forward strand.
GTTGTCATCATGATTCCTCCCCTCTTCCAGGAAGAGGCAGTGTGGTGTTCTGGCCTGTGAGTTAGAGGGACCTGGGTTAAAATCGAAGCTTCACCACTAACCAGTTAGTTAACCAGTTGTATAAACTTGAGCAGCCACACTTTAATCCAAATGAGCTTCGGCTTCCTCGTCTGTATAATGGAGTCTTTAACACCTACTTCAAAGGGACAGCCTGTGAGGATCAGAGTTTATGCACATGTGGCTCAAAAGCCATAGCTGGCCTTTAGCCAGGTTTGCTCAGCCTGCACTGTAAATAGGTAAGTCATGTGGTTAGTGCAAAAGTTAAAACATACCAAAGGGGATACAGGGAAAAACAGTCTTCCTTCCACCTCTGCCACATTCCTTAAGGCAATCACTTTCCAGAACTAGTCTATGCAGGTGCATGTGTATGTGTTCTCTTTTTCTCTCTAATGAATGGTACCTTACACATTGTCCCATGCCTATATATATATATATATATATATATATATATATATGGAAAGAAATCCAAGATAAATAAAGTTGATCTCATCTCATAGAGATCAACTTAATTTATCTTGAGCTCTTTCCATATTTATATGTGAAAAGTCACTTCACTCTTGGTTAAGGCTGCCCAGTATTCCCCTAAATAGATGTATTATAAGTCATTTAAGCAGGCTCCTAGCTGTGAACATTTTGATTACTTCTAATTTGCAAATAAAGCTGCAATGACTATCCTTTCACATTCATCATTTGATCATCTGCCCAGTTAGGTTGTTTCTTTTAAAAAAAATTAAGTACTTTCCAATGGATTTCAAATACAAATCAATATTTTTGGTTGCTCTTTAAAGGTCAGACAACTTGGCATCACTGACTGCCACTCCTGCTTGGCAACAGTCTCCAGAGTTGAGGAACTACATCCTTTAAAGAACCCTTTCCTTTCCAGTTGTTCTAGAACCCCCCTCCCTGTTGTCTTCCCAACTCCTCCTGCCCCTACAGGCGTCTGCATGCATGAGCCCCTGGTAAGACTGAGAACATATGCAAATAGTGCCTGGAATGAAATAAATACTCAATAAATGCTATTATTACTCTTGCATGAGAAATCACTCATCTACAGTTTTGAAAATGAGCCTGTTTTAGGGACACAGATTTATGTGTCACGCATGTGTGGATGGGTTGCATTCTTAGAGTGTGTAGGAAACTGGTGATCCAAACAAGAAGTGCCAGTACTCAGAGGCCCCATACCTGCACCTTCCACAGCTCTGGAAGGAAGAGGGAATTCTTTCACATATATCCTGTCTCATTTAACAAAATGAAGACTAATCTGCTGGCTAGATCTGTGCTGGCCAATACAGTAGCCATTAGCCACAATTATACTACATAATTTAATTTAATAAAATTAAAAATCAGTTCCCCAGTCACACTTGCTTCATTTTAAGTGCTCAATAGCCACATGTGGCTGGTGGCTACCATACTGAACAGTGAAGATACAGAGCACTTGCACCATCACAGAAAGTTCTATTGGACACCCTGCTGCAGACTGTAATCTTCATAGAGGTAGGGACTGGGTATCTCTTGTCCATCACTGTAATTCTCATGTCAGGCAAAGAGCCGGCACAGAGAAGGCACTCGGTAACGTTTTTTGAATTAATAACTGATGAATGAATGAATGAACCAACCAATACCGGCAGGAGACACAAATATAGGCTCCTCCACAGTAGCCCACTGAGGCAGCCTTTTTGGGGAAAGTGGGGGGATGAAGTCGAAGGGGACTTCAGTATAACGTTGGAGACTGGCCGGGTGCGGTGGCTCACGCCTGTAATCCCAGCACTTTGGGAGGCCGAGGTGGGTGAATCACGAGGTCAGGAGTTTGAGACCAGCCTGGCCAATATGATGAAACCCCTCTACTAAAAATTAGCCAGGTGTGATGTGTGATGGCACGTGCCTGTAGTCCCAGCTACTCAGAAGGCCGAGGCAGAAGAATCACTTGAATCCGGGAGGCGGAGGTTGCAGTGAGCTGAGATCGCACCATTGCACTCCAGCCTGGGTGACAGAGCGAGGCCCGGCTCAAAAAAATAAAAATAAAAAATATTGGAGACTGGATGCTCCCAGGGAAGCCAGCAGGGTCACCCCCAGGACTGAGGCCTAGAAAGGAAGCAGTCACTTATGGATGGTTGTTGGAGTCAGGAACCTGTGTTCTGAACATCCCTGTTATCCCTTTTTGTGAGGTATTCCCTCCTTAGAGTCTGAATAAAAGCCCCTTCTGAAATGTCCTAGTGTCTGCAGGCCTGTCCTAGGGAAGCCTCATTGACCTCTGAAGGTCAGGGCAGAGCAAGGAGGGCTCTTCCAGGAGCTGGATGGGACAGCTGAGATCTTGCTGGTTCCAGGGAAACTCAAGCCACAAGTTGTTCCAGGAGCTGTGGTGCCTGGCATGTTCTCATCTGAAGGGTATGTGTGTGCTGAAAGAGAAAGAGAAATGCAGGAGAAGTAAATGGAGATTGAGGGGAATGGGGTGGATAATCCAGATATGAGGACAGGAGAGGTCGGTTTGTAGATGTGCACACCTGTGTGTTGGGAATGTATGTATCTTCCTGCACCTATGTGTGTCTGTACATATTGGGGGGCTATGTGTGTGGTAGGGAACTGTGTACATATTGTGGGTTGTGTGCCGTGTTGAGGGGGGCTGTGTGTCTATGAGGAGGGCTGCATGAGTATGATTAGGGAGCTGTGGGGTAACCTGTATCAAGGGCTGTGTGTGTTGGGGGCTGCATGTGTATTAGGGGTTGTGTGTGTGGTGCGAGTGTGGTGTGAGGTGACTGTGTATATGGGGAGCCTGTGTGGTGTGTTGAGGGCAGTGAGCTGTAGTGTGCGATGGGCACGTACACATCTCTCCTGTGGCCCCACTTAATTTCCTCAGACTCTTGGACTGGGCCCAAAGTGACCCCTCCAATGATCCTGGGGAACCCCACTTTGGAACACCTCCCCAGTCCATGAGGGGAGGCTCAAGCTGCTCTGTCCCAAATAGCGCCTCTGGTTTTTTGGTTCTGCCAGGGAAATAGAAGATGAGGCCGTGGGAAGACAGCAAAGACCCAGAGAAACAAGCAGAGCTGGAGACAAAGATAGGGAAGGAAGGGAGACCCAAACCTGGAGAGAGAGAGAAAACTGAGGGGGAAGGGGGAAGAAGCAAGAGTAGATCAAAGGCGAGGGAGAGATGAGAGGGAGAGAGAGAGAGAAAAGAGTGCAGGAGAGAGATTGATGGGAAGTTGGAGGGGGGAGTGGGGAAGAGCGGAGGGGGAAGCAGAGCCGGTGGATCAAAGGCCAGAGAGGAGGCCCGCGAGGTGGGGGGCGGGGCGGGGAGGAAGGGACGAGGGGAGGGGGCTCGATGGGGGAATTGCCGGGCGGGCGCTCGGGCGCTCCGAGCTGCGCGGCTCCCCGGGGAGACCGCAGACACTTTGCGGAGATGTTACTCCGGAGTTGGAGACGATGATAAATATGATAATTTGTATAAAATCTGAATGGGTCTTGTTTTCAGGGAGAATGCCTTGGATGATGAATGGGCCCGGCTTTCAGATAGATGGCTGATAAAAAGTGTATTGGATTGTTGAGAGCGATTTTAATTCTCATTCTGTACCTGCAGATGCCGCGGCCGCCGCGCCCGGCCTCCTCCTCCCTCCTGCCCACTGCGCGGGGCGGACGCCGGCCCGGCCGGCCTCGGCGGCTCAGGAGGCTTCTGAAATGACTCTAATTACAGAGTTATTAATTTTAAGAGGAGGGTGAGCGGGGGGTTTATGATTATTAATCGAGCGCCCGAGCTCGGCGGGCGGGGCTTGGCGGGCCGCGGGCTAGCGGCGCTCGGAGTGCGGAGGACGCGCGGGGCCCCGGGGCGGCTCCAAGCCCGGCGGGCTCCGCGGCGGCGGCGACCAGGCTCGCTTCCCACTTGGGCTGCGGGCGGCATGGTCCCTCTGCGCCCATCCGGCTCTCCTCACCCCTGCCAGTCTCCGACCCGGCCGTCCAACGTCCCTCCCTGGCCGGCTCGCCTGCGCAGCCGAGCATCAGGCTCCGCGCCGGGGTAGGCGAGCAGGTCCCCAGCCCCAGGCCCGCAGCTGTAGGCCGGTGAGGAACAGCTCTGCTAGAGAAAGCGCACCCCACCCCCACCCCCAGCTCCCAACTCCCACAGGTGTCGAGGATTGCCGTGAACCCCGAGCCTGGGACTGGCGCAAGTGCGGGCTGCTTGAAAGGCATGATCATGACAATGACGCTTATGAGGCCCTTACTGTGTGCCAGGAACTGTGCTGGGAGCTCTGAGGCTTTACTTTCTCCATGCAGAAGGGATGAGGCTTCCCACTTCTCAGATGAGGAAACTAAGACTTAGAGAAGCAACTTGTCCTTGGGAAGGTATAAATGTACTTCAAGGGTACCCTGTTCCCCACCCCTCCCCCTCCCCCATACACACAACACTTTTCCTTGACAGGAAGAGCCAGGGAGGGGCGGCAAGACAGAAAGCGCTTCTCTCTGATTTACATGCATCCAGTCACCTCCACCCCCAGTGTCTGCTCTGAATGCCTTGGCCTATGGCCTGACACCCTGTCCGTCTTAGAGGGAGGGTTTTCAAAAGCTTGGACTGCAAGCTAGGAAGGCAGACCTCCAAAAGGAGTGCGTCAATGGTTTGGCTCCATGATACTAGCACTTTGAGAGTAGTATCTGCTGAGCTACGGTGACTCTTTTAAAGAATTCAAAGGTCATCTCAAGAGGCCATTCAGTCTTACTTGGTGAGGAAATGCTTACATTCCAGTAAAAAATGAGACCCTTCAAAAACAAGCCCTGGACTCTCCTCCCCCAACACACATATTTTCATTCCTACTAATTCTGGTCTCCACAGAACTGAATCATTTCAGAACTTCAACTTCTATCTTCTGGCAAAGACAACTCCTGCCCAAGGAGAGAAAAGAAAGACCATTGCAGGCCTAGAGAAGGGAAGAACTGGCCAGGTGCAGTGGTTCACACCTGTACTCCCAGTACTTTGGAAGGCTGAGGTGGGCAGATCACCTGAGGTCAGGAGTTGGAGACCAGCCTGGTCAACATGGTGAAACCCCATCTCTACTAAAAATACAAAAATTAGCCAGGTGTGGTGGTGCAGGCCTGTAATCCCAGCTACTCCAGGGGCTGAGGCAGGAGAATCACTTGAACCAGGGATGTGGAGGTTGCAGTGAGCTGAGATTGTGTCACTGCACTCTAGGCAACAAAGCGAGACTCTATCTCAAAAAAATAAAAATAAAAAAAAATAAGAAGGAAGAACTACAGGGCAGTTCTAGGATATGGGATGGGGGCAGCTCTGGCCACAGTGAGGTCACTTCTGAGGCTGGCCACAGTGCCTGTTGTGTGGACACAGGAGCTTGTAGACAGGATGGGCTCATGGGCAGGGTCCTCTGTGCTCTGCAGTTCCCAGGGACCTTGGCCAGTCTCATGGAGGATCTGTATGGGACAACCCAGGTCAGGCCTGCATGTGGCCCATCAGGATCTGTCTAGGGAATTCTTGCTGTGGCTGGTGTTGAGGATCAGGGCCCACTTAGGCCTGATCAGAGGCTAAGCCCAGCTGGGACAGGGCATGGAGAGGAGACACCCATAGTGACGCTGCAGGCCTGGAAGCTGGGAGGGCCTGAGGGCATCTTGGAGAGGGGCAAGGCCTGACTGGGAAAAATCAATCTCTCAACACAAAAAACACTTCTTGGGGTGGGGGCCCTAGAGCTTCCTGAAGGGCTGAGTGAGGGCTGGGAGGCCCTGCAGCCTCACAGTCTTGGCTAGTCTGCCTGCAGCAGTCAGATCTGAGTTATCTGATTTAGAGGCCCTGGGCAGAGAAAATAGCAGAGTATGGAGGGAGTGAAAGAGGACTGGCATGAGGATCTGGAAGGCAGGGGGTGGGGGGCTCCTGTGTTTCACCAACTGATGTCCTTAAAGAGTCCTCTCAGCCAGACAAAATGGTTTCTTGCCCTCTGACTTCTCTCTGGGGACTAGGAGTATCTAATATAGCATATGCTTAAAGAGTGTAGGTTAGGGAGGCAGTAGGTGGCAAAGGTAGGATCTGAACCTAACCTTTGCCACCTACTCACTGTGTGATTGTGGGTAAGCTACTGAAGCTCTCTGTGCCTCAGTTTTCCCATCTGTAAAATGGGATTCATGACAGTAGGTGAGAGTTAAAGGAATTACTATATATAAAGTCCTCAGAACAATATCTGACATGCGGTCAGCCCTCAGACATGTTAGTTGTTTTGTTGTTATTATCATTAACCTTGTTCCAGTGGAGTACAAGGCCTTTCCTCTTGTTGACAACTTTTCCAGAGCATCATTACATTACTGCTCTTTGTACCCCTGACACCCTGTACCTGTGCAGGAGACAAAGCTCAATCAATGCATGAAGAAGTCCAAGGCTTGGGTGGGGGTAGGGAATGAAATAACATGATGAAATGTGTTATTTAAATGTGCCAGGAATATAAAAACTTACTTAACCTGACCAACAATTTTTTTTTTTTTTTTTTGGCTGGAGTGCAGTGGCGGGATCTCGGCTCACTGCAAGCTCCGCCTCCCGGGTTCATGCCATTCTCCTGCCTCAGCCTCCCAAGTAGCTGGGACTACAGGCGCCCGCCACTACGCCCGGCTAATTTTTTGTATTTTTAGTAGAGACGGGGTTTCACCGTTTTAGCCGGGATGGTCTCGATCTCCTGACCTCGTGATTCGCCCGCCTCGGCCTCCCAAAGTGCTGGGATTACAGGCGTGAGCCACCACGCCCGGCCAACAATTCTATAAAGCAGAAATTCTTGTCCCCATTTTACAGACGTGAACACTTAGGCAGAGTGAGTTCAAGGGATTTGCCCAAGGTCACATAGCTGGTACATTTCAGATCTGAGAAAGGTGGAGTCCACCTCCAGACTGCTGACTCCATCTTCTACCCTTGGGTGCTGCTTTCTCAGATGTCTTGGGATTAGTGAGAAGTTATCATCTTCTATAGTGTGCATTGTTCTATGAGACTGCCCGGTAAAGGGTGCATGAGGTTGGGAGAAAAACCCATTTGTCAAGTGAGACAGGACATGTGGGTTTCCACTTCACAACCACTACAGGTGAGGATTTGCAAGGGAAGAGAGTTGGAGGGTACAGGGGAGGAATCAGAATTGAGATGAAATTCACCCAGAAACCTAGGTTGACCTTAATTTAGCATCTCACCCTGCAACACACATACACACACACAAAATCTGTGACCATCTTGTTTCTGCCTCTCTCATCTAATGCTTCTGTATCCCTTAGACTTTTTTGAGGCCTCACATCTTCTTTTGCAGACCACTCACTCAGTCTCTGATGCTCTCTCTACCTACAGCTCATTGTCCATAGAGTCCCCTCCAAATCAGATCTTTTCATTCCTCTGTTGAAAAAATCTCCCAGGCAAGGCATAGTGGGTCACTCCTGTAATCTCTGCTTTGGGAGGCCAAGGTGAGAGAATTGCTTGCCTTCAGGAGTTCAAAGCCAGCCTGGGCAACATAGCAAGACCTCATCTCTACAAAACATTAAAAAATTAGCCAGGTGTGGTGGCATGTACCTGTAGTTCTAACTACCCGGGAGGCTGAGGTGGGAGGGTTGCTTGAGCCTGGAAGGTTGGGGATGCGAGGAGCTGTGATAGTGCCACTGCACTTGGCCTGGGTGACAAAGTGAGACCCTGTCTCAAAAACAAAAACAAAACAAAGCAAGCAAACAAACAAAAAATCTCTCAATTGCATCCATGACCTAAAGGAGAAAAGCAAATCCTTAGCAAAAGTTCTCCTTGCTCTAGGCCTTGCCAACCTCCCAGCCTTATTTCCCTTACTTGACCCATATATTGGCTTCACAGAATCCTTTTTGCTTCCCCAGCTAGGTAGGCTGTTGCCCCCTCCCCATGCCTTTATCTTGATGCTCCTTCTGCCTAGGAATATTTCACCTGCTTAGCTCCTGCATTTAGTGGACATCTACTGATCTTGCAAAACCCCATTCCCTTTATGAAGTGTTCCCTGACACTCCCAATTACCTTTCTCTGTATCCCAGTCACCTTTATCTTGACACTTTCCTGGAATTTATTGGTTGATAGCTCTCTCTCTTTCTCTTTGCAACCAGGTAATGTCTTCCTTGAAAACAAGGCCAGTGTGTGATTTACCTCTCTAGCCCCATTGTCCCAGTCCAGGTTTACTGACTGACTGGTGCCCTGATTCTTTGAGTCAGCCCAGCTCAGTCTCTGCCTTCCTACTTCCAAAGAATTCTGGTCTAGGCATCAGTTGCATTCTGTCTCCGTGCAGAAGTAGGAACTGATTGAGCTGCCAGTCTCCTTCCTGGAGGTTTTTCTGTTTTGTTTTGTTTGTTTTTCCACTCGTCTAGTCCAGCTCTGCAGCTGACCCACCAGCCAATGCCAGAGGAGGGGACAGGAGGAGAGAGGAGGAGCAGAGTGGGTTGGACCAGGTCGACCCAGAAGTCTCAAAAGGCTGGAAAATTTCAGGGCGTTTGTCATCCCAGGGCCGCCTAGTGGGCAGGGAAGTCTTCCACTCTGTGATCTCGGTCTCACTCATACCGGAGCCTGCAGCGGCCCTGTTGCGGTCTCAGTCTTCAGCCCGACATCATGGGGGCGCCAAAGCACAGGGGCTCAAAATGGTGAGGCCGGGGAACCGGGCGCTCCCATCTCTGTCTACGTAGATACCTAGTCAAACCGAAGGGGGAAGCTTCCTAGCATCCTTAAGCCCTCCTTTCCATCCGGTCTGCATTTCCACTTTTCATTGCAATCTGCTTCTCTTCTGCACCGCCCCCTCTCCTCCCCCACCCTTCTCCCGTCCCTTTTCCTCCCCACCCCACCCCTGCCCCCGCTTCTTTCTCCTCTTCTTTCTTCCTCTCTACCCTCTGGCCTGGGGACACCGGTGCTGGAGAAGACCCTGGGAACGGGCAGAATCTGAGCCGCGTCTCTGAGTCGCAGTGGGAAGGCGGCTCAGGAAATGCGCCCTCCGCTGGCGCTGGGTCGCGGTTCTGGCTGCGTTACTTTTTCCTTGCATCTGTGGCCCGGCGCGCCAGCCTGGACACTAGATCCGCAAGAAGGGAGTTTTCCCAGGGCCGGCTGAAGAATGAGAAGTCCGAGCTGCGGGGACGTTGGGGGTCTGTGCTTAGCGGCCACAGCCTGCCCACCACGGGTTCCCGCCACCCCGCCTCCCCACCTCCCTTCGCGCCAGGGCTGAAAGTCCCAGGCGCCCAATGCGTGCCCAAGAACGAGCCGTGAACCTTTTATCTACCCGTCCCCTTCCCCGCCATGGACCCAGGACGACACCCCACACCCAGACACCACTCTTTCCAGGGGCAGATGCTCCGGCGCGCCCCGCGCCCTGAAGTTCAACTTGGAATCCAGGTCCGCGCGGGACCCCGCCTAGCGCCCCAAGCGCACAGGCTGAGCGCCCCGCCCTGGCCTCCTGGGCCTGCGGCCTCAGCGCGAGAGCCCTGGCCCCCTTCCCGCCGCGGGTCGCGGTCGGGAAAGCGCGCCCTGCAAGGGGGTTTTGTAGATAAACAAAAGCGTTTGCTCTTCTGGTTTTCTTTTATTTTCTTTATTCGCCTGTCCCTTCCTTCTTAATCTCCCTCTTCGCTCTTGTTTCTTTAACTTATTTCCCTTCCTCATTTTCCCTTTCTTTTCGTTCGCTTTTCCTTGTCACTCTCCTTCTTGTTCTCTTCTGTCTCTTTCTGTATCTCCCTCTTCCATTTTGGCCCCTTCTCTGCCTCTGGGTTTCCCTTTCCCGGGCCCCTCACTCTTCCTGGGCTAGGATTGCGCCGTCTCCCTGCATCATTTTTCCTGGCTCCGCTGCCTCTTTCTCACTTTTTCGTTCTCCCGGCGGCCACCGTCTGGCGGGCTTGGGTCCGGCTCCCCCGCCGCCGCAGTGATTTATTCGCTTCACCCGGCGGAATCAGGTGCTGAACCGAGCCCCGGAACGAGAGAACAGATTTCTCCCAGGAAAGGTTTTGTGAACTAAACGATGCTAATTACGGGGTGGGGGATGCGTCGCCCGGGAAGGGGAGGCGCGCGGGGCCGAGCGCGGCCTGGGAGGGGAGAGACCGGGGCTGGCCGAGGCCCTCCCGGGGCGCCTCCCCTGCACCTCTCGCCCTGGCTTTCGCCTTTCCCTGGGAACTTTCCCGTCTGAGTTAACTATTAACCACCGGCGAGAGGCAATTTTCTTCGGAATTTCAGCGATTTCCTTTTCGCAGTGGACTCAGATTAGCACGCAAACAGTGAGATGCTCGGCTTGAGTCTACGCGCGGGCGAAGATGCCTCTGTCGCCTCAAACAGTGTCCTTCGCGACGGCGGAAAACTACAGCCCGCCCCCGCTCCCGTGCCTGCTCAGGAAGCCGTGACCAAGCCAGTGCCCGCCGGTGCCCGGAGTGAAGGTGGAAAAAGCCGAGTGCTCCTGCTCGGGGGCGGGGTTGAGAGGGGGAGATTAATCCGGGCAAGCCAAGGGGACCTTAGACTTGCAGCCAGGGCCGCCACCCGAGGAGCCCGCATGCAGGGACGCGCCTGAAGGCTTAGTCAAACCCGGGGAAATGCCCTCCCCCGCCTGCAGAATCCCCACGCCGTCTCTTACTTCCTCCCTCTTTGCCACTGGCGAGCTTACACGTGCACACACACACACCCCTCTCTGTCTGTGACCGCAACAAACTTTGTGAAACTTGAACCGCTGGGTGCAAAGTTCACGCCCTTTTCTCCTTTCCTCTCTTGCCTGGGCCGGCTCCTCCTGGAGCAGGGAGGGAAGAAGTTCTTGGCCTCCAGACCTGGGAGAGGAGTTTCCGAAAGTCAGGGCCTCGCCTCGCTGTGACATTAGACCCTTGCCACCCACCAGACCGATGGACACTAAACACTTTCCTTGTCGGAAGGCGCTAGTAGTTGCAGCGGCCAGGCTTGGCAGGGCCCTGGTCGACCACCCCACCACTGCCCTGGCCGGACTTTCCCAGGGCGTTGGTCTCCTGGTCCCTATTAAGTCGGGGCTGTCCTGGGCTTGGAGCCCAGGTTCAGGGCTGTCAGCCCCTTGCCAGCTGTCTGAGCTCTCTGCCTTTCTAGTTTATTTTCCCCCAGCTCTTGCCCTGGGTTAGCTCTCTCCCAGCCCTCCACTCTGTCTCTGTCTCCGACTCCATCTCTGGCAGGGCTGCCACTGTCTCTCTGTCTCTCTGTCTCTCCCTGTCTCTCTGTCTCTGTCTCTCTTGTTTGTTTCAAGGCGCGGACACTGATTGTGCCTTATGAAGTTCTAACTGGTTTTGTGTCAGGAAGATCTTTCTCGCCGCTACCCAGCCTGGCGTGACGGATTAAACATCAACTAGTTAAATAAAAATTAATATCAACTGCCTCCTAACTTCTAATGTCATGTTGTTTATAACTAATGAACTGATTAGGGGATAAACATATCACGAAGACATTCCACTCTCCTGCCTCGGCTCCGCTGCCGCCTGGTACCCACTCCCCAGCATGGCCTGCGGGTTGCCAGGCCAGAAGGAGTTGGGGGAGGGGGTTGCTGGAGGCGGAACAGGCTGGAGGGCCTGAGGGCTCCCTGGGGCTTGCTCCTCTTCCTGCCTTGATCTCTTTACTCCCTTTCTCTCTTGTCTTTCCTTCTCATTTCCTTCCTCTGTACATTTCCTCTTCTCAGTCTCTCTTGTTCCCTTCTTTCCTTATTTCTGTCTCCCTCTCTCCTTTTTTCCTCCTTTCCTCCCATCCATTCCTGTCCTCCTCTGCCCTGTGCTTCTCCGCCTCTGTCTCTGGTAGTGTTTCTCTCTCTCTGCCAGTCTGGGCCCTGAACCCTTCCCTCTCTGGTTCTCCTCTCTTCCTCCCTCTATTGGAGTTTCTGCCTCTCTCTTCCCCCTTGTTCCCCATCATTCGGATTCATTCCTCCCTAGCCAGTGCAAAGCATAATGATGACCAGTCCTTGTGACTAGGCCTCTGCCCTGCTACAAAGCAGGAGGCTGCAACCTCTCCCTCAGCACCTTGGTGGAGACTGATGCTCCTCCCTGCTCCCCAGCTATTTAGGGGAGAAGGGAAGGAACTAGAAGACGTGAGGGTCCTGTTTTTTATTTCTCCTCTATTTGATCTGGAACAGGAGTGAGGAAATAAAAAATGATTTTTTGAAAACTTTTGCTTTTCATCTTGTCCCAGAATAAATTAATACAGGCTCAGGTGCTAAATTTAATTTTCAGGAAAAGAAAAACTGCCCTGATACCTCTCCTTCAGGGTCTTCAGCTTTCTCACCAGCCAGCCCCAGCCTGACCTGAGCAGCCTCCTGCAGGGCCCTTTTCCTAAAGATACTTAAACCAAATCACAATTGTCATCATGACAACAATAAGGCAGAGAAGCCAGTAATCACAGACCCAGCCCCAGTGATTATTTTTTCTCCTAAGAAGCCACAACATTTAAACTTGGTTTGCCCTGGACCTCAGGGTCTGACAAGACAATAACAACAGAAAAAGCTTTTAAAACCAATTTAGCACACGTGAAAATGTAATTCTAATGAAGAATCAATAGGCTGGCGGATCATTTTTCCTGGGACTCCTTGGAGATCCTGAGAGAGACTTTCAATCAATGGGGCGGGCAATGAGCAAGAGGGCCCAAGAGACAGTGCAGGACAGGGGTGAGGGCCAGGAGACAAAGAGAAGCTGAGCCTGAGGGAGGAGGCCAGAGGGAGGCTGAGGTACAGGGCTGGGCCCTTTGACTGACATCACTTTGCAGGCTTCCGGAGGAAGAGTATCAGAGCCAGAGGTAAGAAGTCACCTTCCTCTTCATGGCCCCTCTGGTATGCAACAGGCGACTTTGCACAATGGCCTCAGCTCTCTTCCCCTGAGCCTAGGCCCTGGCCTTGGCACTGCCCCAACTCTGGGCCCTGTGTTCAGGTAACTGTGACCAATGGGCTCAGGAGCAGGCAGGGGACACTGAGTACGTGTGTTTCCAGTTCAAAACACCTGGTTCCCAGTGGGTGCTTCCCGCTGTATGTGTCTGGTACGCTGGGCCTCAGTTCAAGTCTCTGACAGAACAGAAGCAAAAGCACCGGAAGTATGTGTGGTCATACTTCACATTTTACAAATCACTTGCACACACACTATCTCACGAGAAGCCTGCTAGAAGGGCAAGGATTATCATCACTATTTCAGAGAAAAGGCCACAAAAGGGCACAAAGAGCTGTGCAGTGAAGGTGAGACTCAGCAGGCCACAGTCCCTGTGTGTGAGTGGGTGTGGTTCTGAATAGGTGACAGCGAGAGGCTAATCAATGTGTGATCATCTCACATGTATGCAATGGAGGGGCCACACAACAGTGTGAGATTTTTGTCACGATGGTGTGAGATTTTTGTGTATGTAACTAAGGTCTCATGTATACATATTGCTCTCCATCCCTGTCCTTGGAAATGTCGCTCCGTGGATAACAAAGTGAAAAAAATTTTTTTTGCTTCTAAGTATTTGTGTGCTTGGGTTGGAAAATCACTGATGGAAAAAGAAAAAAAAAACACCACCATGGTCTGATATTTTAAATCACAAATATTAGTACGATGATAATTTGGCCATAATTTGCCTGAAAGGGTAAAAATATCATATTCTTGTAGAAAGATATTTAAATTTTAAGTCACAGAACCATGATATAGGTTTTGCCTCTGGGCTCTTGTGCCCCTCTGGCTTCCTGTCCCTAGTTATACAACCTTTCTAGAGGAAGTTCAGCTGAAGTGGTGGGAGTCCCTTTCCTATTCCTGAGGGAAGTTGGCCCAGTGGGCCTGGTGAACCTGCTGCCTGGCTTGCCTTGGTGCCTTCCTGCCTGGGGCCTGGTGGAGTATGCTCAAGATGGGGCCAGCCCCAGCCTCTGCCTGCCCACGGGGGTTTACCCAGCACTTTCCTTGATAGCCTCTCAGTTTTCCCCCGTGAGTGTGAGCCAGGCTGTGAAGTGGGAGGCCCAGGGTATGTGGGTAGGGGTATTAAGTGGAGCAAATGAAGAAGGGGAACCCTGGGGCAAGGAGGAGTGGGAGCTGTGGTGCTTAGAAGGTGTGTGTGTGTGTCTGAAGTAGGAGTACAAGACGGTGCAGATGAGCAAAGGGTGTGAGAGTTTTGAGGGAGAGCTTGTGGCTAAGGTGTGAGAGGTGTAAATTCCAGGTTGGGAGGGAGTGATGTGGGCAAAGATAAAGTGGGCCTTTCATCAGGGTTGGAAGTATCAGTGTGCTGGAAGAGGAGGGTGTGAGTCTGAGGGTATAAGAGACTTGGGACCAGAATGCTATGGACGGGCATGGCTCAAGCGGGTGGCCCTGTGAGTGTGGCAGGAGTTTGGAAGGGGTGAGTTCCTCCTCCCTTTCCCCCTCGCCCTCGCCATCTCTTTAAAGGCAAGGAAGCCAGAACTTTTTTCTTTTATTCAGTTTAAAAATAAAAAAGCTCCTGGAGCAGGAGAACCTGTGAGGGATTTAGCGAGCACTTCCACCCTGAACATAGCGGGGACAGGGCCCTTCTGGAACCACTGTGTGGCCTGAGAAAGTTAGGGCATGTCTGTGGAGATCCTGGAAAGGGAGGCTGTGGAGCCTCACGTTCCAGAAAGTGGAATGAGCCGAGAGCTGAGAGTGGTGGGGAAGGGGAACCGCACAAAGTTGGGAAGTAGGCGAGAAGCCAGGCTGTGGGTCTGGAGGGGGGCGTGTGACAGTGAAGAAGAGGGGGTTGGGTGAGAGGGTGTGCCGGCGTCTAGGCTGGGCTGCGGTCCGTGGGCGCCTCAGGCAGCGAGGGTGGCTGCTTGCCTGCGGCTGGCTGGGGCCTCGGTGCGTGTGCACGCGTGTGCGCGGGGCGGAGAACCCGGGCTCCTCGGGGTGCCGGAGCCTCTGCGCGGCCGGGAGTGAGAGAGCGGGCGCGGGCGGAGCACACAGCCGTGGCGGCGGGCGGCTCGGGTTATCTGAGCCGCTTGGTGTTGGGTGGCTGCGCCCAGATCTCCGGGCGGCGGCGGCGGCGAAGGCGAGACGCGTTGTCGGGCCGCGGAGGAGCGGGACAGCCAGACCCAGCCCCAGGACGCGGCGGCCGCGGGGAGCCTAGCATGGAAGAGCGCGCGGGTCCGGCAGGTAAGAGCGGCAGAGACCCGTCCGCGCCGCAGGCGAGGACTAGGGGAGAGGGATGGGGGCGGCCATGGCCGGGGCGGGCTCCTCTCCTCTTTCATCCCTGTGCTCAGTACCCGGCGGGCGACGTGAAGGCTGGGGACTGAGGCTCTGCGGACTCTGGGGCCTCCTGGGCCGTCCCTCCCGGTGTCCTCTAAACCTTCTGAAAACTTTCCACTCAGAAAATGTGAGTTCTACAACTTCGCTTGCAGAACTTGGCTTTTTCCTTTCTGTTGTGTGTTGAGGACTTTCTCGTTCTACTTTGGGCTACAGATATTTTGCACAACTTCCTCCAAGTTGGGAGCATTGGGAAGGCCTTCGCTTCCAGTAAGCAGGGAGTGTGAGCTGGGCCAGCGCCTATGCCAGTGGGTGGGGAAACTCTGTGTGTACCTGTGTGTAGGGTCTTATGTATTCGATTATGAACACTAATGTAGATGAGCCTAACCTCTGTAGGGAGAAGGCTGTGTCCCCCCAACCCCAAATCAAGGGCAGCATGGGGACAGGTGGCAGGCCCCAGGGGACCCAGTGGGGAGAGGAATCTGAAAATGTTTACCCAAAGGGCTAAGGGAGTAGAGTGTTGCTCTCTTTTTCTTCCTTCCTTCGCTTGTCCCCCAGGCTGCCAACTCAGCTCTGGACTGCCCTTTAGGTGCCCTGGTGTTGTACAGCGGTGGGAAGCCAGGCACCCAAGTTTAGTTTTGGACTTCGGGGGAGGGAGAGGGTTGGAACAGGTTTCCAGAGTTTTCCAAATAATTCCACAGAGGTCAAGGCCTAATTTGAGGCCTTTTTTGCCTCACTCCTCACCTTTCCCAAATCTCATTCCTTGCTCCCCCCTCCCCCAGCTCAGGTTCCAGTTGTTTCAGCTGATAACCCAGGTCCCACCCCCAGCCCTACCCTTGATCTAGCTTCTCGACCCAATCCCTGGGCTGTACCCAATTCCCCTCCTAGGGCCTTGTCCCCACTGGGAAACCTGAACCCCCGGGAGTGTCAACTGTGGCCACCTGAGCTTTTAGGGCTCTGGGCAGACCCTCTGCACCAGAGGTTTAAGTAGGGAGATCAATAGCAAACAGTTGTAATGATCTAATTAATTATGGCAAAATTAAAAGCGAGTACAAAATCAATCTCTGATGGTGTTGAAGATGGAATTCAATTGAGAGCCCATCTGTGCACCCCCTCGACCGTATAAATATTCAGCCCAAGGACAGACCTAACGTCTGGGACTTCCTGAGAACCTCTCTCCCCTTTCTTCCTCTCTGCACAGGGCTTCTCTCTCCCAAACTCTTTCTGAATCTATTTTGCCCCTTGATACCTCCTGTCCCCTGCCCTCCTTCTTTCCCTTTCCCATTTGCTCAAGCTCCTGAGACTCCAACTTTTCCATTTTCCCTCCGGGCAGGCGCTCTGCCTGCATTGCAGGCCTGAGGTTTGTGAACCAGGTTCTCAGTCCCAGCAAGTCTCCCAGCAAGGCATCTAGGCCCCCTCCCCAGGACCTCGGGAAAGAGAAGGCAGTGTGATGGGGAGCATCCTTGAGTGCCTGTCAGGGTCCTTATTCCAAATTTTCTGGCCCTCAGGATACTACAGAAGAGACCAGGGCACTCTCCACTTACCCAGGGGCGCCTGCACCTACTTGGGCCTGACGGGTTAGGGCGGCCGCTTACCCGGCGCGCGTGGCACAGCGGCCAGCGGCCCGACTCCGCACCGCACTTCCTTTCCCTTCCCTCTTTTCCCGCCTTTGCGGGTGCGGGTCTCGTGTTCCAGGCAGCAGCAGCTCCGGGAAAGGCGGGGGGGAGCTGCGGAGCTGGGCAGGAGACAGGGCTGTGTTTGGGAAAAGGAAACCGCACTTCGAGGCGGCTCCGCAGAGCAGAGCTGCAGAGTCTTCCGCCCTCCCAGCCGCCTTCTCCCTTTGCCTCTTTCTCTTTTCACCGCCCCCTCCCTCATCTCTTCGGTAGCCACGTTTGGCCGGGGCACAACTCCCTGGAGGCCCTGCCCCCCTAGACGGCCCCGAGCCCTTTTGGACCTCATCCGGCTAGTTTAAAATGACAATGACAGAGGCGCGTGACCGAACGTGCCTGCCGGACGTCCTGGCGCAACTGCCGCAGCCGGGTTTGCGAAGGATGCGGGTTTTACTTAGTCTCGCTGAGCCTGTTCCGGAGCAGCGAAAACCATCAGGAAAGGGCGAGAGAAGGAGGAAGGGGATTGAATCAGCAACTAGGGCAATTGTGGTCTTCAGCTATCGCTGCCTATACCCCCAGAACTTACAAAAATAAGCCGTTTATTCGATGCCCTCCCTTTTTCTGCACTGCTCTGTCCCAGCTGGCTCTCTGGCTCCCTGACGCTGGTCCCCTGCCTCTGCCTTCTGGGGCCCTGAGCTCCCTCCCTGGCCTGCACTGAGTTCCCAGGTTTCTTTCTACCTTGGGAGACTTCTCCTCTCCCTCTCCCCATTCGGGCGCCAGGCTTTCAGAGCCTGGGGGAGACACAGCCTGATGCCTCGCCGCCCTCTTTTGCCAGGCCTCCTCACCCCGTTATTAACTGCTGTGTTGACCTGCAGGATTGATTGGCGGCCCCGCTGGAAGAGGCTGCGGAGGCCTTGGCCTCGGAGCAGCCTCTGCTTAGGGCAAAGGGAGAGAGGGAGGGGGAGGTGCTGGATATGGGTCCCCAGCTCCCATCTCAGCCCCGCCTGGAACACAGCTGTCTGCCTATACTACCTTCGCCACCCCCTGGCACTTTTTACACACCCTCACAACACTCAAGCACACTCCTACGATCCCCTCATCCAGACGCTCAGCCCCCAAAGAGACACATCAGAAATTCTCCTTAATTGATTCAGAAATTGAAAGGGGCTTCCTCCCTCCATCAGTTTCTTCAATGTATTCGTTATCCGCGGGTCTAGACCTCCCAGCCCGTCTAGACCTAGCGGAGCGAACTCCTGGAACCTGAGGGATTTTTTTCTTTCCAACATTTACCTTGCAGCTTTTCTTTTTTAGGAACAGTTACACAAAGTTAAGAAATAATTCTGGATGTAGGTGACGCTTGAGATGCAAGTCTCAAACCAAAGCATTTTTTCCAGAAAGAGACCCTGTCCTGGCTCCTGAGGGATTCAGTTCAGCCCTTTTGTTTCAAGTTCGGGGAACGGATGGCTCTGGACCTTGGAGGGCAGAGGCTGGCAGTCGCCTGGGGCAGGGGTCTCACCCTACAGAGAGGGCCCTCCTTCCCCCTTTCCCCGAGGGCCTAATCCGTCGCGCGCGCGCACGCGGACACACACACACACACACACACACACACACACACACGGCCCCCATAGCCACCGCAACTCTCAGCAGCAGCCCTAGCCCCGACCCGAGGCCCCAAGACGGCGGGCCAGGAACCCCTGGGACGTCCTGGCTCCAGGCTGGACGTAGGCGGAGGTGGCAGGAGTGGACAAACCCAGGCGGGTCCCACGACGCCCCTTTCCTCGGGTCTCTCCTTGTTTCAGCCAGCCGCTCTCGCCCCTGGTCCCCTCTCCCCTGCGTTCGGGTCCTTTGTCTCCAGCCACCTCGCAGCCTGTCCCCGCCTCGGCGGCCCTGCCCTTTGGGCCTCCCAGTCTCTCTGGCGGGTCCCCCTGCCTTACCAGCTCCCGGCTGTGGCGCGCTCTCCGCCTGCTCCTCACATCCACACAGCTGCTGGGAGAGGAGGAAGGAAAGGCGGGCGCGCCGCGGATGGATCCGAGACGGTAGATTTGGTGCCGGCTCGCAACTCTGGGAAACTCAGCGCGGGTCCTCCCGCCCCTCTCCAACTCTGCCCAGCGCGGCCCGGTCGCGCGCGCTCACCCGCGGGGACCCTTCCTTTCCCTGTATTTCGGCTGTGGCTGTTTCGCTCCCTCTGGTCTCCCAGCCTCTGGAGTGTGCTTCCCTGGCCCTGCTCTCCGTTCCCTTTCGGCCGCCCCCGGCTGTCGCCTGCCCCCACCCTCCGCAGGTCCCACGGTCGCGGCGGCGATGACTGTGGAGGTAACGCCGGGGACGTCCTGGGTCAGCCTGCACCGTCTCCCTCGACCACAGCCCGATGAGGCCGCGGGCTCCGGGCCGGCTGCTAAGAGAGTTAATCATTACTTCGCCAGCGACACTCAGCCTCCCTCCGACTCTCTCGCCCGGCCTAGGGGAGGAGGGGAGGGGACAGCTGGCCAGGTGGGGACTTCGGCTTCGCACAAACCAGCCTCTTCAGGCCTCCCAGAGACAGGTGGTGGCTTCTCAGTTCCCTCGGCAACTCTCTAAGGTCCTCTTTCTTCCC
The DNA here is from genome assembly GCF_000001405.40 of Homo sapiens. Classification (NCBI taxonomy): domain Eukaryota; kingdom Metazoa; phylum Chordata; class Mammalia; order Primates; family Hominidae; genus Homo; species Homo sapiens. The sequence goes on from NC_000010.11 coordinate 100,740,024, forward strand.
CTCCTGTCTCTCCCTCCTTCGAGCCTCCTCCCAGCCAGGCCTCTCCCCACCGTCTCCTGTCCGCTCTGGCTTTGACTGATTAACTGCAGGTCCTGGGAGAACCAACTTTCTTTGTTTGGAACCGGACCGGACGGGATTTCCTTCCCTAGGTCTCCGCCAATGGGCCAGCTCCTCCCGACGGTTTTGGCGGACTGGCTGAAGAGGACCGCGCCTGAGGCCACAATTAACCCGGCTGTTGGTGGTGGTGGTTGGGGGGTGGGCAGTGAGGAATTTAACCGATCCTCTAGCAGCTGCGCTGGTGCAGTTGGGAGGGGGGTGCAGGAAGTGGGAATGGAGGAGTGGCAGGAGGTATAGACAGAGGGAAGAACGATAAACCTGGACAGGTGTGGCATAGCCAATAGAAGGGGAAACAAAATAAAACAGGAAGGCGGCGCGGGGAGGAATCCCCAGTAACCTTTATAGGATTGAAGTTGGGTGGAAAACGCCACCTCCTGCCCTACCTTAGCACTCAGATCCCTCCTTTACCTCTTTGTGAAAGGGTAAGAGTTCAGAAAGCTGGCCATTTACTCCATAATCTACTAGAGAAATGTCTGGGTTTGCAAAATGCCTATTGATTAGCTCCATGGAGTAGACAAGACAGGCGTAATTATCCCCATTTTACAGGTGAGAAAACTGAGTCTCAAAGAAGCAAAGGGACTGTGTATGTAGTGGCTGTCACTTTTTCCTGTAGGCTGTGGGGTGAGTGGCCCCTTTAGGAGGTCCATGGGTATCTAGGGAGGCGGTACAGGCTGTGTCCAGGTCTGAGCCAGAAGTACCAGGGCCTCACGGGGCTCCTAGCCCTTTTAGCTTGTTCTCTGTTGGACAGGACCTTCACTCTTACTCTCTAGACCTGCTGGCTGGGTTTCTCCCAGCTTCGCTATTTTTTCAGTTCCCTAGTAGAGTGGCCCATGGGCGGTAGCCACCTGGCTGGCCCGTGCCACTAAGAGGCAGCTTTGGTGGCCAAGTGGCTTGCATTGTTGTTGCTCCTCAAAGGGCCTGTGAAGGGCTGGGCAGGTCGCAAAGACCTCTTGTGAGGGGAAGCTAGATTAAAGGGGGAGGGATCCTGGAGGATAAAGGCCCAGCACGTGCGCCTGGACTCCACAGGACCAACAGACCGAGCGGGCGGGGCCAGCTGGGAGTCAGGCCCCCCGGGCTTCACGCAGGGAGCCCAAATATTGGGAACAAAAGCAGGAAAAGAAGAGTGAGAGCAGGAGGGAGGGAGGGAGCGAGGAAGCAGAAATTAGGGGGTCTTAGATGAAAAAAAAAAGAAAGTAGCTTTAGGGGGAATGTGCTGTGGAGTGTGAAATTGCAGCCCATGGTGCTCCATATTGTACCAGAAGCTCTTCCAAAAAAAAAAAAAAAAAAAAACCATCCTCCAACGTGACCAGAGGGCCAGGCAGGGGGAAGGGCGGGGAGAGAATGGGGAGGAGGAGGGGGAAAGGCCGGGCAGGAGCCGGTCAGGCCTTTCTGCGGAAGGGGCTGGGGTGTAAGTTTCGGCTCCCTGGGATCTGACAGCCGAGGGTATGCGCCCTGGGGTGCGCCGGGACCCAGAGGGCGAGTGAGCCTCGGTTGGTCGGCTCTGGAGTTCGGTTGTCAGAAGAACTTTTATTTTTCTTTTTGGTGGTGACTTCTAAAAGTGGGAATAATCCAGAAATGAAGCTCAGCTGCGGAGCTGCAGCTCTGTTCTCCCTCTCTCCCCTCCCTTTCTGCTTCTCTTCCCTTCGGACTACTTTTCTCCCCTTGGTTCTAAACAGCTTTTTCCCCTCTGAACTTTAATGCATTTAATTTGGTCCGCGCTGTGGGGAGCATTTCCTGGGGAGATGCATTTAATTTCGGAATTTCTAATCCCCTCCCTCAGACCCCGGTCCTAGCTCCCCTAGCCGCTCCCCGGGAAGTGGAAGGAGGAAGGCAGGTCCCGGCCACGGGGGAGGGGCGCGGCTGGGATGCTCCCGCGGCCCCCTCCGTCTCACCAAGGCTCAGCCGCCTTCCCAAGCTACTGGAGGCCGGGCGCCTGGGCCCCGGGTCAGGGCCCTGCAGGAGGAGGAGAGGCAACCACGCTTCTGCCTTTTCTCGCCTGGGCAGAAAACGCTGGGCCAGGGAACTGGAAACCGGAAAACAGGAGAAAGGGTTTCTGGAAGGCAGCGGGAGCGGGTGGCAGCGGGGCAGCGGGCAGTGGACTAGGTCTACACCGGCACTTCACTTTTGCACAACATGCCCAGAAACGCATTTGAGAGCCCTGGAGTCGCGCTTGGCTTGGCTTGGGGCGCCGGTGCGTGGGTACACTCGAGGTGCGGGGTGCCTATCCGCCACCCCGACACCTACACCCAGACAGAGCAGGCGCGGCCCAGCCAGAAAACCAGGCCGGCAGTAGCTCGGCCTGGAGGGCGGAGGCAAGGTTGGGGGCCGCCAGGCGCCTGGGCAAGCCTGGCAGGGAAGGGAGCCGAGAAGGCAAAGGAGCCGAGATCCACAAGGAAGATTTATTGGGCAGATCAGATGCACAGAGGCGGCTAATGAAGCAAATCCCGAGATGGGTATCAGAGCAACTCCCCAAAAGTTTATTTGCCTTTAAATTTCCGCAGGGAGGCGGGCTCCTTGTTTGAAGTGTAAATGCCCCTAGGTTGGGGGGTGGAAGGGCCGCTTTGAAAACACCAGAGAGAAAAGGTTCATTTAGAGGCGGACGGGAAAAGCAACCAACCCTGACAGGTCGGAGCCCGGGTAGTGTTTGGGGTTGGGTTGTTTTCTTTCTTTCTCTTTCTTTTCCCCTTTCCTCTTCTTTCTTCCTTTTTTTTTTTTTTTTTTTTTTTTTTTTTTTTTTTTTTTGCTTTCTTGCTTCCCCCCACCCCTCTACTAGACTGTATAGAAGAAAGAGAACAGAAAAGGGGGAGTCAGAGGAGCGGCCAGTGACTGGATGAAGGCCAGCCCTTCATCCTGGAGCCCCAGGAGAAGGCAGAGCTTTGGAGAAAAGGGGTTCCTAATCTCCAGGGAGCATTACTCTTTGACTCTCTAGACCCAGGAATGGGCTGGAGCTAATGGGGAAGCGGCCAGGAGCCGGCCTGGCGGAAGAGTGAGTGTCCAGCTAGTGCAGTGCTGGGGAGACGATCCCAGGAGCAGGGGGGACTCTCAGGGGCTACCTGGGAATGGGACTATCAGAAGGGTCTTTACTCCTCAGAAGGTGCATGTGAAGGACAGGTGTGTGAGGACAACTTCCAGCACACTTGGCGCATTAAGTCCCCTTCTCTACAAAATGGAAAATCCTTCTCGCCCAACATGTGAAAATGCTTGTTGTGGGCACCCACATTTCATGGTACTTGTAACATAGGGACATGTCTAGCTGGTTCTAGAAAAATCTGTGTCTGTGTGGAAGGGGGGGGGTTTACTCACAGCTTTCTTCCTTCAATAGTTCACACACCCCGAGACAAATTCCTGGATGACCAACTTGGAGAGACCTGGGGCAAAGGTTACTTTAGTTCTGAGCTCCTCTAAATAAGGACCCTTTCTCAACGTTCCTTTCACCCCAGTTCTGGGTTAATTACTTCCCAGAGGGGAAAGCCAAGGCTGTGCTAGCTAATACCACCTGAGATCCCTTGCACTCTGGCCTGGGAGCTGTTACTTTTCGGCTGCCCGAACTGTTTTCCTTCTTCGGTCCCTACACGAAGTTAGTGCGTGTTCGTGGGGTTGTGAGGCCAAAGCAAACCCGGGAGCGCCATCTGCAGGCCTCAAGAGGAAGAGACTGACCTTAGAGGCTAGGCCCTGCGTCTTCAACCTCTAGCCCAAGGGAACCAACCTGCCTAGCCACCCAAGGGAAGTGGGATAGGGGCTGGGAGGGGCAGGCGGTGAGGAGTGTTTTCCTCCCAGACTTTACCCCGCAGGTGGATTAAGCTTATTGGGCTCTGGAGGATACAGGAGGGAGGGCAAATGCCAGGATCCCAGCGGACCCAGGCCCCACAGGAGTGAGAGGCTCAGAACCTCGTCCCGCTGAGCCTGGCCTGAGCTCCTCCTGAGGAATAAGGGCATCCCAAAAACCCGGGTACAAGACGCCCAGTAGTAGTAGTTAGGCTGAGTCAGGCAGGTGCATCTCTCCCCATGGTATCTGCCGCCCAGGCTCCGGCCAGAGGGAGGGGAGCGCGAGTCCGCCGCGCTTCCGCGGGGCGCCCGGAGCTGCAGACGGGGGCTGGAGGAATCTCGGATTCGGGCTGCAAGAGCGCTGCGCAAGCTTCGCCGAGCCGCCCTTTCGCAGACCCAGGGAAGCGGGGGGAGGGAGCGAAGGAGGGAGAGAGAGTTAAAACATCAGCTGAAGTGCCAAGATGATTTATGAGACGAGGGAAAATATTTCATGAAGATCTCCCGGATATTCTGTACTTAACCAGTTAGGAGACAAAGGGCTTCTTCTGCCTGGTGCGTGCGAGCGGACCCCAGCGAGCAAGGGAGCTAGTGCCAGAGAGAGCTGCGGAGGCTCCGGCAGGAGTGGGGACGTCCCCGTGGTTGCGCCTCCTGCGCTCGCCCCGGATCCACCGAGCTAGCAGCGGGCGGCGCTCAGCCGCGTCCGCAGCCTCCTCTTCTCCCCAGCCGGGGAGAGCCAGCCTCGTCTCCCACATCCTCTGCCGCCAGCGACCTGCAGCTCCGCACTGTTTCCCTCCCCTGTACCCCCTTCCCAGTCACCCGAGGGTTCAGAAACCAAGTCCCCCGGCTCTCCCGCCATCCGCTGGGTCCCACCGAGGCAGGTGGGTACTCGCCGGAGGTCTTCAGCTCGATTCTGAACCAAGCGTTCTGGACTGCCCAGACCCGGTGGGCAAGGGGACTGGGGAGGCCCTGCGCACAGTCGCGTGGAACGGGAGGGGACAAGACAAACTGCTGGACACTTTTCCGTGGAATGAGAAGTGGGGGGTGCGTGGGTGGGAAGGTACCTCCGGAGGGAAAGGCCAAAGGGAAGGACCAGAAAGAGAGGAAGGAAGAGCCGGGAAGGAACGGAAGGGAACTCAGAGCCGAGGGTGGTGGGGTTGGGGCTAGGGATGCGCACTGGGCCCGGGGCCGCGCGGCCCAGGCGGGCACTGGCCAGTGGATGGCAGGGCTGGGCGAGTTAGAACTGAGAGCCCGGCTTCACAGCGCAGCGCGCTCCGAGGCCCTCTGTCGTTACCTGAATATTCATTAGACTGACCGCTCTTTATCCTTATCTAGCGTTTATCTTATCGGCGAGTTTCGTTTCTCAGTGTAGTTTTAATCCCGGGCTCCCATTCCCCCTCCCCCGGTCCGCTCCCCTCCCTCCCTCTTCCTTCGCCGGCTGCTCCCTCCCTCCCTCCCTCCCATTTCTCCCTCCCCTGCCCTCCCCTAGCCGGCACCGGAGTGACAGGCTCGGGGCCCTCCTCGCCGAAGCTCGGGGCTCCAGCGCTGGCGAATCACAGAGTGGTGGAATCTATTGCCTTTGTCTGACAAGTCATCCATCTCCCGGCGCGGGGAGGGGGAGGAGGTCTGGAGGGGGCTTTGCAGCTTTTAGAGAGACACACACCGGGAGCCGAGGCTCCAGTCTCCGGCCGAGTCTTCTCGCAGCCGCAACCCACCTGGGGCCAGCCCAGAGCTGCCAGCGCCGCTCGGCTCCCTCCCTCCCTCCCGGCCCTTCGGCCGCGGCGGCGTGCGCCTGCCTTTTCCGGGGGCGGGGGCCTGGCCCGCGCGCTCCCCTCCCGCAGGCGCCACCTCGGACATCCCCGGGATTGCTACTTCTCTGCCAACTTCGCCAACTCGCCAGCACTTGGAGAGGCCCGGCTCCCCTCCCGGCGCCCTCTGACCGCCCCCGCCCCGCGCGCTCTCCGACCACCGCCTCTCGGATGACCAGGTTCCAGGGGAGCTGAGCGAGTCGCCTCCCCCGCCCAGCTTCAGCCCTGGCTGCAGCTGCAGCGCGAGCCATGCGCCCCCAGTGCACCCCGGCCCGGCCCACCGCCCCGGGGCCATTCTGCTGACCGCCCAGCCCCGAGCCCCGACAGTGGCAAGTTGCGGCTACTGCAGTTGCAAGCTCCGGCCAACCCGGAGGAGCCCCAGCGGGGAGCGCAGTGCTGCGCCCCCCGCCCCCGCGCGCCCCGCAGCAGCCGGGCGTTCACTCATCCTCCCTCCCCCACCGTCCCTCCCTTTTCTCCTCAAGTCCTGAAGTTGAGTTTGAGAGGCGACACGGCGGCGGCGGCCGCGCTGCTCCCGCTCCTCTGCCTCCCCATGGATATGCACTGCAAAGCAGACCCCTTCTCCGCGATGCACCGTGAGTACCGGCGCCCGGCTCCTGTCCCGGCTCGGGGCTCTCCGTCCCAACCCTGTCCAGTCCCAGCGTGGCCCCGGCCCCTCGCGCTCAGGTCCCATCTTGGAGGCCTCCCTGGCTTCTGGTCCCTCTTTTCGTTCTTTCTCTCCCTCGCCCGGTGTTTCTAATGCCTCCAGTTTCTCTCCTGCCTTCTGTCACCCATTCTTACCTCTCTGTCTGCCTGCCTTCCTACCTTCCCTGATCCCTATCACCTGCCTTTGCTCTTTCTATCCGCTCCTTCTTAGGTCATGGGATCCACGGCCTCGGAGCCCTGGTTCCAGCCACCCTCTCCCTAGTCAGCCTCTTGCCCTGGGCTGGGGGGCAAATTAGCAGGCAGTTTTCAGGGTGTTGTTTTGTTGTTTTCTCTGTCTTTTCTCTCTTTCTCTCTTCCTCTGTTTGCCTCCCTCTCCTGTCTCCCCACATCTTTATCTTTCTCAAACTTAAGAGTCGTGGGGTCCAGGAGACTCCAAGAGTATTCAGCCTCAGTGTCAGGACAATTGGGCAGAAGAGTGTGGGGGTGGGGTGCCCCCTTCTGACCCTCATCTCTCAGCATCTCCAGGCCCTTCCAGCCCAGCATAGGCTTCTTGTGGGTTGGTTTGAAATATTTTCTTCCTCTTCCTTTCTTTCCCACCCCCCTTCCCTTGCCTTCCCTTCCCTTCACATTGGGAATCCCAGGTTGTCAAGACACGATGGTCATCTTTCCCTGCCTCTGCCTGGGGGATGCTCTAAAAACAAAGAGGGGCTCCGAGAAGAAATCGAAGTCAGGGAGAGAGCCAGCAGCGCAGCCTTCCAGGTGGGCCCCCGGCAGAGTGCAGCTCTGCTCTCAGCTCTGGAGGCTCCTTGCCTAGACTGCCGACTCCCCATTGAGGATCACGCAGCCAGCAACCTGGCCAGGGGGTCAGCAAAGAGCAAAAAATGAGGGGGAAAGAACAAAAGGAAAGCAAATGCCAAAGCTGAGGAGAAAGGAAAAGAGAAATCCAAACACGGGAAAGGAAATTAAAGAAAGAAAGTTGACATGATGTTACAGAAGAAAAGGGAGAAGGGAGAAAAAAATAGAGAAAAGAGGGAATTATTTTAATAAAATTTGAATTTATGCCATGTCTTTAGCTTGAAAAACTATTCTGAGATTTTTTTTGCAGGCTTTTTTTTTTAAAAGCTAAAATTCTAAATAGAAAACTCCTCCCTATCTGCAGATTAATAATTAAGGATAATTTGTAACTTTTCACAAGGAAACTTTAGACCCGGCTTGGACCTGTGTTTAGGACAAGAGAGCCGAGGAGGGAGAGCTGTGTTTTTCGCTAATCATATATTTAGCGTTGCGGGGGTTGGGGGGGGCGTTTAAAAATACTTCTGGGATAAAATATATTTTTCTAAGTAATTTCCAAGCGCAGGAAAGCCGCGCCGAGGGCATCAGGCCTCCGCGGGTCTCGGCGAGCGGGCCGGAAAGCCTCGGTCCTTTTCGGGAGGAGTGGAACCGGGTCCACACGCCGTTTTCGCCCAGCCAGCCTGCCTCGCGGCCCGCTGCCACAGCTCTCGTTCTCCTTTTTTGCGGATTCCGCCGGGGGTCCGCCGAGTCCTGGCTGCCCGCGGGCAGCCACTTTGAAACCCAAAGGTTTCTGCACGGCCAAGCAGAGGTCGGAGGGAGAGAGCCGCAGCGCGGGCCCGCGGGCCGGTGGACTGGTGGGTGAGACACCGCAGCCCGAGTCGGTGCTGGCGGCCGTGGCGCATTCCAGGCCCGACTCAGCGCCGACTCGCTGCAGTCCCCCAGCCCTGGACTCCCGCCGTGTCCCCTTCCCATCCCCACCCCTTAGACTGGGGCTGAGGGGCCGGGCCCTGAGCCCGGGGAGGCTGAATTATTCATCTTTAATCTGCCCGCAGCTGCCGCCTTTTCATACCGGTAACGCGAGTTCTCCCGGGGCCTAAATTATTGATGGTCGGGGTTTGGAGGGAGGGGAGGGTGAGAAGTGGGGCTAGAGATAGGGAGATTAACGGGGTGGGCAAGGGGGTAAAAGAAGGGGCTTCAGTCTCTCCCAGCAACGCGATCAGAGGTCTTTCCCCAGGGTTTCACCGAGCTTGCTCTAGGTACCCCCCGAGAAAGGGAGGGGAGAGAAATGAGGGGGGCACAGATGTCCCCGCTTTCTCCGAAACTCGCGTGAGGCTAGCGGGGCAGGGGCTGCAGCTTGCCAGTCCGGGCCGACCCGACTCGGCCGCTAGAAGTCTCTGCGCTTGGATTGCTCAGTACCTGCGGCTACGGGTTGATCGCTCTGGGTGCAGGATTTCTAGACTGCTGTAGGCCAGGGAGAATGGGGCACAGGAAGCACCCTCAGGCCTGGCACCCAGTGGCCGCCTCGGTTCCGAGATCGGGAGCCCGCGCTGGAGCCGGGTTGGAAACCCCGTGCCCTTCTCTTGGCCGAAAGAGCAAAAGCCCGAGCCGCTCGGTTTCCTGGGGGGGCTGCCGAGGTCTGAGGGGTCAAAGGGACTCGAGTCGGGTTTGGGTCGGCTACACAGGGCGCCCCGAGAGTTATTAACTCGCCAGCGAGGCCTATGCCGTGCCACCTGGGCGAGACGGTGGGCCCCAACCAGGCTCTGCGAGGCGCGGCAGGCAGGCGAGCCCAAGCAGCCGGCATTCTCTGCCTGCTGCCTGGAGCCGCTCTGCCTCCCTGTCTCTGAGCGCAGCAGACCCCGGGCCCCTGCCTCATCCGCCTTCCTTGCTCTACTTCAGATACTAAGGAGGTGAAAGAGAGATACGGTCCCCCTACAGATAAATAACATTAGAAAAACTTCCCATCAAAAACAAACAACACAGGAAAGAGGTAGAAAAATTCCGATTACAATTTAATACTTTTTAAAGAAGAGGCAGAGAGCAAAGGGGGGTGTGTGTGTCAGGCACTTATCCCCTGTCTGTGCTAGGAGCTCGGATAAACAGTCAGCCGAGCCTCGACGCCCCCAAATCGTCCGCCTCCAAGCCCCGCACGCGCGGACAGCTCCCGGGTTGCCTGCGGCGCAGGCGGGATGCTGCTTCGCACTAGTCCAGTCCTCTGCCAGGCCCTTCCTCTCCTCGCTTTCTTACGCCCTTTCCGCTGGCATGAATTCCCCTTTGGCATTTTCTCCCCTCTCCCCTCTTTTCTGTCATCTGGTTTCTCTCCAGTCCCCCCTTTGCTTTCTACCTTGCGTCGCAAGGCCTGAGTCGCCCTCTCGCCCAGCCCCCAGTCTTCAGCCCAGCGTCTGTGCTTCCAGTCCCCACTCCTCCGCGTGGTCGTGGAGGTCCACCACCTTTCTTCTCAAGCTCGGGAACATGCCCTTCCGCCCTGCCTGCTTCCTTCGCCCGTCCCGGGCCGCGGACCCTGACTAATGGCCGGTCCCTGCTGTGTGTGGGGTGTTGTGTTTTTTTCTTGTCTCTCCCCAGCAGGGCACGGGGGTGTGAACCAGCTCGGGGGGGTGTTTGTGAACGGCCGGCCCCTACCCGACGTGGTGAGGCAGCGCATCGTGGAGCTGGCCCACCAGGGTGTGCGGCCCTGTGACATCTCCCGGCAGCTGCGGGTCAGCCACGGCTGTGTCAGCAAAATCCTGGGCAGGTGAGGGCTTCGCAGCTGTCCCGGGAGACGCCTTGCCTACTTCCCCGGCCAGCCCTGGGTCTCCAGCTGGAGGACGTGGCTAAAAGTCCAGCGTGCCAAGCCAGAGAGGGAGATCCCCAAAGGGGTCTGGAGAGGTGCTCCTTTTGGAGAGAGTGTTCAGATGGTGGCTGAAGACCCAGGAGCGAGGGTGGCGCAGTGTCACCCAGTGCTTGCCCTGCCCCTGGTCCCTGGTGAGAAGGCAGCCCGTTTCTGGCTTCAGAAAGGGAAGGATGACTTTCCTAATGGAGTTAAGGCAGATACGGGGTGGGAGACATTAGAGGAATGGGGGGGGAGTGAAAATGGGTCCCCGAGAGGAGAAGCAGCAGCATTTGGGAGGCAGAAGGAGGGTCCTGGTTCCCACAGATGCTCTGTGCCCAGTAGGAAAGGGCTCGAGGTGGTGCCTCAACCCTGGCCTCCCAGAGACCTTGCAGCGCTGTTCGTTTTGCTCTTCCCAAGTGAAAGGCTGGGCTTTCACTCCCACGGGTGCCTATTTGGGCTGGTGCGAACCCAGCCCCTGGTGTGGCCGTCTCCCTGGAGGGATGGTACCCCTTGTCCTCCTACTCCGCGGCGCTCCTCCTAGCCAGGCACCCTCAGGAAGTCAGCTCAGCCACACTGGGCCTTTTCCCTCCACTCCGCTGCCTCGGCCGGGCAGGAGAGTGGCTCAGCAGCTCTGGAACCTGCAGCCCCCCTGCCCCGCCACAGTCCGCTTCTGGCTGACCCCGCCGGCTTTCCCGGCGCAGGTACTACGAGACCGGCAGCATCAAGCCGGGTGTGATCGGTGGCTCCAAGCCCAAAGTGGCGACGCCCAAAGTGGTGGACAAGATTGCTGAATACAAACGACAGAACCCGACTATGTTCGCCTGGGAGATTCGAGACCGGCTCCTGGCCGAGGGCATCTGTGACAATGACACAGTGCCCAGCGTCTCTTCCATCAACAGGTGAGCAAGCCACCCGGGTTTTCAGGGCTGGACTCCAGCTCCTGGCTCCTGCCTGCAGGGGTGTCCCACGCCCAGTCTCTGCTCTTTGTCCAGCCTCTGCCCTTTCTCCCTGCTTCCAGCCCCAAATCCTTCTGTCAGAGAAAGGGAACCTGTGAGGCAGAGAGTTAGACAGACAGACAGGGCTGTCTGCAGTTCAGGGCTGGGTATTCCCTGCCAGGCTTCTCCCGCCGGCGTCCTGGAAATGAATCCAAGTGTTTGTGGTAATTAAGACTCCAAGATTACGAGCATCCAGCCTTGGGATCTTGAGACAATCACAGCCTGCAGCCGGAGCCTTTAAAATGACCAGTGTCTATTCATCCCTCCAAACAGACTGGCCTTTCTAAAGGCTGCTCCTTCCCCAGGGGCCGCCGCTTGTCCTGGCTCCCTCACCCTCCCTGCCAACTCCCACAAAGCTCACCTCCCAGGAGTCTGGTCTTGCTAGCCAGCTCCACACAAATTTCTGGCCTGTAGGCACTGGGATCCGGGCTTGCAGAACAAATGCCAACCACCAGCCAGCAACTGGCAGGGAGTAGAGGAGCTGGACAAGGAGGGAGTGCCAAGCAGGGAGGGAGAACTCCAGACTTTGAGACTGAACCTTGGGTGATACCCTCAACCACCTAAGGTGCCTGTCTCCAGGCTGAAGTCTTTGCACTGATGACAGGCTCACACACGTGAGGACAGCACAGGGCTGAGTCAGCTTGACGTGTAGGATATTTAGGTCTCCTGGTCTCCAAACCCCTCCAGTGTGCTCTCGGGGAGAACACATGTGCACACTCCATGCATGTCCACCCTAGCCAGTGTGCCAATATGCCTATCTGTGGTAGCTACAGAACATACAAGCAGCACTGGGCTCAGGAACCCAGGCTGGTTTCAAGATCACAGAACTGTACAAACTGACAGTTGTTCACAGAGTCCCTGCACAAGTCACACACCAGCCTTGGCCCCCCATTTTGAGACACCCCAAAATGAAAAGAGGGCTAAGCAGTTCATACCTTTGTTATTTTTTGCATTCTTCATAAGCTCATTATCAGGGCAACTAATAATTCACATGGTGCCTTATTCTGAAATTGGCATCACATATAAAGGATTTTTTAAATATTTTGCAAATGATATGGAATTATCCCAAATCATCCTGAAAACAGCAGGTAAAATTAGCTGGTAGAATGTACCTTGGCTAAAGAAGATTCCCTCTGCCACACTCGTGCTGTAATGTACTGCGAGGCGACCCCAGAAATTATCCCAGTGTGTGCCATCTGTATTAAAATGGTTATTCAGTTATGAACAGGGTAACATAATACTGATCAGCTAATTATACACCCTCCGAAAACCCTCCAGCTCCCTCGGCCTGGCTCAGCCAGGTATTGAAAGCATAGCGATTTGACATTCAGATACCTTCCAAAGGAGCTGGAGAAAGACGCTGGGTGGTTTGGGAGAGGAATAAGCCCTTTGCTTTAAAAGCCAGGAGAGGAGGCTGGGGCAGCTTTGGGCTGAGGCAAGAGTGGCACTTCGGGAGGGGAAGGGGACAAAGCATTGTTTTATGAGCCATGTAGAGACTCAGTCTCTTGGCTGATTGCTGGTCCTGGGCATGAGTTGGAACTGAGATCTCAAGAGAAGAACAGCCAAGGGCCAAGAGTGGCCCTGCTGTGTGCAGTGTTGCTGGGACTGGGTAGTGGTCTTCTGCAGAACATTTAAGAGAAATGCTTGTTGTCAGTAACAGAATTTTCAAGCCTTTGGAGAAACCCAAGTCATGTAGGATTTAGGTAATTTGTTTCTCTTGAATGGGGTAGAGGAGTGGCGCAACAAGTCAGGTGTGGTGGCCCCGTCCAACACCCCCTGCCCCTCCCCTCAACAACATGCACTCCTCATTGGCTGAGATGATTTTGGAAGCTGGCTTAGGCATAAGTTTGGAAATACTTCTATCCTGAAAAGCCATGGAGAACAAGGGCCAGGTGACCCTAGGATCAAGCTCCAGAGGTCTTGAGGTGCACCCACCAGAATTAGGACAAAGTAGACAAGTGAGCCACAAGTGAGATGAGGGTGGGGAAAGAGTAGCCTCAGCTTGACAGCTGTGACAGCTGCAGAACCTGCCCAGCACAGAGCCCTATCACCTGAGGGGCACACAGGCTTCCTTTGGGTGTGGAGAAATAGCCATCTGTGGGCAGATGTTGCTGGAGATGGAGAGGGAGTAGGAGGAGAGGAACAGGTAAGCCACCAACAACACGGGCAGCCTACCCTGGGTCCGTAGTTAGGCTTCATGGCTGGCTTTGTCTACAAGGAGCAGGAAAACTATTCCCAATTTTGCTTTTGTCCAGAATCCTCTCATGGTTCATATTTTGGAAAGAATTCTGGGGGCTTCCCTGTGTGCTGCTGAGTTGGGGCTGGAGAAATCCACCTGGGGAACCACGCTCTCATCTTCATCCCTGTAGGTGCTTTTTGCTCTGAAGAGGGAAGGTTTATCTGAGATGTATTGTTTCACCCAAAAGCCTGATAAAAACAGGATGTTTCTGCTAGTGCTGGTTATATCAGAAACTTTGCCTTTTATCAGTTCTGGGAATTCTCACTCACTGTAGGAAGAGCCCGGAGATTTTCCTGTGTGCACAAAGTGTGGTGCACCGGGGAACGGGTGGTTCTTGAGTTTAGAGCTTTGTTGGTAGTGACCTGCCCACTTGTGTTGGGTACTTTATAACAGTTATGAGTAAGGTTGTGCATGAGCTGGTGGTTGGCAAGAAAAGAAGTCCACACATGCTCACCCACCTGAGCTAGTGGTTTTTCATCTTCTCCTTCCCAAAACAGATGCTGTCGCCACACTTGAAATATGCTGTTATGGTTATAAACTAAATTGCTTTTTTCACTCTTTAAAAATGGTTTTGGCATTCTCTGATTCTGTTGTGATAAAGGCCTGGCCATCCAGCCTGTATTCTCCACTAGCAAATCCTCAGAAATGCCTCTCTGAACCAGAGGACTGGGTCAGGAAGGCCTCCCCACTGCCACAAACCACGTTCAAAAATCCCAAGGCTTGACTGGGCTCCTTAGCATGTGGAATTTATCTGAATCTTTCTAAACATTGGGTTACCAATGGCTGAGCATGGAGTTGCCAGCTTTTTGGTTTGTACACCGCTGCTGTAAAGGGCAGGTGTTTATAAACAGGGGACTTTAGATTGAAACCTGGTGTGGGACATGGCCTGGAGAGGGGAGAGGTGGAGGGAGATCCATGCTACTGAAAAAGGAAAAAGTCGTCTAGTTACATAGCTGAGCAATTGTCTAAGCAGGAGGGATTTTCCTGATTATATGCCAAAATCTTCTGGTTTGGCTGTTACTCTGGGCAGAGAATACACCTCCTTTGAAAGAACAGGCACAGACCCCAAATAGAGTCTGGGGTTACTGACAATCCCCCGAGGGTGCTCTTTTGGGAAGAGCTGACAATAAGGGTGTCACCTTCTAACTTTTTTAGCTTGCCTAACACTCTTTGGAGTCAGGGCACTCTCTGCCCCTAGATCTTTGGAGTGGACCCTGGCAGAATCAACTTCTCACGGATCTCCCACTATCCACACTCTCTCTTAGCCTGTTAGGCTCTAGGTGAGTACATTCATTCTCCTAGCAGTGGCAACCCAGGGCTGTGTTAAGGAATTCCATCCTGTATCATTTGGGTGTCCCTCTTCTGTCATTCTCAGGTCTTTGAGTCATTCTCAGGTCATTGTTCCCCTTGGGTCAGGCAGTGGGGTGACAATGGTCTACTAGTTGTTCGTTCAAAGACCTTTCCAAATAAGCTGGGAGCTATTAATCCTAGCCCCGTGAATGTTGAAGATATGTTCCGGGCTAGGGTCTGTTTCTCCCTCTCTGAAACTCAGGTTCCAGAACATTGCCTATTCTACTCTTGGACCTGGCTTGGCATGAAGCTTGGCCAGAGGGGTGGTACTGCCTACCACATCTCCATATCTTTGTAGCTGTTTGGTGGTCAGGGCTGTTGGTCTCATGGCAAAGAGACAGGGCAAGTTGGAGAGTTCAGAAAAAGACTTCTATCCACAGAGGAATGGCAGAAACAAGGACAGGGAACTCACCTTCTGTGGCCTGAGCCTAGCAGATTGGGCCCACAAATAGCAGACCAACATGCCAATTTCTGTCAGAGAAGCCTCGCTCACCTGTCCTTTCCCAGAGACAGTCCCCTACTGTGAGGTTACCCATCATTGGAATAACATTTGAAACAGGCATGATGGTTGAAATTCTCATTCCTTAAAATGAGCTGGAGTTGTCCTCCTGAAAAGCCTCTTTTTGTTTTTGTAGTTGTTTTAGCCTGGGCTTCCTGGCCCACAGTCCTGTTGGTCTGACTGTCTCCCTGTTGGCTGGTTCTGTGGGTGTTCAGGCTACAAAAGGGGTTTCTGGTGAGAGCAATTGCTGCTTGCCCTGCCTTCCTACCTCAGCTGGCAACTCTCGAGAAGAGGCAGACAGGAGGCACTGGGCCTGACAACAGCTCCAGGTGCATTTCAGAAGGTGACGCAAAGAAGAAAAGAGAGGGAAAACCCAAAATGAATAAATAAATAGTGTCCCAACTGTTCTGAGAACTCAATAAAACAATCACATCAAATATGAAGAGGCATAAATCTTGTGTCTGCACAGGTAACCTACTCAATTGCTTTTATTATCGCTCAGGCTGCCTCCATTTATTACCGTTCATGGCCTGGGCAAAGGAGGCTGCGTGGAGGGTGGTCTCCAGTGCAATCCTACACCCTGAGAGGCAACAATCAGCCCATACAGCCAGAGATTTCGATGGGAGCCCAGGAAGGGCCCATCTGTCTGCATGAAAACCAATCAATAACTCTGTAACCAGAGCCCTTGTCACAGGGAAATGGACAACACAACAGTTCAATAGAGGGGCCACAGGGGGAATTAGCCAAGTGGAGATGGGGCCAAACAGGAGCAGCCCCTAGAGAAGGGAAACAGGGGTGCCTGGAGTAGGGGAGATTAGGGAAGGGGTGGAGATGTGGCAGGGGAGAGCAATAGCTTCATATGCATGTTGGTATTAGATGGGGAGTATTGTGCAAAATAGACCCAGGGAATGACAGGCAATGTTGGAAGTTGAGGTGGTAGGGAACATGTGTTTTGGACAGCATTTGGGAAATGGGCTTGTTCTGGTGCACATGGGAGAGTGTGACTATGCATGATGGCATGTGCTTGCGGACTAGAATGTTACAGCTTCTACAGAAAGAGGAACAATAGTAGTAACTGGTGTGGAAGATTAATCACACTCCATACCCCCTAAAACCCCTCTGAAAAGGGGGTTCCTATGAGCCCACATGGGATAGGGGTCCTGCTTCCCAGTCTTCTTAGCAGGACTGATGAAAGAGCCCCATTGTCCGCTCCCAGCTTCTTAGGTGTCCAACAATAGCTACTCTGCAGGTTGCCTCTTAATACTCAAGTCTATCTTCACCCCCTCCTTGTGTCTACCTGGAATTGGAGTTTTTATATTAAGAAGAGAACAATGGTGTAAAAGTGACAAGCATCCAGTAGAAATCATACTTCAAGTACCCAAACAACCATTCTGTTTCTCACTTTCAATACAGTATTCAATAAATTGCATGAGATATCCAACACTTTGGTATAAAATAGTCTTTGTGTTAGATGACTTTGGCCAACTGTAAATGTTTTGAGCATGTTTAAGGTAGGCTAGGCTGACCTATGATGTTCCATAGATTAGCTGTATTCAATGCATTTTCAGCTTACAATATTTTCAACTTATCGAGCCATTACCCTGTTGTGAGTTAAGGAGCATCTGTACACTGAAAATAATTTATTTTTCACTTCCTGTCCTTTAAAAGAATGCTCATCCGACCTGCCAGTTCTCTGCATCCCTGCTGTTTCTTCTCACACTTCCCCCGCCCCTCCAAGCCAGGTGTCCAGAGCTCAGATTCTTGCAGGGGAAGCAGCTTCAGGTGCAGCTATCCCCAGTGCAGCTCCCCAGCCATGCAGTTGAGTCCAGAGAAGGGGAAAGGGCTCCTGAAACTGAGATGTGGGAAATAGAGTCTCACAACCAATGCCCAAATAGCAAGTGAAATATTAGACAGCTGAAACATTAAATCACGTTTGGTTTTTCTATCTACCACTGAACTACTAGGTTGAGATGGTTTTCTCTTGTGGAACAGGCTATTTGTTTTGGGGCTAGCAAGGCATGGCTTGAATATATTCATGATGGTTTGCAGTGTAGAAGTTGATATCTTCTGTGCGTGTGGATTTGTGTGTGTTTGTGGGTACCTACCTATGTCTGCTTTTAGGTGAAAAGGCCCTGAGGCCAAGAGGAGAAAAGGGAGGAAGGCTCACAGGACATGACCTGCAGTCACAGGCAAGGCTGGACACCTTGTACTTGGGCCATCAGATCAATTGGCAAGTAGTCATTGGGCCACTGGGCGAAGTGGCAGCAGCAATAAGGCTAGGCTGAAGATTCCTCATTTCACAGTCTAGGCAAATTGGAGCCACATTTTCCTTCAGTTATTTGCATTGTAACACTCTATAGTCCAGTTAACCCTGGATAAGAGGGGCTTTGCTACAATGATGCCACAAGAGCTGTGCGACCAGCTGTCCATCCTTACTTTGATACTTGGGTCCAAGCCCTGTTGGCAGGATTAGTTAGGGACCAATTGCATAAGCAGCCAAGAAGGCGCTCTTCCCAACACAATCCTTCCTCCAAAGCTGTGGTCCCGCAGTGGGAGGCATGGTAGCAGCCCTGGGACACAACGGTGGGCAGAGCTCACCCCAGGGCCAGCCTGCAAGTCTTTCCTCAATCATCCAGGTGTGAGGGGCATAGGGAAGAGGCTTACTGTTTGTGAGAAATGCAGAGCTGGCCACTGCAGAAGGCTTGGGGTGTAGATGAGGCGTGATGGCAGAGGCAGCCTCAGGTCTCCTGAGGAAGGCTGGGCACAGGGGAGCTGTTGAGGGTATGGGAAGCTAAAGAAGAATGGTCTGGCGCTGTAGGAGAGGGAGCAGCCTCTTGTAGGCTGGGAACTCTCAGGTAAGAGAGGAAGTGTGCAGGAAAGAGGTAGACAGGCGAGGCCGTAGAGCCAGGGTCCCCTCATGGCACATCCGCAATCAACCATGGGAGAAATGAGGCCCTTTCTTTTGTTTTCTGAGAGATAATGTAATGAGAACAGATTTTGTGTTTTCCAAGGGAGAAGGAAAGAGATAGAAAGAGAGCAGGGCAGGGGGAGCGAGTCAGGTGCCATTCTTTTTTTTTTTTTTTGAGACGGAGTCTTGCTCTGTTGCCCAGGCTGGAGTGCAATGGCACGATCTCAGCTCACTGCAAGCTCCGCCTCCCGGGTTCACGCCATTCTCCTGCCTCAACCTCCCGAGTAGCTGGGACTATAGGCGCCCACCACCACGCCCGGCTAATTTTTTGTATTTTTAGTAGAGATGGGGTTTCACCATGTTAGCCGGGATGGTCTCGATCTCCTGACCTCGTGATCCGCCCGCCTCGGCCTCCCAGATTGCTGGGATTACAGGCGTGAGCCACCGCGCCCGGCCGTCAGGTGCCATTCTATTCTAGAAACGTTCAGGTTTGTTGTAGGGATGTTGGGGGAAGGAAAGCAGTGCCCAGAAGTCCAGACTGGGGTTTGCCAAAAGCAATGATGGAGATGCGCTGTGGCTGCAGGAGTCATGAGCACAAAAGACTCCCAGGCCCCAGCAGGAAGAGGCTCCAGAATATGAGATGAAAAGTGGTGAGAACTGGACAAACAGCCGGAGCACATGGGCCCTGCCTGCAGGCAGTGATGCAGGAAGACCGGATTTTAAAAAACTCTCTGCTGACCGAATAAAACTCAACTTTGGGCCTGATTCCATCCATTGGCCAGCATTCAGCAGCCTTTGGTTGACCTGACTGGATGGACTTATCTCTCTGCCTTAGACCAGGGCAGTAACATCCACGCAAGTGGAAGGGGATGGGACATTTCCTGGGTCCCTTGGTCCAGAAGCTCCTGGGGAAGGCAGTGGAGGAGAGATTATGACTCCCTATAGCCGGAGGAGGAGAGGTGGGGTGTGGGTAGGGAGAGGCAGAAAGTGAGGATGAGGACTGGGAGAGTGAGGCAGGAAGCGATGAAGCTGAGAGGTGGAAGGAAGGGCGCTGCCTTGGGCTGGACAGGGTTGTTCGGGATTGGAGCACATGGCTGAGCAGGAAATGGCACGGCAGAGCCCGCAAGGGGAGCTTGGATTTGCTCATCCGAGCTGGGGCCTTCAGTGGCCCTGCAAGGTCTTGGGGGTGGTGGGAGGAAACCTGAGCTCCAGGCATCTGGTAGTACAGGCTGATGGGCCCTGAGGAGGGGCCCAGAGGTGATGAAGGAGAAAGGGGAAGAGGAAGGTAAGCAGGTTTCTGAGAAGAGTATGGAGCGAAGGAAATGGCATGGGAGGAATAGCGGCCTGGCTGGAGCTATGCAGCCCTTTCTGAGAGGAAACCTCATGAGTGTGCCGCAATGGTCTGGCTGTGGCCCCTCTCGGCAGGCTGTGAGGCAGGCCAGCAGTGGCTCCAGCCTAGTCCCTGGCAGGCTGGAGAGGGAGAGTAGGAGAGCAGCCAAAAGGGAGGGAGGCAGGCCCCTGCCTGCTGGGGGTTGCAGATTCGAGAGCCATCTCCACCCAGAGCCTTTGACCAGGTTGCTGTGGACTTCCTCCTCTGCCTGCCCTCAGTCCTGCCTGAACCACAGATTTCTCTCTGCTGCCACCTGGGAACAGAACAAGCCAGGGACAGGACCGGTGGCTCCTGGCAGGGCTGAGGCAGGGCAGCAGGCTGGGAGGAGAACTGTGTTCACCCTGCAGGCACAGTAGAATCAAGAAATCAGAGAGGAAGGATTGGAGAGGACTGGGAGAGAGGGGAGCAGGCAGAAAGGGAGAACAAAAGTGGCCCCTGAGCATGAGCAAATGGGAGTGAGCACTGGGGGCTGCTCTCCCTGGTCTTGGTGCTCCCTCTTGGCCTGGGGGTCTTTGCTGGGCCCAACTGCCCAGCCCATACCTGGCAGGCAGATGATAGAAGCTGAAGGGCATGAGGAGTCTGCAGGCAGCTTCTGGCCTGCAGGACATGGAGGCGGTCAGGAAGGAGACACTCATTCAGCCTCTTAGTCCAGAAGCTTTGATCCTGATTTTGGAGGGCAAGCAGTGGTGCCTGCCTTAGTGCGTTTTCCCAAGAGAAGTTGGTGATGTGTTGGGAGCCTCTGTGCATGGCTCTGCTTTGGAAAGACTATGTGTGCTGGTGGTATCTAGCTAGGCCTGGCTTCTATGCCCTGGGAAGCTGTCTAAATGGCCCTGGCTCCCAGGGAACTCTCGAAAGGAGTCAGTCTTGTCAAACTGGGAGTTGGTGGTTTGCTATTCAGAAGGCTTCCGGCTAAAGGGATTGTTTGGTCCCAGAATGAAAGTCCCTGTTATCACTTTGATGGCCTGCCTGTTTGGGATGTTAGTTAATGTTCCCTGGAGAGCACGTGGTTGAATGGACAGTAGACATCCTGATGGGTCAATGAACGGGGGTTCTGAAAGGTACACACAGGGTCCCGACACATCTAGTCTGTGTGCATGCACAAGTTTGGGGATGTGAACGCTTATGAGTAGTGTGCATTTGCTCTGCTGGATGAGTGAACCAAGCCATGTGTGATGGCCAGGGTGGAGGGTGTGTGTAGTATCGCACTAGGAGAACTGGAAGCAGTTGTTTCTTGTGTGTCTGCTGACGTCCTCAAAGGGAGCATGTATTTAGGTAGAGACAAAGGTCAAGATAGTCACCTCCTTTTATCATTTGCAAAGTGGATACCACTATCCCTTCCCCCAGTCCCTTACTTTTCTTCCTCTTTCTCCTCCTCCTCCTCGTTCCTCAGGTTAGCTGGTTTGGGTTAGGGGGCCAATCTCAGAAGACTCTAATTAAAGAGTGAGGAGAATCTGATAAGATAAGGAAGGCCATCCTTCCTCTAGGGACCAATGGAGGTTTCATGTTCCTCACTCCCCGCTGCTTCTCTGAGGAGCTGACACTAGGGCAGGCAGCCTGCCGACTGTGACTGTCTGGAGTCTGGGAGAGCCAGAGAGAAGGAGGTGTGACTGGGGTTGGGACTCGGGTTCCTACCCATTTGCAATGGTCCTGGAAGGGAAAACCTAGCAGACTCCAGATGAGAGCGAGGGGAGGGTAGAAGAGAGAGTGCAGAAGTCAGGAAGAGAGAAGTGGGAGCCAGATGTGATCAACACAGATATGCCTCGCTAAGTCCTAGTTTTTGGCCACAGAAATGGACTGTACGGGGTGGGGTGTGGTACCTTTTTTTTTTTAATTAGGGAAGGGGCTATGAAGCCATTTAACCCATCTTTGGGGCTGAGCACTTAGCTCCTGCAGAGAGTACAGCCCTGGTTAGGGTTCAGCTCCTCCTAGAAACAATGCTCACCTGCGCTCTCGACCCTCCGCCCTCCCACCTAGCACATACACTTTTCTTTTTCCCCACCCTCGTTTCCTCTGAACTTGGCTCTGTGGATCAGGTCACTCCTGGCCCCATGGAGACAGCCAGGAAGGCCATGCAGACTCCCTTAGGAGATGACCTCCCAGGGTGGGTACAAAAAAAGTTGAGAGAAATTCATTTCATGGCCAGTGGCTGCTTAGAAAAGGCGATTCCAGCATCCGAATGTGATAAATGCTAACTGAGCATTAATCGCATTAAAGAGGGCCCTATAAACTTTTCACTTCTAATTAAATTTGTCCAGTGGTGCTGCCCAAGCGAGTACTCTGGGCCTTTGTTTATGTGGAAAATTAAAATGCAAATACAATGAGATTTATTTCCAGGAGTGGAGTGATGGGCTGGCCCCTCTGGCTACTGGTCTCCAGGCCTGTCAGGTCAGGTGACTGCTTCTTTGGAGGTGCTATCCCCCTTGTGACAGATTCTTGTGTGAAGGGAGAGGCCAGAGTTCAAGGTCAAATAGAGTTAGTAAATGGGGAGAAGATGTAGAAAGAATTGAAGAGAAGGAGAAAAAGGCAATAGATTACCAGGAATATAGGGAGACATTATTCTGGTTTCCCACCCTCCTTCCCCACCAACTCACATCTCTAGGGGTATAGACCCCCAAAATCTTACTTGTTAATATCACCACAAGCCTCCTCTGAAGCTATGAGATGAAGGAGTACATGGGAGAGAGAATTTGGAGGAAGCAGCCCTGCCAGGCTCGGCATGGCGGCTCACACCTGTAATCCTAGCACTTTGGGAGGCTGAAGCAGGAGGATCACTTGAGACCAGGAGTTTGAGACCAGACTAGGCAACAGAGTGAGGCCCATCTCTATTAAAAAAAAAAAAACAAAACTAAGTGGCCATCAGGAAGGGTCAAGGGCCTGGATTTCTCTCCAGCAGTTTGAGGGTCATCTGCTGTCCACACCGGGGTTTCACTGGGCTCTTCCTGCCAGTTCCAAGTGGCATTGACATGGGGCAGTGAAGCATAGAGGCACAAACCAAGGAGGACATTGTGCATGCACGCCTGCACGCACGCAGCCTTCTTGCACATAAGGAGAGCCGGTTTCTCATAAGAATAAACAAATGTCCCTTGCAAGGAGTCATTTAGTGCCGTGATCCCTTGATAAAAGTGGTAATCCTAAATGCTACTGAATGGAACAATCTAAATTTCCTATTTACTGAGAACATAAATTAAGTCGAGGGGAGAGAAAACCTGCATAAGAAAAATTAGTAGGGTATATCAGTTAGAGACACTGAAAGATAGCTATGCTGCTCTCTGGATAAGGAAGTTGTAAATAGCATTAAAAAGTCAAGCAGGAAAGGAAATGGAGGTAGGAGAAATGATAAAAGACAGAGCACTAAATCACAAATAGGGGTACATGTACGAAGTCACAAACCGGCTTTATGCCAAGCTTTGCAGAATCCACAGCTTGGACTGACAATACATAGAGATGCTAAACACACAGGCATGCAGACTTCCAGAGAGTGTCAGTATGCAGAGGGTGGATTGGTCGCACCATGGGCAAGCTGTTGTCTGTGCTGGACTCTGGGATTGATCCATCAGTTCCTCCTTGCAGGGATCTGATTGGGTACAGTTCGGTAGGCAGTCGAGGATACAGCTGTATGAGGTTTTTAAAGGTCTTTAAACACATGAGTCTCTTGTGAGCTGGATCCACCTTCTAATGGATCTCCAAGGTAGCAACCCATTCCCAGAACACTGCCTGCTTGACTGGTTTTGTCAAATAGCTGCTACCCCTGTCCTCCTTTTTCTGTTTTATTCTGGGCTACTCTTTTCCTTTTTAGTGTTCACTTATGCCTCTTGGAAATTCATGAGCACTTGCTGACAAACAGGTTAATGACTGTGGCAACTCCCAAACATCTGGATGGAAACCAAAACTTCAGTCAATCATCTATAAAGGTTGTCGATATGATGCCAAAGATCTGGCGATTTAGAAATGTCCACATAATTGATTGAATTTCTCAGTTTTTTATCCAGGCTCAGAATCAACACATTGGGAAACACCTATTTTCAGAGAAAAATATTCCAGGAAACAAAGTGTTCTCATTAGAAAGCATCTTTGATGTGTTCGAGTCTGATTTCTGGCTTGAAAGGAGGCTGGGCTGGGCTCTAAGTCAGATGGAGATCTGGTGGTTAGAGTAGTTAGTATTGGAACGAGCACAGCTGGTGAGAGGTTTCCTTCCCCCGAAAGTTGGCCAGGAGGGTAGATCACTTTGTCCAAATAAGCTTAGGCTGCCTGTTAGGCCTGGTTTCTCTAAGGGAGTCCATTTTGCCATTTTAAGGGAGACTGTCAGGTTCTTAAGACATGTGGCTTTTTCTTCATTTATCTTTTCATTCATCCATTCAGAAGCAAGTAGGTGCTTGCTAAGCACCTACTATGTGCTAGGCAATTCACATAAAGCTATGTGGCATAGTGTTAGAAAGCAGGCTCTGGGGAGAAACTGCCAGAGTTTGAAGCTGGCTTCCCTACTCACTGGCTAGAGGGTACTGGGTCCACCTTATATCCTCTGTGGGCCCCAGTTTCTTCACTCATAAAATGTGGGGGATAATTGTGTAGGTCTCTCATAAGTTTTCATGAGGGTTAAATGAGTGAGTCCACATAAACCAGCTTAGAATTGCACCTGGCAGGTATTAAGTGCTCAATAAATGCTAGTTATTATTATTGCAGTAGTAATAATCAAGTCTGTATTTCTTGTTATGCGTCTATTTCAGTGTGTATGCATTCTGCTTTGTGTATGCACAAACATTGAATTTTTTTTTTTTTTTTTTTTTTTTTGAGAAAGAGTCTCGCTCTGTCGCCCAGGCTGGAGTGCAGTGGCACCATCTCGGCTCACTGCAACCTCCGCCTCCCGGGTTCATGCCATTCTTCTGCCTCAGCCTCCTGAGTACCTGGGACCACAGGCGCCCGCCACCACGCCTGGCTAATTTTTTGTATTTTTAGTAGAGACAGGGTTTCACCTGTTAGCCAGGATGGTCTCGATCTCCTGACCTTGTGATCCACCCACCTTGGCCTCCCAAAGTGCTGGGATTACAGGCGTCAGCCACCGTGGCCGGCCTGAAATATTTTTAAATAAAAAAGTTTGAAGAGCCAAAAGGATATTCTGTGAACAGAATTGTGTATCATGAATGCCAGTGAGAATCATGGTCCCTCGTGAGCCCAGATGGATTTAGGAAGGGGACCCACTCAGTGTATTTCCAGAAAAAAAGACCCTCTATGATTCAGTAATCTGACCATTGAGCAGAATTAGTCAGATAATTGCCCCTTTGTCAACTTTGAGAGCCCAGACCTTGTGGCTGTGTGTGTGTGTGTGTGTACTTTGTATAACTGCACATTCCTTCTCTTGGAAGCCTGCTATTGCTTGAGGAATTCAAGGTTGGCATTTTCTAGGCTTCATGGCATTTTCGTAGGTTGTGGTGCTTTGCATTTTGTAGTTTTTTTAAAAGATAAAATGAAATGGTAGTGGGGAAAAAGTCCTTATTTGATGCATTTGAAGGGTTCCACTGATTCTTAAATGTCATACAGGGGAGAGGAAAGGGAGGTAAACAGGAAGAGGAGGGGAAGAGAGGAGAGAAAATGGAGATAAGACAAAGGAAGAAGAAAGAGGAAAGGGAGAAGTGAGCAAATACTTAACAAATTCAAATGAAATCTGTCTATTCTTGTCTGGCATGTCTGGATATTCTAAGGAAGTATGGGAGTTTGACAATCATTGCAGTTATTTCCATTGCTAAGGAGTAAAAGTTTTTAAGAAAAAAATTTCAGGAAAAAATTACTTTGGGCTTAATCTATTTGATGAATGGCTCCAACTAACTGGACAACTGCAAATTCTATTTATTCTTTGCCTGACAAGAGCAAATATGAAACCCAGTTTCCCAAACTCATGACAATGTGTTTCTCATCTTTATGGGAACTTCCATGGAACAAGACTGAGGTGCAATCCCATTCTTGCCTCAAGTTCTCCCTGCCCCTTTGGCTTAGTTAGGTGACCAAGTTCAGCTCAATGGATGGCTGTAAGACCCACACCCAAATACTTACAGAGTCACTTATCTGATACCTTTTATACCTTTTGCATCATTCTCAAATTCCTAGATTTCATTATTCGTCATTTATGCCTATTAGCTGGTAAAGGTTCTGATTTTCAAATTAGAAAGTAAATGTTTTTAATGAGCAAAATTAGAATCCTGAAAGCTCAATCATCCTTACATTTTTCTTGTAGTACGAAACAAGTCAAGGGCTGCCTATTCATTACCAGATGCAGGGCCAGATGCTGCCCTCTGTGTGGACATAGGCAGTGGTGAGCTCTGTCAATCCCCAGCCCCTGCCACTGCCCAGATGGCAGGGAGAGAACTACCCTCTGCCCCTGTGCTACCTGGCTGCAATTTTTGCACTTCTCTGCTTAAAACACACACACACACACACATACACCTCTTAATTTGTCTTAGGATTTTATGTACACTAGCACACATGTGTACATGTTTATACACATACACAGGCCAATCTTATGGCTGCTTTACTCAGAAAGCCTTTATATTTATCATCATCATCATCATCATCATCATCATCATAGTGGTTAACAAGTGCTTACTACAGTAGGAACCGTTACAAGCATGTTTCATGCATTAATTGATTTAAGCATCCTAAACAACCCCATAGGGCTTTATAGGATTGTTATAGATGAGGTAGCTGGAGTACAGAGAAGTTAAATAACTTGCTCAAGGTCACAGACTAAGTAGCAGAAGTAGGATTTGAACCCATGCAGTCCTGGCTCTAAAACCCACATGCTTATCCCCTATGCCATACTTCATATCTACTTTGGATCAAGGGAAGTGCAGGCACAGGCAATCTCCTGGGGAACTCTGTATATTTTGCAGTCTCTTACAAGCTCAAAACAGGAAACCTGCACCCTAGCAGATGGTCACACCTCTGTGTATCTCTGTACTCTTCCATGGTGTGTGTTCCTCAGTGCAGGCCACTGCTGAGCCACATCATCTAGAGATACTGGGAAGGAAGAAGATACTAATAGCCAGAGCCACAGAGTAGAGTGGAATGGGGATTCTTGGAACTAGAGTTTATATTGCTGTTCCCATTGGGATTGGCAAGTTTACTCCCGTCCATCCTCCTCCAGCTCCAACAGGGATCTAGACTCTCAATTGGCATAAGGTTTGGACTAGGGGCTTAACTCTCCAAATCAGGCAGACCTGTTCTCGTTTGGTAAAGTCGTAACTGTTCAGCAGAGCAGGGACATTTGCTTCCAAGAAGAATAGAATCGTATTTTTGGTTATCAAGAAGAGATTTGTCCTGCATCTCTAGAATCTTCCTTCTGAAAAGCAGCAGTGCAAATGACCAGGCCAGAGTAAGCTAAAAAAGCTAAAGGATGGATCCTCTCACCCACAACCACACCAAGAAGGCAATTAAAGCAATTACCGAATCATACACCATCACCCAGATCCAGCATCATTACTCAACCCACATCACCAAGGAGACACCCATTAACCTAATCTCTGAGACATACATTAGGGAAAAAAGATGCTGATATGATCAATGAACACAATAATTCAAAGCAGAAACACAGACACTGCCACCAAACAATACTCAAATTCCTCCAACTCAGTGTTACACAAAGTGCAGCCACCTCAATACAATACCACAAAACACCAAGTAACAAACATTAAGCTAGCTGCCGGAATGCGTCAACACAATGCAATAATACACGGTAATGCACAACACAGTTCAAACTCTGTATCCCATAGGCACACCCATACCCACAGGCTGAAATCATGTGGCCACTTGAGCCACATGGGCAGACACACACAGAGACAGAGCCAATAGCGCAGCACCCAATTCTCCTGCACACCCAGCAGAAAACGATCACAGCTGCAGTCCTCCCAAGCACGATGCAGCCTGCCAGAAAGCAGCAGCACCATGCCGTTTCTCCAGCAGGTGGACGTGTCCAGACCATCACCTCTAATAAGGCCTCTGGGCTCTCATTGCTAGTAAGAGAGTAAACTGTCCCCTGAGCCTGCTTCCCGAGACAGGACAATTCAGTTCTATCCTGGTTGGGGTTTAATAAGACTTCGCTGTTAGTGAAAATGACAGAGCTCCAGGGATAAAGGGAAAGGTGGTGGTGGGAGGGGAGCTCACTAAGCTGGGTGCAGGAATTCCCCTTCCTCTACCCAGCCCTACCTTCTGTGGCCATTCCAGAGCCAAAGCCCTCATGCTGGGTGTTCACGGAGTATCGATTCAGTCTGCAAGCAATTTTAATATTTCTTCAGGGACTTTCCAGCAACAGCACAAGTCATTAATTCACCCTCCCAAATTGCTTATTCAATAGCAGGAACATGGCTCCTGAATAAAGTCCCAGAATTTATGTGACTCGCACGAGTCAGGAGGTCAAACAACTGTTATGGAGCGAAGTTAAAAATCCAAATAAAATATTGACACTTTTTTGGGGAGGGGGAGGTGGGAAGCAAAGGTATTTAAAATAGGTTTTTGTTGCAATGCCCCCAGGATAAAGAATGGAAGGAGACTGAAGACAAGTTGGAGTTTATAAAATCAATGGAATTTATTGCACAGCTACTTGGCATTTAATAATTCTCTCATTTCCACATCCCCCTCCCCCACCCCATCCTGGCCATAGACAGAGAGATACACAGGTATACAAATGCACATTTATGTACGTCAATACTGGTGCATGGACCAATATAAAAACACGATTGTGATGTGAAAATCTCAAACACCCCAGGAAGGGAACAATGATGGTGTAGAGTCTCGCTGTAGTTTACATATTTGACAGAAATGGGCATAACTTGGCAGATACTCATGAAGCAGGTTTTGATAAATATATCCACTATTATAAATCTTAGATCAATGCATTGGAGCAGACCTGAATATAAAGATAAACTAATCATAGAAATAGATCCTCAAAACAGAAATTGAGAAACACATCTATATGTAGTATCATCCTGCAATCATGTACATGATTTGGAAACTAGATAGATGAAAATAATTTGGAAAATTTGCCCCCCAAACCTACCAGTGCATATAAAATTCACCGAAGCCTATAGCAGCTTAATCTAAAATTGTGATTTGTTAGTAACACAGACATGATGCTTATCAAATACAGCTATGGCACATGCATGGGAGAGGATAAGCGTGTTTAAAATCACAGCTACCTGTGCTCTCTGTTAATTGTCTACATATATAATTGCTCAATTTTCCAAAATCATGGATATGAAAAGGCTGAAGGAAAAATTTGTTCATGTCCAAATAGTTAATAAATAAATATATATATAAATTTCCCAAAAAGATCAACTGATTCAGCCTACAGACATTGAAGTCACAAGCCTGGATCCAATGTCGGGCTCTTACCCGATGCATATGTATAATTATATGTCAATTGAAAAAAATAAACACCAACCAAACAAACAATTTCTGGCTCCAATGCTATTAAGCATGTGACTTTGGGCAAGTTGCTTGGCCTTTCTGTTGTTTCTTAGGCAAAATAGAGAGGATGGCTATTTGATAGAGTTATAGTTGAATTCGAATGAGAAAACACATTCATTATAATGCCTTTCATACAGTGAATATGAAATAAACGATAGTTATTGCTTTTACTATTATTAGATTCAGCTCTTCTATTCAGGCCTAGCCTCTCATAGATTCTACCATCGGTTCTTGATATGACTGACTCATTCTACTCAATGGTTAGCCGCATAAGTTCTAGAGTGAGACACTCAGGTTTAAATTCTGGCTCTGTTACTTAACAGCTGTGTGACCTTCCGTAAGTTACCTAACCTCTCTGAGTCTCAGCTTCCACATCTGTAGATTATGGACAATAATCTTCATAGGTACTTGTGAGAATTAAGTTAAATAATCCATATAAAGTGCTTTGCACAGTGCCTGGTACATAGTAAGTGTATATTGGCCCACTGTGTCCCTTAAGATTATGTCATTGTTATTATTGGCCAGGTACAGTGGCTCATGCCTGTAATCCCAGCACTTTGGGAGGCTGAGGTGGGAGGATTACTTGAGGTCAGGAGTTTGAGACCAGCCTGGCCAACATGGTAAAACCCTGTCTCTACTAAAAATACAAAAATGAGCTGGGCGTGGTGGTGTGCACCTATAATCCTAGCTACTCAGGAGGCTGAGGTTGCAGTGAACCTGGGAGGCAGAGGTTGCAGTGAGCTGAGATTGTGCCATTGTACTCCAGCCTGGGCAACAGTGTGAGACTCCATCTCAAAAAGAATAAAATAAAATAAAATAAAATAAAATAAAATAAAATAAAATAAAAAAATAAAAAACAAAAAACAAGAGTATATTATTGTTATTATTATTAATAATAATATTCATTTGTTATTGAACAAATAGCTATCAAGTACTTACATTATACCAGACACCATTGCTAGGTGCTGGGGAAAGACAGTCGTGAGAAAAATAGCAGACATCTGCCTTCTCAGAGCTTGGAGGGGTGGACTCTATGTGAACTGAGTAAGCAAGAAAACAAGGTTTCAGCTCTGTGTTAGACCCTGAGAGGAAGAGGGAAACAGAGAGAAATAGATTGGAAAGCTAGGATAGAGCCAGATAAGGGAAGATTTTGAAGGCCGGGCTGAAGAATTCTGAATTTATCCTATAGGTGATAGGAAGTGATTGTAGGGTTTAGCCAGATCACATTCTTTCAGGAGACAGAGAAAGACTGACGGACTGTTTTTGAATGCCTGAGTAGGCGAAAGGTAGGAAAGGCTAGAGGTAGGGAGGCCAGGCAGTCACTAGCGGGCCCTACATCTGCTGCTGCTCATGTGACTGCAGAGGGAGGTGAGCATGCCTGTGGTGGGACAGGGTTGGGGGATGGACAGGTGCAGAGTGGGAGACTTTATCCCAGCAATGAATCTATAGCAGTACCTTGTTCACCTTATATCAAGCAGTCTTCAAGCCTCTGGAGCTTCCCAAACAGGATCATGGGGGTGGACAGCTGGTAGATTCCAGCTCTAGCCAGAAGCTCTGACAGATGAGGGCAGGGCCAGTGGTGAGAGGCGCTAGTCTGTCACGCTCTGGGCTTGGCATGCACCACAGACTGGTTTCCAAATGGTTAGTTAAACACATTGCCCCTTAATTTTTAAACCTATGCATATCTTGAAGTTAAATCAATCCATATGCTTAGCATTCATCATATAAACCATCACTATTGCCCCCTTGGGCCAGCCCCATGGCCCATCTAGCCTGGTAAATTGTCTCTGGCCTGGGCTCTCAGGGGCACGTGGCGGAAAGATTATCGCCCTCAATGCCAGTCTTGGAAGGCTAAGTTGATGCAGAATATATGCCTGGTATCTAAGTAACCCACTGGGAATTTATCATCCTGGAATGTACCAAAAACCATTTTGAAATTATTTCAATTTTTAACCTATGGTTTTGTTTCCACAGAGCAACTGATAGCTTATTGAATTTTGGTGACTATGTCAGCTGGAGTCAGGGTTAATAGATGGAGAGAAATGTGGATCGATAGAGTATGAGAAAGGAACTTTCTTAACTCACTAAGACTTATTCCCAGCTCTTCCAAGGATCCCCTTGAGAAACCAACCAGAAGGATGGTTTCTTCACCTCCTGGCTTAAGCTAGTCTTCTCAAATAGAGTTCAGAAACTCTAATTCAGGTCTAAGATGGGACCCGGTGATTTGCATTTTAGCAAGCACCCCAGGGGATTCTAATGCAGGTAGTTCAAGGGCAGTAGTTTGAGGAAACCCTTCTGCCAGCTTTTTGGTAGGACTTTCATTTCTTGGAGCTCAGCTATGACTTCTGAGAGTCAACAAGAGTTGACACATTTGGGAAGAACCCTGGTAACCTGGAACCTGTGTATTCCAGCAACATCCTGCCACAGCCAGAATGGAAGGTCCTGCCCACAGCTCTGAAGAATGGCCTGGCCCTTATCAGTGGCCATGTTCAGAACCCTGCCTGACATATGGTCAGTTATCCAGACTGAAACCTGCAGGGCATATGAGTGAGCATGGGCAAAAAAACCTCTAAACTCAGCCCAAACTGCAGCCAGAGGCTACAAAAACAGTGTGTTAAGTGATTCAGGCCTGCCTTAAAGGAAGCCACGTGCAGGAGAGATGCTGTTTCCTTTGTGTTTCTGTGGAGAGGAGGAAGTAAATTTCAATTTTTCAGTTCCTGGGGTATACAAAGGGGGAGACTCTAGTTCCTTAGAGTTCTCAGGAGTAGGGACCATTTCCAGGAGAGGTAAACATTTCCTGGGTGATCTATGACATCTCACTCAAGGTTCTGCTGTGAAAAGTCTCCCGCTGTTAGTGTTGCTGACTTGCCTCGGGGCCAAGCCATGGATACGTGCCTGATATAGGCAGCTCTCAAAGACTTGTGTTGAAGCAATAACCACCTGCATTAGCTGGGCAAAATATCCTTTGCTGAAGCAAATATCTTCTTTTTTTTTTTTCTAAGACACAGTCTCGCTCTGTTGCCGAGGCTGGAGTGCAGTGGCGCGATCTCTGCTCACTGCAACTTTCACCTCCCGCGTTCAAGCAATTCTCTGCCTCAGCCTCCCCAGTAGCAGGGATTACAGGCATCCGCCACCATGCCCGGCTAATTTTTGTATTTTTAGTAGAGGCGAGGTTTCACCATCTTGGCCAGGCTGGTCTTGAACTTCCGACCTCATGATTCACTTGCCTCGGCCTCCCAAAGTGTTGTGATTACAGGCGTGAGCCACTGTGCCCGGCCACAAATATCCTTTTTAATATCTTTTTTGTGTGTGTGACAGAGTCTCACTCTGCAGCCCAGGCTGGAGTGCAATGGCACCATCTCAGCTCACTGCAACCTCCACCGACTCCAGTCGTGGGTTCCACTTCACCACTGCAATCGTGGGTTTGAGAGATTCTCCCACCTCAGCCTCCCGAGTAGCTGGAACCACAAGCATGTGACACCCTGCCCGGCTAATTTTTGTATTTTCAGTAGAGATGGGTTTTCACCATGTTGGCCAGGCTGGTCTCGAACTCCTGACCTCAAGTGATCCACCTGCCTCAGCCTCCCAAAGTGCTGGGATTATAGGCATAAGCCACCATGCCTGGCTGCAAATATCATTTTGTTCTCTAGGATGATTGAGTTTATAATGCCCAGGCAGTCTGAGACCACTGGCAGAGGCCCCCATGACCATTCGTCTGGCTTAGTGGGCAATGGGGCCAGCTAGTCTGGCACATTTTCTACCCTGGAGTGCCTTTGATTTACTGAATCAGGAAAGACCCTCCCCATACCAGGGATTAAATATTTTCTGCAAAGACTCTAAAGTGGACAGTTTACTCCAGGACAATTTAAACTGATTTATACATGTATATAACACATATATCCAGATACTTGACATCTTGCTCCTAAGAGCAGCCTGCCTCAAGCCTGGTCATGTCACTGGTTTGTTCAAGCTCTGCTAGGAAGTAATTTTGTTCCTCTAGGGAATAATTCTAAAATTGGGAAGGAAGTCTGTTCTAGACAGCAGGAAAGGATTTCATGGTGACATACTTGGAGATCCAATGTACAGGGGTTGTCAGCAATTGGGTCCAGCAGGTGTTAATACTCCCATTTTCTAGTGAGGACAACTGAGGTTCAGGGAAACCTCTCACCCTTCATTTCTCAGAAGGGACTGAAAATAGAAGTTTCAATTTGGTGCCTTTGGGTGTCTCTCCCCTGGAGGCAGTATAATTTAGCAGGTAAGGGATTAGTCCCTGGGATTAGTCTATGTGAATTCAAATCCCAGATTTACTGTTTATTAAATGGGTGACTTTGAGCAAGTTGTAATAAGCCTTATGTGCAAAATGCGTTGTTGTAAGGATTGAGTGAACTATTTATTTGAAGTACATAGAACATTGCCTAGCACATAGTAGATACTCAGTAGACAGTTTTTTGTTTTTGTTTTTAAACTGGAGCCTCTCCTGAGGAAGCATTGCTCCTAGAAAGCCTGCCCAGCCTAGTCCAGTAAATGCTGCCACCTCACTCCTCCCAAGGTGAGCTGTCTGAGGTCACCTCAATGCTAATAGGACCTCTTCTTGTCTCCACCTCAGGGAGTTTTTGCACACCATGTATTATCATATAATATAATGCAATATAATATCATACATAACATAACATAATATGATGGGTAGGTTAACTTGGAAACCCTGAGGCGGACGGTGGATGGATGGATAGATGAATAGATACATTTGTACTAAGTATACATACATTATATCATTCTATTGATTTGTAAAAAGTTCCCGGTCTGCCTGGCTGTAATGAGATTTTTGAACTTTGCGTGGCGATCAATGAGAGGAATATTATTGGCCTGGAGAATTGATATACCTGCTCTCAGTGGCTTGTTCTGCTCCCAGGCTGCCCCGGCCCCCCAGGTGTATGATTCCAGCAGACACTTAACCTTTTTTACAGTGTCATCAGGCTAAAAGGAATCTAATAGTGACACAGGACTTGTGCTCAGCACTCTGCCACTATTGCTTTCCTGTCACAAATAATTTATAGCCTTCTATTTCCACCCCTGAGCCTGCACCCCAGCCTTGCCTCCTGCTTCCCCCAGCTCCCAGGAATCAATAAACTCACATAGCCACGGTGGGACTTCAGGGTGCAAGGAGACAGACAGACAGACAAAGAGAGGGGAAGTGGAGAGAGGAGCAGAGAAGGAGAAGAAGAGAGGGACAGAGAGTGAAACACAGAGAAAAGAATGGGGAAGGAGGAGGAAGAGAGAGAGCTGAACTAGAAGATGAGTAAGAATGCCTGGTGCTCTCTTAAAAGGTGGAGCGCTTCTCTCTTTCTTCTTGAGTTTAACACAGTGTTAATAGGAGTTTCATGCAGGGCTTTCATTCTTACTCACAGAGCCTGAGACTGTGTTGATATCCAAGTTGGTGAGAGGTGGGGGTCTTCCGGGAATTTAACCAGTAAGGGAGTGGCCTCCCCACCTGCCCTGTCATCCTTTGCTCTGAAGTCCTGCCACGACCCCCTGCCATCCCTTGGGTCTCCTGTGGATCCTTGCCAGTGACCCTAGTGGGGCTTGGTCCAGCCCCCAGTCTGTCTGCTTGAGAGTCTGACGCAACCTCCTTTTGGGTCAGATGTCGCCGCCGCCACTGCTGCTGTTTCTTGTCTTCTCAATGCTCTTCCCAGGGTCTCAGTGGCACCTGCATTGACCAGTCTGGGGCATACTGGGTAGGGAGGTCTCCTGCCTGCATCGGCCTAAATTGAAAGCACCCGGGCCTAGGGGTCACCCATAGGAATAATAATACTGGTCATCATTGTTATTATAGGTAGCATTTATAGAACCAACCATCATAGTAATCACATTACATGGAGTGTCCCTATTTAGTCCTTGCCACAGTCCTATGAAGTGTATGGTAGTATTATCTTATTTTACAGAGAAGGGAATAAGAAACTGCCAGGGGTTTCACAGGAAACAAGTAACAAAGCCGGGATTCCGACTAAGGCAGGCTGAGCCCAGAACCCATGTCCTTCTTCCTTTTGCTGCTCTCACTCCCTTGGAAGTGTGGGAGACTCTAAGTGCCTGGAAGTCCCCATGCGGGGCCCAGGCCAAAGCCCTGGAGGTCCCCAGGAAAGGGCGAGCTCTCATCGGAAATGGTGGAGGAGAAAGAGCATCTTGTGAAGGAAAGAGAAGTGGGGAGCAGGCACCCTGGCAGGGCAGTCTCTCAGTGGAAATGGAAAAATGACACCTCCCAGCTTCTGAGCAGAGCTGTGTCCTCCAGGGTCCCAGCTGCACCCTCCAGGGATCTATATCCAGAACTTGACCTTCCAGGTCAAACCTGCCTGGGGCCGTGGAGGTTTGATGTGTGTCTGGCT
The DNA here is from genome assembly GCF_000001405.40 of Homo sapiens. Lineage (NCBI taxonomy): Eukaryota > Metazoa > Chordata > Mammalia > Primates > Hominidae > Homo > Homo sapiens. Next base: position 100,775,204 of record NC_000010.11, read on the forward strand.
GTCTTGTGAGGCCAAGTATGAAAAAGAATTGGAGAAAGAGGAGGAGGAACATGGGGAAACGGTATCAGGCCGTCATCATCAACAACTGCTTTACTTCATTCATCCTTTAGCCCCGAGTGAAATTGCCATGAGTTGTTGGGTTGTTGTATGGGAGACAGGAGGACAATGGATGACCATCAGATTTCCATGATCCCAGTTCTTAAATTCTCCGAGATCAGCTCTAGGGACTGGCAAGTGCCCACTGCCTGAGGTCATGGATGGACACCAAGAGCATTAGTAACTCACAGCAGGCACCCTGCCCAGCTCCTCCCCCATGCACCACCAAGCCGCTGTCAGGGAGTAGTGATTTTCCATCACTCGCTGCCTCAGCTAAATTTGCGCCAGTGCCCTAGGGGTCAGAGGCTCTGGGTAACAAAGACAGAAACTCCTCAAGCCCGTCCAGTTCTCTCTCTCAGCCAGCCCCACCCCTGGGGTTCCCTTAGTCAAGAGCCCATCAGCCCTCAAGCCAGAGCCACCCACAGGCCCAGTGAGCTCACAGAAGCTGTTGCTGCAGTAAACTAGGAGCAGCTGCTCTGAGCTGCTCAGCATCTTTCTAGACTTTTCTTGTAGATGATTGTACACTGCCTCTCAGCTACTATCCAATCTTTTCCATTGTGATCAAACTCCAAATCTTCCCTCCAACTCTTGGGAGATGACCTTGCCTTCTGCTTTGCTGAGAGATAAAAGCCGTAAAAGCTCCTTTTCAAAGCTTTGGCCACCTGAAAATATGCCATTTCTGGCTAACACCTCCCTGGAGTCTGCACTCCATTTTTCCTTGTTCTCCCTTGCTCTGTTAATCATCCACAGTCCCTTAGGCAACTTCAGTCTCTTCCTCTTCACTGGTTCTTCCTCCTCAGTCTACAAGCTTATCCAGGTCTTTCCTACCCAAGAAGGCCTTCCCTCCACTTAGCTGCCCGTTCCATCCTCCACCTTCCATACTTTCCTCTCCTTTCGTTTTCCAAAAACTTCTGAGGCAATAGTCTCCGTTTACTGCCCTGCCTCCTTTTACTCCCTATGCATTCCCTAACCTTGTTCTGTCTGGCTCCTGCTCCAGTCGCTTTGCTGAGACTCCTCCTCAAGGTCACTAATGGCTACCAGAATCCCAAATCTGTGCTTCTTCTTGTTCCTAATTCCCTTCGGTCCCCATGTTGCTGTTGGCACTGCAGGTTGTGTTTTTCTTGAAACATTCTTCTCCACTGACTTAGGTGAAACTGACCTATCTTGGTTCTGCCATTTCCTCTGCAATTAATTCTCTGAATCCTTTGCAAGGTCAGTTTCTTTTCCCAGTCCCTGGAAATAAATGTCCTCCAGTATCCACTCCTTAGGCCTCTTGTCTTTTAAACACTCCTTTCCCCGGTCCCTGACAGTCTCCTAAATCCATACCTCTGTGTGCCTGCTGATGCAGGGGCATTGCCCCTGGACGCTCCTCTTTCACCTCAAATGCTGCACATCTAGGACCAACATCACCACTTCCCTCCAAAACCAGTCACCTCCCTATAGCCTTATTCCTGACCTGCTGATGTAAACTCCACCAAGCTTCCAGTTACACAAATCTGAGTTTGTAAAACCATGGTTGACTCCAGTTGGTTGCCAAACTCTGACCATTCTGCCTTCCTCTTGTCTTGCAAATTCTTCCCTTTCTTTCCTGAGACCAGCTCCCTATCGCCTCATGCCTCATGTATATGTATGTTGCTTTACTGGGATCTGTTTGTAGAGATCCCCCCTAGTTTAGAAATCACTCATGGCTTAAGGCCCTCTAAACCTGGTTCCTACATGTTGGGGGCAGGATGACAAAGTAACAAAAAGCATAGATTTTAGAGGCTGCATTCTGAGTCTTCCCTAATTGGTACTGTGATTTTTTTTTTTTTTTTTTTTTTGAGACGGAGTCTTACTCTGTCGCCTAGGCTGGAGTGCAGAGGCACAATCTCAGCTCACTGCAACCTCCGCCTCCTGGGTTCAAGCGATTCTCCTGCCTCAGCCTCCTGAGTAGCTGGGATTACAGGTGCATACCACCACACCTGGCTAATTTTGTATTTTTAGTAGAGTTGGGGTTTCACCATGTTGGTCAGGTTGGTCTCAAACTCCTGACCTCGTGATCTGCCTGCGTCGGCCTCCCAAAGTGCTGAGATTACAGGCATGAGCCACCGCATCTGGCCTTTTTTTTTTTTTTGAGATGGAGTCTCACTCTATTGCCCAGACTGGAGTACAGTGGCTTGATCTTGGCTCACTGCAACCTCCGCCTCCCGGGTTCAAGCAATTCTCCTGCCTCAGCTGCCTGAATAGCTAAGATTACAGGTATCTGCCACCATGCCTGGCTAATTTTTGTACTTTTAGTAGAGTCGAGATTTCACCGTGTTGGCCAGGCTGGTCTCAAACTCCTGACCTCAGGTGGTCCACCCGCCTTGGCCTCCCAAAGTGCTGGGATTACAGGCGTGAGCCACTGCACCCAGCCAGTAGTGTGATCTTGAGTGAGCTACTTAAACTTGTCTCAGCTTTGGTTTTCAATTTGCAAAATGAGGATAATAGTCTCTACTTTGGAGGTGGTTGTGCGAATTAACAGTAATATATATGTCATATAAATTGTGTATAATATTGGCACATAGTAGATGTTCAGTAAGTGGAAAATGGTGATGGTTCTCATCACATCCAAGTTTTCATTCTTGTTTCCTCTTAGTCCCTTGCCTGTCTCCACTCATTCTGGCTGACCACTCTGGGCATTAACCCAGAAGGCAGCAGGCTCGCGTGGCTTCCGCTTCCACCAGCTTGTGATGCCCTCCCCTCTACTTCTTTGTTCATCTTAGGATCAAGTTATTTTTTACTGGGGAAAGAGACAGTGGAGATCCTGTAGTCCAACCCCTTCATTTAAAGCTGAAGAAACTGAGGCCCAGAGAAGTTGAGAGGTGAGACCAAGGCTATGTGGCTTCTTAAATGCAAAATCAGAAGCAGGACTCAGGGCCCCTGCCATGCAGCCCAGTGTCCTTTCCGCCATCCTCTGTGCCTCTGATTTCAGCCCTACTTGGCTTTGAAGATCTACATCAATTTCCCTCTGTTCAGCGACTTCTTCCGCAGTTCCCTCTCCTGCAAGGGGAATGGTTCCTCTCCTCCAAGTTTCCAGCACTAACTACCTGATTCCCTCGGGTAACTGAGCTTTTTTGGGGATTAAGTCTCCCCTCCCCACCTTCATATCCAGCACTGTGAGCTAGGGGCCTTATCCCAACTGCCTGCAAGTGTTCAGGAAAAGCTTTTAGAGCTGACTTGCTCATGGCTTGTGACTCACCTGGCTGGTTGAGGTGAGCTTGGCTCACATGCCTCTCTGTGGGGACAAGGAACGCTATCAGAAAAGTGGCTTCCAAAGGCCCCTCATTTGACCAGTGGGTAGGGGGAGCATTCCTCCGTCTTGGCCCTGGGACTGGTCTTTGGCATCATTGAGCCCTCGGTTTTTCAGATCCCTGAAAAGCAGGCTCCTGGAATGTTTGATTTGGCCCCTTCTCCCCAGGATGTACAGGGAGGGCACCAGACCTTTCAACCAGGCTGGCAAAGACGCTGCAATCCAAGTAAGAACCTCAGAAAAGGAGGCCAGCAAACCAGCCAGCCATATAGGAACAGGGCTCTGACTTGTTTGAGGGCAGTAAGTGGGCTCAAGAAGAGATTGTTCAGCCTGACATCTGGCAAAGGGACTGTGTGCTGTGTTGGAGTCCTGGGGACAAAAGAAAGGGTCACCTGTGACCCAGCCCCTCCCTGGCTACTTCTCATTCTTTCAGGATATGGGGAAATCTCATCCTCTCAACTCTGAAGGACTGTGACACAGTCCCAAGTAGGAAAGCCAGCTCCAAAATGATCTCAAAACCCAGGAGGTCCTGGTACCAGGAAGAGATGCGTGTGTGGTTGAGGAGAGAAAGGTGGACAACAAGCCACTAGGGCAGTCCTCACCCTGCAGAAAAAGAAAGGATGCTGTGCTCACTGGGTCTCTGCCCTGATCTTTGCTACCAAAAATCAAACAATAATTTGGGTGATGCACATAGCAGGACATAAGGCAGGCTGCATTCACCCAGAGCTGCATTACGTTGGATCTGCGGAGCCAACAGAAGGAAAACCCTGTGCCTTGCAGCAGTCAGTGAGGGCAGGGACACAGGGAGCAGATGGATGAGGAAATCGCTGAGGAACTTGGGAGAGAGCCCCTTTGCAGGGCTGGGCTGGAATTGGCCGGGATAGGAGTGGGCATTTGATGTGTGATGCTGTTGTGACGCTGTTGCAGAATCATCCGGACCAAAGTTCAGCAGCCTTTCCACCCAACGCCGGATGGGGCTGGGACAGGAGTGACCGCCCCTGGCCACACCATTGGTAAGAGGGCTCAGGGAAGGGGAGGAAACCAGATCCCACCTAGAGAAAGGCAGGAAACGCAGCTCCACCCCTGGGAACTGCCTGCCCGCTTGAGGTCCAGAGCCCAACCTATTTGCCAACTCCTCTCACCTGAGCTCCTGTCCACATAGGGTCTTCCTGAGAGATACTGGTTCTCTAGGACTGTTCTCTGCCTCCCACTTGTGTCACCTCCCTCTGCCCTGCTTTAGTCAGTCCCTATCCTCTCCCCTCCTCTCCTCTCTCTTAAGTGTTTTTCTTCTAGCATTTCTTCTTCTTTTTCTTCTTCTCCTCCTCCTGCTTCCCTCTCCCTCATTCTCCAACATCTTTTGTTTTTATCTGATTCTGTCTCCCTACCTGTGCCCTCTTTCTTTTATATCAACTTTCTTATTCCATCTTTGTTTAACATTCCATCTTGTTCTTAACATTGTCCTCTGTCTTCTCCCCTTGGCTCCTCTTCTTTTCTCCCTCTGCCCTTCCCTCTCTTCTCTCTTCTTCTTAGGTGTAGCTCTGGCTCTGTTCTGTCTTCCTCCTTCCTCATGGCCTCTTTCCTCTTGGCCTTTCTCTCTTGATTGCTCAGCCTCTGTCTCACCCACTCTGTATCTCTCATCCTTTCTCCATCCTCCTCATTCTTTGAGCCATGCTTAGGGCCTCTCAAAGACGTGACCCAGGCCTACTAGAACACCTGCTAACACTCCTCCTCTGTCCCCAACGCACACAGACTAGCTTCCCTCTGGCCCAAGGAGAAACTTGGTGCTACTGTAGCCATAGATGAGGCCCGGGGTTTGAGGGGCTGGGATGTGGTTACATTTTTCCTGCTGCTCCTCTTGGCAGTTGTCTCCTTCTGTCTTGACCAGCAGGTAATAGAAATGACTAGTTCCAGCCCTCCAGGAGTTGGCAGGAGCTGTTGTTTACTAGGCCAGTGTTACAGTGTGTGCTGGGAGGGAGGGTTGGGCCAGGCTGTACCTGAGTTGATCACCATAGAGCGAATGGGTTCACTAATCTTGCCCTAAGGGGGAAATTAGGAGTTTCTCAAGTGATTTCAAGACCAAAAGCAGCTGAGAGAGAGAAATGCACACTCCTGGGGAACATCAGGACCAGTCTTGTGTCTCCTGGAGAATCAGAGACAGATCTTAGAAAGCCACAGACTCTAAATCAGGATTGGTAAAGACTCAGCCCAGGAGACTGAGAACAATGAGCTGGGGCTTCATTAGAAGGGTTTGCCCAGCCCCAGGGATTGGATGAGCTGTGCAAGGGGGTATCCAAGGAGCTGTGCTCTCTAGAGGACCATGGAGGTGCTGCCTAGAAGGAGACAGGTTTGCTGTTTCCTGGGCCTGTACTCCATCCGTCTTTAGGAGAGTGAGTTTGAGAACCCCAGTGAAATCCACAGGTCTGCAGAGAAGGCCTGGGGTTAAACTGGGCACCACTTACCTCAGGGCTGGACAGAAGTGAATAATAGCCTGTATATGGCAATGCAGTCCCCTCTTAAATAGACCCCAGAGGAAGTAGAGGAATGAGAGGAACGTGGGCTCCTCATCCCTCCTTATGTCCTCTGCTTCTCTCTGCCCCCCAGCCTTGGGGCTTTGGCCTACGATCACAACTGCTAAACTGCTATCCTGATGCCATTTCCTCCTTCCTCTCATCCAGTTCCCAGCACGGCCTCCCCTCCTGTTTCCAGCGCCTCCAATGACCCAGTGGGATCCTACTCCATCAATGGGATCCTGGGGATTCCTCGCTCCAATGGTGAGAAGAGGAAACGTGATGAAGGTAGGGAGGAGGGAAGAGGTGTGGCTTCCCCTTCACATGCTTTGTCCTTGGACTCCAAGCTCCGGTTTCGGCCTGGCCTCGCAGCTGCTCTGCTGTGAGATCAATTTTAGTAGCAAAGCCCAGGTCCCCCCACTGCCCTGCTGGCTCCTGGAGAGAGGGAGGGTGGCTGCTAGTGGGGCCATCAGCTTCACCATCTGCTCAGCAGCCCCGGCTGCCTCACCTGCCACTAGGGCTCACCCTATCGATCCCTGTGGGATGTCAGGAGGAGAAGCAAGAACCGTTTACCTTGGGAAGGTTTTGGAGTTGGGGGAACAGCTGGTCTCTGGCCTGAGGATGAAAGGCCAACCTACCTTGTCCTTACCTGATCCCAATCTGTCTGGAGGTGAGGTAGTGATGTCATGTGCAGCCTAGCCTGGTGTCCTTTCTCTTTAACACCTGCACACCGCCCCCAGTTCAAACCTCACAGGGAGCTGGACATGGGACCCCTCTCTCCTCTTCTTCTCCATGAGTAGAAATGCCACTCCAAATCCCCTGGCCCTCTCCCTCACCTCCCTGAAATGCCTCAAGGTGCAGCCAGGCTGTTAGGAAGGGTGTCAAAGGGAAGGGGGAAGGAAGAGGAGGAGGAGAGAAGAAAAGAAATAAGGGGGAGAGTGGTAGGGATGATCCTGGGACAAAGTGTTTTTCAAATGTCGTGACATTGGGGGTCCCTTGGTGACCATCTGGTTCTCTTCTGATGCGTGAAGCTGGGGCACAGGGCTGGCAGACCCTGAACAACAGAGACACCAGTGTCTCCGGCCTGCGTCCTGCCCCCATTTTCTCATGGTTCCCGCTGGAGAAGTGGTAACCTCCTGGCCTTCAGAGGATTTTAAAGACATCTCCCAGGAAAGAGGCAGAATCCTCAAACAATGAGCATAAAGGGGTGACCATCTATCCCATTAGCCCAGAACAGTCCCAATTTATGCCTGTTGTCTCTGCATCTTGGCCAGTCAGCATCTCAGCATCTCCCTTTTCTCTCAAAAATGTCGTGTTTGGACAATAAATTATGTGGTCATTCCACACATAGACAAACCCTCGGTAGGGGAAGCCTAATGGAGTGAGGAGCAGAGAAAAGGGACAACACTGAGCTTGCCTGGGCCCACAGTCCAAGATCCCCCAGCCTAGGCTGAGGGAAGAGAGTGGGAGAGGCCAGGCCCCCAGCGGAAGGGACAGCGTGGAGGGGAGGCCTAGGCCTGACAAGACAGTGATGACCTGGCGCTGGCCTCCTTCCAGAAGCCCTAATGGCCTCGTTTCACAGGGAAACAGCTTGTCTGGCTCTATTTCTCCTTCTTCCAAAATATCCAAACCGATTTGGCCGCCACGGCCTTTGCCATTCACTAAATTTCATTGTGGTTGTTTTGGCGGCGGCCCCTGATGGGCAGGGGGAGGTTGTGGGAAAGGCCCTAAGTCCCAGTTCTCCCTGAGGCTCCCTGTGCTCAGGCCTTGGCCAAGCTCCTTGGCACCCCAAGTGCTTTGGTAGAATCTGCCTCAAACCCTAAAGGTCTCTCCCTTAACCAGCAGCCCCTGTGTTTTTTAGGGGTGAGAGGCCCAGCAGCCCATGGGAGGCCACAGATACCCCTCTGTACTCTCCCTTTTCAGTCTGAGGCTGTGGCCAAGTATGCCAACCTCGTGGCCAAGTATGCCCTCTGCTGCATGGGCTCCTGTGGGGCAAGAAAGGCTGGGGGTAGGGAGGCACTGGCATGAGGTTGTGGTCACCCAGGGCTGCGCCTGGCTGGCCCAGAACAGGGCGCTCTCCTGAGTGGTTGATCGCCTTCATTGTTTCTAATCAATTCAGTTCAGTGAACCTTTCCTGGACATCAGTTTCAAGAAAGGCTTGGTACTATAGGATCCCAAAGCAGAACAAGATATGATTCTTGTCCTTAAGGAGCTTACATTCTAGTGGGGCATGTTAAACATGTGAGCTCAAAGAGCAGATAGGCCCATCAGATATCCTGTTGCGATGGAGGTCTGGTGGCGGGCCACAGGAACTGGGCTGGGGAGGGAGTACATGGCCAGGAAGGGCTGCTCTTTGAGGAGGGGCCTGAGGGATGAAGAGGAGAATGTTCAGAGACAATGGTAGCCTGAAATTCTATCTGATAGACTGAGCCTTGTGACCAGAAGGCCCTTTGGCCAGCCACTGCAGGGCAGCTTTAGCAGGGATAGAAGGCACAAAGAGATGTGGTGGACAGTAAGGCTGAGGAGACAGGTTAGGGCCACAGGATAGCAGGCCAGGTCTAGACCATAGAAGGAGTTTGGGCTTTTTTTTTTTTTTTTTTTCTGAAAGCAGGAGTAGTCTGAGCAGGAAGGGACAGGAGCAGGGCTGGGTTTGGGAAGCTCATGCTCCAGCAGTGTGACAGTGATGCACCAGGGCCATGTTGCAGGAAGCAGTGAAAGCCTTCAAAGCAAGAGATTACGGTGCCCCCAAGTTTCCTCTGAAACATTTACCTGCTGGGCCTATCCGGGTGGCAAGACATATCAGAGGCCTCACTCTTTTTTGAGAGACGGTTCTCCTCCTCTTACCAACTCCTCTTGACCAACCCCAGGCCAAATGGAGATGTATTTTCCCTGGTGGAGGCCTGGCCTATGAGGGAGACCAGTTCTCCCTGACCTCCCCCTCCAATCCTGATCCACCAGCCCCTGGTGGGAAGGGAGAGGAGAGAGCAAAGGTAGAGCTGTGGCAGCCCCTCCTCCCCTTTCCCCCACTCTGGATGCTTCTAAGGAGCCAGGCCCAGTTTGCATTAGGGAGCAGCTCAGATGATTAAGAATAAGGGAGATAATTATGTGTCAAGATGATGTAGCCCAACTCTGCAGTCAGGCCAAGGTAGCAAAGCAGCTGGCAGGCCAGTCACAGAAGGCAGCCTCGGGCATGGGCTGCAGACACCCAGGTGTGTCCTTCAGTGACTGGGCCGGGACTGCAGCAAAAGAGAATACTGACCAGGGGACTAAGGGGTGTTGGGATGGGACTGAGCACGCACATTAAAGGGCTAGACCCTAGAGGGAATGGAGGGGCTCATCTCCCTCCAGGAGGACCCTTAAAGACCCTGCCAGACTGGCCCTCCTTTGGCCCCAAGCACTGTGGCATCTTCCTAGGAGTGTCATACCCCAAGGGCAAGCTGTGAATCTCTTTGTCCTCCAGGAAGCTGCTCCTCTTTTGCTCTGGGTACAGTTCGGCCTATTCTTCAGCTCTAACAATGTCACGGTGATGGGCATTAGTGAGGACAATCACTGCAGTGAGTGCTGGCATTATTGGAGACAATCTCAGCAGTAGTTATTGGTGTTCACAGTGATAATGCCCAGAACATTATTGGCACTGGCACTCGGAATATGGACAGTGTTATTAGTATCTGCAGCAATCATTTCCCTGGGGATATTAGGAAAGGACTGATCAGCTGTGACTCTGGGGAAAAACTGGCAGTGACTGTGAGCCTGTTTGAGACCCCTTCCCATGCCTTGGCCTTTGAGAGTATGGAAAACACCCCCTGACTTTCCCTTGAGAAATGTGCTGGTCAAGAGGCTTTGACCCTCATCCCAAGAGCCCAGGAGCTCCCAGAATGAGACAGGTAGACAGTCCAGATAGATGAGGAAGTTATGTTCTGAAGCACCCAGAAGACAGGCTGTCCATCAGTCCGAGAAGGTAGAATCCCCATTCATATCATTCAAAAATCCTCACTTCTTAGCTGTAATTATGGGTGGGCATGTTAGTGCTGGATTCCCTGGGCCCTTTGAAGGGATGCCAATTCCCTGAACACTGTGTGAGCTGGTTTATGTGGCTGGAGGAGAGAGATTCTTGTATTTCCCTATCTACAATCAGGCTGAAAACTGGAAGTCCTTCGCCTTTACCCAGTTGCTTTCGGCTGGGGCCCAAAACATTGCTGTTCATCGGTGATGGTATTGAAGCGCAGGGCAGTTACACAACTTGTCCAAGAATCCAAATGAAGTCATATGGTGAGAATCTGCTGGTCTGTGTGAGGGAGGTGTGTTGGGATCATCCTTTGAGGTGTGAGATTGCAGGGGGCCATGATTTTGCATTCCATTCATTAGGTGTACAATGAATTGTGCCATTGAGTGGTGCCAAGCTGGTGCAGTTGTGCGTTTGCAGGCAGGGCAGGTTGCATGGCTGCAGATGGCCGAGTCCTGTCACTGCCTTTAATAGCTCCCTTCTGCTTTGGATGAAGCCATAAATGGAAGAAGCAGTTTATTTCCTTAGTTAGCTACCATCCTAGAGGTCCCCAAGAGTGTTGCTCAGGTTAGACTTGGAGCAAATGAGGGGATTAAGCCGTGGAAATGAGAAGCACCTGCCCTTGTCTACGAGCCTGGCTTGAGGCAGCAGAAGGTTGCAAAGACTCCCACCAGGAAGGAAGGCACAGGGTAGGAGTGAGCATGCCATCCCTAGAGCAGGGCATGGATGGGCAGTGGGGCTCAGTGGGAATGAATGTGGCCTCTGGAGTGAGCACAGCAGGGTCTGAATCCTGGTGCCCCTCACTAGTTGGGCAAGTCACCTAACCTTCATCAGCTCAATCTTCTCCTCTGTAAAATGAAGATGGTAATGGCACTTCCTTCCTGGGGGCTGTGGAGAGGATTCCATGAGGTCGTGAATTTAGTGTTGAGCTGACTTCATCTTGGAGACGCATCCTTGTGTATCTGGGAAAGAAAGCCTAATTGGCAGGTTTATGTTTCATGAGGAAATGAAGTTGTGTTAGAAAGAAATTTATTTGGGCATAGGCGCCCTAACCTTGGTGCAGCTCCTTGTAACTAGGGCAGCCTTTAGTGGATGCTGGGATTAGCTAACCCGGATGGGACCAGCGCAGTGGAGGAAAGCTGTCGTCCTCACACCCGGGATTGGGAGAACGTTTGTCCATTTCTATCTGTTCATTTACTCTGTGGTTACCCACTTGGGCCACATGTCATCTTTCAGCCTCCACAGGCATTTTAGGTGTGTATAAATAAATAAACATAAGATCCTCTTCTTTTTCTAACATGTGGGCATCTCTCCCTCTATTCATCTGTGGACATTACTGCTCCCACATGCAAGTTTATTTCTTTACCTTGGAAAATGTATGTTTGTTTTATAAACCCAAATGTAATTTTTTACACAGTTTATGCAAGTGTGAGTATGCATGTGTTCTACCGCTCTGAGGTCTTTGGGTATAAGGGGATGGGAATGTCATGCACTGGGAAGGTGTGCAGTTACCTGGGTAGTGTGCGTGCTTGGAGAGAGTGCCGGGTGTGACTGTGTGAGCGGGGAGAGCTCTAAGCCAGGCCTCAGTGTGTTGAGCGCCCATGGTCCTGGGCACAGGCATCACCCTACCTTCTGCTGATAAAGGGAGGGGCTGTCCTGAGCCTGCCTCCAGGGGTGGCCTAGGGCCCAAGACTAGGGAGACTAAGGCCCTTACAGCCAGGCTGTGAGGGAATTGCAGCTCAGAACCCTTGTAGCCCTTAGAAGGGGAGTCTGGTCTCCCGATCTTGGGATCCTGCCCCCAATCTTCTGCCTGCCTGTCTTTCGGGATCTCTCAGTGTTTGTCTGTCTCTTATTTGCTCTAGTTGAGGTATACACTGATCCTGCCCACATTAGAGGAGGTGGAGGTTTGCATCTGGTCTGGACTTTAAGAGGTATGAGGGCCAGAGGGAACATGGCGTGGGGGTCAAGGGAAATAGCTTGGGGGTGGCGGTTAGAGAACATTCAGAGAGTGGGTTCCTAAGGGCCAGAGCATGGAAAAGGAGGAGTTGGCTCAGGCTTCCACTGGGAGACCTGGAGGCTAACAGAGTCTCAGGGCCTGGATTACTTCCGCCATGGGCCACTGATGGGGTTTGGGAGCTGAGGCCCCGGTGGCCTGGAGGGTCAGGCACTCAGTGGATGGGGGGTCACTTTTTCTAGCCCTTGGAAAAACAAAGAGCAGATCGGGTAGTAAAACAAAAGCAAAGGAGACCTGGAAGCACCTGACAGCCCTAATTCATCACAGCCCAAGTTTTTTCCTGTGTTCCCATTATATTTGTTTGTAAAAGTGGAAATCAATTTTGAAGGTAATTTTCTGGAAAGAATGGAAGGGAGGTGGGAGGGCCGGATAAGGCAGAGATGGTAAAAGGAAAAATTTAGGCCAGGCACAGCCCAGGGGCAGCTCTTGGCAAGGTGAAAGAAAATTGCATATTCAATCTCCATCCATGAATCTTCCTCACTGCTGCCCGCCTCCTGCTTGAAAACAATGAAGGCTTTTTCCCAACGCTGGGCAGGGCCTCGGTATCAGCCTCACTTTAACTTCAGGGTCATTAATTCCCTGATTATTGAAGGAGAAGAGAGGGTTGCAGCATCGTCAATTCCAAAGGCACCCCCTCATGTGATCGGGCACTGGCTGGGGTTGGGTGGGGGGCACCCAGGGCAAAGTGAGGTGTTGTTTGAGAAAGGTGTGAGGAGCGAGGAAATGGGGGAGCCACTGGACTATGGGGGAAGGAAGCCAGGAGGGTGGAAGAAGGCAGTCATTACTGCATACCTCTGTTGTGTTGTTATTGCAAATTAAAAGTAGCATGTTCCACTCCACAGCTATCTTTGGGGAGGGAGGGGCACCGAGGGAGGTGGGGGATCTTATCATTGCTTCTTCAGCAGACCAGCCGTGGTGTCACCGTGTGAGGTGACATTTGAATTTACAATTCCGCTGAGAAAAGCCATTAATTCACAAATTAACATTTCTCCCTCTCCCTCTCTCTTTAACACTCTCTCCCTCTCTCACATGGATGTGCAAGCAATTGAAAAGACAAAGGAAATAGCCTTAAGGAAGAGACTTTACTGCTAGTCTGTGCTGAGATTGCTCCCCCTGCTTCCAGATAGATAAACCAATTACCTGAGCAGCTCTGCTCCTGGCCGCCCGCGATCGCCTCCTTTTGTAGGCTGCCTCCATGGCTGGATTACACTCGGTGTATCTCATTAATGTAAACCAGGCGTGCCCTGGTCACCAAGCTCTCTTCCCGGCTCTCCTTCTGGAGGGGCAGTGGGAGGAGGGCTGGGGTCAGTAAAGGCAGGCAAGGAGGACCCCGAGGAAGACCAGAGGCTGCCACTGCCTGGCTTCCCAGGCCCTGGGCACTCGGGTGCAGCCTGCCATGTTGGCTGAGGCTGATGGGGGAAGTCGGTGGGTGAGCGCTCCTTGGTGGGCTTGCTCTGAACTGAGTGAGGGCTGGGTATGGCTGGGGGCAGAGGAAGGAGACAGGGCCTGAGTCTCTCAGCGGCATTTTGGTCCAGATGCAGGGGGCTGGCAGAACCAGAGAGGGATCTGAGTGCTCCCTGCTTGGGAAGAGCTTGGAGAAGTTTTGCTGAGTACACACTATTTTAGTGGGATGGGATTCAGCCTGAAGGAGCTTGGAGAGAGGCTGAGGAGGGCCCAGGAGACTTGGCGAGGTTGCACCATATTGGGTAAACAAAAACCCAGCACTTGGATACAATTATGTCTGTTTACCACCTAATTCTTGCATGCACACACACCCCCCCCGACACACATACATGCACACCGACACACACACATGCACACCCAGCCATCCGACTCTTTTGCTAGAGAAGACGGGGAGAAGGAGTGTGCTCCCAGGTTTCTAAAGTGAGCTTACATCGTGGGTAGGGAATTGCAGGGCCTCTCTCTGCTTTTGCTCTCCTCCCAGACCCTGGTTCAGCACTGTAAGAAGGCATTTATGTTGGTAGGGGGCAGCTGAGCAGAGTTTTTGCTTCTCTCTCTCTCTTTTTTTTGGATGAAGTTTCACTCTTGTTGCCCAAGCTGGAGAGCAATGGCAAGATCTCAGCTCACTGCAACCTCTGCCTCCCAGTTCAAGCGATTCTCCTGTCTCAGCCTCCTGAGTAGTTGAGGTTACAGGCACCTGCCACCATACCTGGCTGATTTTTGTATTCTTAGTAGAGACAGGGTTTCACCATGTTGGCCAGGCTGGTCTTGAACTTCTGACCTCAGGTGATCCACCCACCTCAGCCTCCCAAAGTGCTGGGATTACAGGCATGAGCGACTGTGCCCAGCCTGAGTTTGTGCTTCTCTAAGGAGAGGTGCTCTGTGGATTATTGGTGGGATTCTATGATTTCACACACTGTACTATCTAGCACATCACAGACTCTCCCCTCCCTAGGAGACAGGCCCTATGAAAGTCCAGAAACCAAATCTATATGATGGTAACCATCTGTCTAGACAAGTTTCTGACTTTAACTGCATTGGCTCAACCTATGTTCATTTTCCAACTCATACCCAAAACCTGGCTAAGGTCCACTTAGTCCAAGAAAGAGCTGAGGTTCAAAGGTCAGCACTCACCAAAACACAGGGGGAAAAAAAACTCATTTATGAACACACATTCATTGCTATGATTATATCTCCCTAGTAACCAAGGAAATTAAACTGTTCATACCTGAGGGGGGAGGTTTTCTGTCTTAGTTGGATCACATATTTTAGCCAAACTCTCTGGGTAGAGTTGGCCGTGAGCCTGTTGAATACTGACTATGTCATTATCCAGAGGTAGGTGTAGGTTCTGTCGATGTTTTAGAAGGACCTTTATCTTGGGCCCTGTGCATAGGTGATTTGTACTTTTTTTGTGGGGAAGTACAGGGGTTTAGCCCTGGCTGTGTGGATCAACATAGGTGCATGCATCTGCATATAAGTCCTTGCCTTTATATCAGAGACAGCAGCCAAATCACCAACTACCTTTGCTTCCCAACTAGTTAATGCTGTTGTGGATGAAGAATTCCATCTGGTTGTTTGGGGAAGTATTTTGGGATTTAGCACAAAAGAGTATATATTTTTTCATACAATGCCAGAAATTCAGAATAGAGAGGTCAATTCCACCCTACCAGGAGAGAATATACAGAATTGCCCTAGAGGAGACTGTATGTGTCCATCCACCGCTGGAAATTGGGGTGGGCGGGTGTAGGTATACCACTGTCTCAGCAAAGGCTGTCTGGTACTCCTGCCCAGCTCCATGTTTGCACCCTCGTGGACGAGCACCCATCTTGTCAGAATACATCTTCAACTTCCTAGTCTTTCACTTGGCAACTACCTTCCAGCCCTGCAGGTAGGCATTGTTCTCCTTTCCCACCCAGCAAGGGCACCAAGCAGGAAATCTGCTGCCTCAGCTCTGCCCTTCTTCCCCAAGCACAGGCTATGGAAGCAGGAAGGAGGAGATGAGCGCCGAAGCTATCCCCGGGCCCTGCTACTCCTGAGTTCACCTCCCTGGGCGCCTCTTCCTCTGCAGACAAGCAGGAAGCTGAGAAGCGCAGGCCACTGGAAAAAGGGTTTGGAGAGGATGTAGGCTAGGGAGACCCCAGATCCCTGCCTGCCAGCGGAATGGTCCTGGCAGCCTCCTTGACCATTGCTGCCCGCCCTGGAGCCCAGAAAAGGACCCCTCCTGCCCTGCCTTCCTCAGAGCCATGGTGGCCTTAGGGCTGTCTGGGACCCTCTCCATTTTGCCCCATTGGGGTGGAAAGGCATAGAGGGCTGGGGGAGGGCTGGGCCTGGCTCAGGGGCTGCGAGACAGATCACGAGCCTCAGAGCCAAGTTGCAGCCTCAGAGCCGAGTTGCAGCGGAGCCAGTAATTCAAACCATCCTGACCCTTCGGTGAACCTGAACCTGCTGACCTTGACAGCACTAGACAACAGAGGCCTCACAAACCTCAACCTGCACGGAGGCCTGGCCTTCCCTCCCTCCCATTCTTGGAGCCCTGTGGCCCATCCTCCAGGTGGCTCCTAATTTGGCTGCCCCCATGAAATGTCAGCATCCCCTCCCTCCCTGAGGCTCCGCCTGCCTGCTTCAAAGCACCCTTTGTGCTCATCTCTACTGGAGACAAGTGTGTGGGCATCTCCTGGGGGCCTTTCCAGGACTGGGGCTGGGGCTTTATCCTGCAGGCAGAGCTTTTACACCTTGCCCTTCTCTTTCTGCCCCAGGCTTCACCTTTTTCAGGAGGACTGGCTAGAGTGTGTGTGCATGTGTATGTGTGTACATGTGTATGTGTGTGCATGTGTGTAAGGTTGGGGTACACACAGGGGCAGCAGTAGAATGTGATCCAGACAGCAGACAAGGGGAGGGAAGAGAAGCCAGAGGAAAGCAGCTCCAGGAACCTGCATTAAAGTAAATGCAGTTTATGAAGTTTATGCTTTCCTCCTAGGGAGAGCTGGATTCCATCCAACAGCCTCCCAGAGCCTGCCAAACAGCTCCTGAAGCAGAAAGTGTGAGCAGGAGAGCAAGCGAGCCAGTGACAGAGGGAGAGATGCGCGGACACACTCACACACCCTTGCTGGCTCACACAGATCTCCCTCGGCCCAGGCAGCCTGGGAAGCCTGGGATGGAGGGATGGGGACAGTAGGTTTGGTAGGAGTGACTCCAGGAGCCGTTCTTTCCTCCTTTCTTCCCTCCTCACCTGCCATCTCCATCTCTTTAGGCAGAGTGCCCAGCATGAGCCCTTGGGCAGTGTGGGCACCTGGGTGGACTGGTGGTGTGGGGAGCCGAGGGCACTGTGGGCCACCTGGGGCAGCCAGCTTGTAGGAGCCGCCTGGGTGAGGGACAGTGTGGGTGGTCTTGGGCAGTGGGTATGTGGTCCAGGCAGCAAAAGGGACCAGAATGCTATACAAAGGAACCTCTAGGGACTTGCTTTTTCTTCGGATGCTGGGGATCCATTTTTCTCTGGCATTTTGGTCTGAACCATGTGGGTGCCTTACAGCCACTGAAGATAATTATTGGAGTCTTTTAAGGAGAAATAGAGACCGTATTTTTTTTCCTGGTAATTCAAAGGAAATAAGTGGTTGACAATGTTAAAGTATGAAAGCTCACAGAGGGACTTAAAAGCAAGTTGGAATATTGGAGTATCTGTTCTTCTGGACTCTTCTTCACGTGCACAAGCACATGGGTTCGTGCGTGTGTGCACTAATAATGTGTAAGTGGGCCAGGACCCTTGACTTTAGATGAAAGGGGAGTGTGGGGGAGAAAATGCCTGGAGAGGAAGTCCGCAGCATAGGCCTTTGCTCTGGCCTGTGGGCTTGGCACCATCATGTTGCTTGCCCCTATGGCTTCTGCGACATACCTCAGCTGGGGACAGACAGTGAGAAGTCTATCTCCCTTCTCTTTCTGGGAACTCCATGTCTGCTCTATTCAAATTCTACCAGGAACTGAGACAGAAGAGGATGACAGAGGTAGAACCATCCAGAAGCAGAGGATGGGGAGAAGAGGGCAAAAGGATAGCGAAGGATGCTCAGAAATTGCTGACTGTGGAGGACGCCTTGGGAAGCCAGGAGGTGCTAGGCACAGGAGGCAGAAACTGGCCAAGGATGGCGTTGGTCCTTTCTCCCCCCTGCTCTCTCCCTCCCCCTCCCTCCCCTCTTCCCTCCACACATCTTTATTGGTTCTGGTAATAGCGTTGATTTGCATGTCAGGCAAAGCCTTGCTACACACACAAAAAGAAAACCCCAGCCCTGGCGGTGTGGCAGTGTCAGCTCTCGCTGTTGTTCGACAGTGTAAAATTAAATTAATAAAGCCCCCAACACAGGAAAACATAACAGGAAATTAATGGCCTTTACTGTCGCTCTGATGCAGTCATTTGCAACCCTGCTTTCCGCACCAAAGACTTCATAAATGCAAGCAGTTTCTCTAAACAAGCATACTTAGGGCGGCCTGGTATGTAATTTTTCGCCTTGCTTGTGTCCTTTGAGCTAACAAAGCCCCCTTTCCTCTTGGTTCCAGAGATTTCTAACTGGTTCTGGCCCCTGCTGGAGCCAAACGGGGACAGCACCAGGCAGAGGGCCCCACCCGCTCCCTGAGAGCCCAGAGAAGGCTGGGAAAGGGCTAGGGTCCCAGGAGCTAGACGCTCAGTGAGCCCTCCTTCCCCACCAGCCCCTGCAGCAGGCCAGCAGGACTGCATACCAGTGCTCCCAGGCAGGAAAGTTGATCTCCTCGGGGAATTCCCCTAAACCCACTCAAGGCTCACCCCTCTCCTTCCTCCCCGGGTCTGTCCTCCCTCTCCCACAACTTGTGTGTTCCCTTCCTGAGGCCTCTGGCCTTCACCTCCCTCCTTGTCGGTACCCACTCTCCACCGTTCCACTTCTTAATACATGGATCGCACACATCTAGGCTGGCTGTGACTTGGCAGTGGGGTGCCACGCTCTTCTTCTCCACAGGTAACCTGGGGGCTCTTTTTCGGGGGAGCTAAGTTATTCAAAGTGAGGAAAGTAAATGTGCTGGTACAATTCCCCGGGGTTCTAGGTTTCCTCCATATCTCCCTCTTCTCTACCGGTTGGTTAGGAAATGCCAGGGCCCTAAGGGGCCCCTCAGACAATCCCTCTGTCCTCGGCAGTTTTCAGTGAGCTAAGAGTCCTTGACTGCTTTGGTGTGTAAATCGGTAGGATACTGAGGAAACTGACACCTTCCTCTCTGGCCTCTCTGGGGATCTTTGTATCAATGTGGGCCCAGGTGCCCAGTGTGTTGGGAGGTATGAGAGGAGCAGAGAACCGGGATGTGACTCTCAGGAGCTTAGAGCCTGCTGGGGAAGGCAAGGCTGTTGCACTCAGACAATTGGCTGTTCATTAAATGCCCAGACACATGGCTGTGTGTTCCATAGGAATCTGGGGAAATGGACTAGAAGGGCAAGCAGGAAATGGGGCTTCAGCCTGGGAGCCTGGGAGTGGCTGAGATTGAGAGAGGCCTTGGCTGGGCTGGATGGTGACAAGGCAGAGTGTCAGATTCTTAAGGGTCATCCTGTCTTATCTGCCACTCACCATAGAACTCTTTCCTCCAACAGTTCTGCCTGAAAGGCCACAGCCCTGCCTGGACATATGTCAGAGATGGACAGTGGCCATTGTTTGTTTGCAGCATCACTTTATACCAAGTCATGCGGGTTGAGGGAAGACCACGGGACGTGGGATCCAAATGTCCAGATGTGGGTCCATCTCCACTCCCTACTTGCTCTGGGAACTTTGACTCATTACATAATATCTCTGAATCTCAGTTTCCTCATCTTTAAAATAGAGGTAATGGCATTTGCCACAGAGAATGGTGGTGGTGGTAAAGCTCTCCATTTGACACCCTCCCTTCCCTATCCTCCCTCCCTCCCTTTCATCCACTCCACCTTATTTACTGAGCTCTTGGCAAATGCTGGGCTGGGTCCTGGGTGGATTTCAGATTCTCACATGATATGGTTCCTGCCCTTGGAGTTCCCTCACCATCCTGGTTACCCATCTCAGAATTCATTATTGAAGGTTAAAGTTCCTCTGAAATGAACACTGAACTCCAGAGACAGTCTAACCAATGCCAGGCACAGTAGAGCCTTGCCACTCTCCCATCTGGAGACTCTACATCCATAATATAGCCTAAGATTACATTTGATTTTTTAGCAGCCATGTCAGACTCAAGCTCATATTGAGTTCGTGGTCAACTAAAACCTCGAGATCTTTTTCACATCAATTGCTATCAAGCCAGGTCTACCCCATTCTGCACTTGTGTAATTGATTTTTTTTTTAGCCTAAACATAGGGCATTCCATTTATCCCTGCTGAATTTCACCTTGTTGGTTTGGGTTCTTAATTCTACCCGATTAAGGTCATAAGGATGTCTTCTATATCATCATCCAACTAGTTTTTTGCAAAAGAGTTATTTTCCTTGAAAACACAGGAAAGCCACATGGCCCACCAATGGGGACCTCCTCCTGGCTGCTGTAAGTGAATGAATGCTTTGGGAACTACTGAGCCCAACAGCCATCAATCATTTTACTTGTTTTCATCTTGTCCATTATGCTAGGAAGGAGATTCTTGGTTAAATGTTAACACTCACTACTTCCACATAATTTCCTTAATAAATTATTTTTAAAAATCTGGTTTACATCGATGAGCAAATTGAGTGCCTGCTATGTACAAAGTATGGCAGGACTGATTTACAAAGGTAAATAGGACACAGTCCTTGACCTCAAGAAACTTACAATCTAGCAGGGAGGTAGACATACACATCATTATATAATCAGAATGTGATGAATGCCGTGATCAAGGCATGAAGTCATATGATGAACGAAAAAAACAAAGGAGCAGTTGCTTCCACTCAGGGCAACTAGGGAAGTGTTTATGAGGGAGGTATTTGATCTAAGCGTTGATATGGAGTAAATATGCCACAACTTATTTTTGTGAGTGCGTGCAAGCTCTGGGATATCACCATTTTCTTTTCTGTTGCCCATAAATTAACTGTATAATAATTTCATTTAAAGGATTTCCAGAGCCTGATCCTGAATTTATGATTTTGAGTGTCATTTGCATATGTGTACCTCTTCCCCCTTTTCTGACAGGCAGGATGGCCTTGGGCTTGTCACTGCCTCACCCTTTCTTTGTGACATCTCAGGGATCATCAACAGCAGTTTTAGGGTCCTGTGTGGACCTGGGAAAGTTCACTGAAATGGCCAGAGGTTACCTGCCTGGCCCCTCCCTGACCAGGGCACTAGTGCCCTCCTACTGGGCTCAGTTTGAAGATTCTTTCATTTGGAGAAGACAAAAGCAAGCTAAGGTTGAGAAGTTCTGCCTTCTCTCTCAATATTACATCCTCTTCCCTAGGACTGAGCCAAAACCTGCCTTTCTTTTCTTTCTTTCTCCAAGGCCCTTTTTTGTTGTCTCAGCTTGTTCTGAGCTTTTGTCTTCCTGACAGGCTCATGCCACCCTCATATCCATCCTTGGTTATGGTCCCCGCTTCCATCTGTCATGTATCCTGCATAAGAGGAAAAAAAGTGACTTCTATGATCCTAAGTGCAATACATGCTCATTGGGAAATACCTGGAAGAGATAGTAAATTTTTAAAAATTCACTCACAATGTCGTCACCAGGAGATAACCACTGTTGAATTTGGTATATTTTCCCATTCTCTTTCTTTTTTGTGTATATATAATTTTTTAATCAAAAATTGAACAATACCATATAAACAGCTTCATGTCTTGCCATTTTCACCTAACATTACTTAATATAGGACCATTTTCACATATCATTAAATATTCTTTGAAAACACGATTTTTTAATGGCTGCATAATCTTCCACTGTTCGATGTACATGTCCTTTTAAAATCTGGGATCATCATATTTTAAAGCTTATCTGTGTGCAACAACAGTGATTTTCCTGAAATGTCCTTCTCTTTTCACCCCTCCCCCACTCCCACTCCCTTTATGCTGTCAGGTTGATTATTTGAGCTTATAGAAGCAGAATTTCATTTTTAGAGCATCCCATCCTCGTGGAATTATGGTCTCTTTTAGAATCTCTTGCCATGGAATCCCTGGCCATGTCTTTCCCCCAGCATGGAGCATTTTGCTTTCTTCAGTTCAGATTCTGCCCTGCACCCCCTTCCTGAGCTACTGCCAACTCTAGACATGCTTGCTTTCTCCCTGCATCCCCATCATTTCCCTTTCATCAGTTTTTCTTTCTTGGTCAGAATTAAGTGGCCTGCAATAGTGGAAAGGGATCTGAGCTAGGAACCTCAGTTCCCATTCTTATGACGACTAGCTATGTGACATGGGAAAATTACCTAACTTCTCTGAGCCTGGCTTTTGGTTTTTGTCTTAATTTTAAATATCTAAGAGGGAATCCAATTAAATTCTCTTCATATTTTCCAGCTGTAGAACATGAGTGACACTGAATTCAGAGTAGCAGCCTCCTTTGTTGCTTCTTTTTCCTTCTAAAAGGTAAAATGTTGAGCATAACAAGTTAAGAACTGACCAATCTTTGCTTTTGGAATTCTTGTCAACAAATCAGCCAACATTCATGATCACTTTCTCTACATGAAGTTTATAAAGTTGAAAACTATGGGACCCCTGCCTTCAAAATTCACAGTTCAGAGGAGAAAACAAACATTAAATAATAACTGTGATACGAAGAGATTCTAAATTTGGCTCTGCCACTTATTGGCTATCATAAGTTGTTCTGGGTAAATTACCTAATCTCTCTATCCCTCAGTTTCCCCAGGTTAGGAGCTTAGCTGCCAGAGGCATGTTGCCAGGGTTGAGTTCTGGCTCCTCTGCCATCTGTGAGGCGTGTAACCTTGGGAAAGTTCCTTAATCTCTGCACTTTCATTTCCCCATCTACAAAATGGGGACAATAATGTTTAAGTTCTTGTGAAAATTAAGTGAGTTAATATATGTAAGATTATCAGAGGAGTGCCTGATATATACTAAGCACTTAATAAATGTTAGTTGCTGTTATTGTAAGGATTACATCAGTGCATGCATGTTAAGCATAGTGTCTGGTATCCAAGTAGAAACTGGATCTGTTTTAGTTATTATTAGTACTATTTCTACAATAGAGGTTTGGATAGATGGCTGTTAGAATGCAGAGAAAGGAGAAATTAATGGTGAGGGAGGAGCTAACAGCCCTCTTGTATATGTCTGAGGAAACTCAATCCAGAAAAGCTCAGGAGATTTATAGCAAGTGAGCAACAAAACTAGGATTTCAATCCAGGAGATGTTACTTCTGGTCCAGCATTGTGTTAGGGTCACTAGTACAGTTAGTGTCCCTAGAGGCCGGTGGGTGTGAATGGGTACAGCAAGCCTGAGGTCAGACAGGCCCACAGCCACCCCAGCCTCTCCCTATTCATGAACTCACTGAGTGTTTAGAAGCTAGGCTTGGTCAAGTACAGCAGGTAGTTTCCCAGGGCTAGAAGGCTGGGCAGAACCTGGTCTTGCCCCGAGCCAAGGTTTGGGCCAGATTTCCAAAGCCTTCTTCATGTCCACCTCTTTTTTTTTTTTTTTTTTTTTTTTAGACAGGGTCAGGGTCTCACTCTGTCTCCCAGGCTGGAGTGCAGTGGCATGATCTCAACTCACTGCAGCCTCCATCCCCAGGGCTCAAGTGATCCTCCAATCTCAGCCTCCCAAGTAGCCTGGACCACAGACACATGCTACCACACCCAGCTAATTTTTATATTTTTGGTAGAGACGGGGTTTCACCATGTTGGCCAGGCTGGTCTTGACCTCCTGAGCTCAAGCAATCTGCCCACCTCGGCCTCCCAAAGTGCTGGGATTACAGGAGTGAGCCACTGCACCCGGCCCACTTTATGCCCACCTCTTGAGCTTGGCTTGGGAACTGTGGCCAGGCCAGACTCACTGAATGTCCAGTTTAAAGATGGGAGGCAATGGGGCATATCATCCATCTCCCTGGACAAGCAGTGTCACCATAGCTCCTTTCCCAGCCCGGCCCTCTGGAGCCCCTTCCCTCCTCTCTCCTTTTTCCTATCTATTCCTCCCTCACTCCCGGAATCCCACTTTCCCCTCATCCTCTCTTCTTCCCTCCCTTCTCCTATCTCCCTTACCTCTCTCTTCATTCCTGAACACTCCTTCCTTTTCTATCCTCCTCCACTCTCCCTTGTGACTCCCCCACCCAATCCATCAATCCTCCCTCCTCTCCCAGTCTGGACAGCACCTGACCTCTGGGGAGCCACCCCATTCCTCAGCTCCCAAACCTCACTCCCTGTTCCCAGTTGGACCTCCACCTCCCTGGTCCTGCTGTGCCGCCGTGGGGGTGGGGCTGGGCCTGCACAGGCAGGCTGCCCTGAATGACAAGCGGGGATATTGATCGCGTTCTGAACTCAGCCCAGCCGATAGAAGGTAATTAATGACTCCATTTGCCTCACTACCGAGGAGAACAATTGAGTTTGAAACTGCAACAACTGGCAGCTGGGAAGACTGGGGGGCAGCCTGGGGGTGAACCCCTCAGAGGCGGAAGTAATGTGTGGAGTAGCTAGGCAGAGAGAGCACCTTCTGAGCAGAGGCCACCATCAGAACGGGCAGAGCCCCCATCCCCAGCACAGCTGGCCCCTGAGCCCCACTGCTCCCCCAGCCCTTGAGGCCCAAGGCCCATCACCCACTGGTCCCCCCACCTCCACGCTTTTCTCTTTTCTTCCCATATCACTTTTTGAGGTCATTTTCTGCCTGCGGATGAAGACTCAGTTTTCCCAAGACTGCTTCTTGCCAGCTGTGCAATCTTGCACATATTTTGAACTCTCCCTGAGCCTGTTTCCTCGTTTGTAAAATTGAACTAACAGTATCACTTTTGCAAGCATTCTGTGAAGACTGTGGATAATGTGTATAAAGTACCTTGAGCCTGCCCAGAACACAGTAAGTGCTCAGTAAATGATGATGGGTCCTTGACAGAGAAGGCAAACATGGTAGAGTGGAGAGAGCTTCAGAGTCCGACATCCCTGAGTTCACATCCAGGCTCTGCTGCTTCCTAGCTGTGCAGTGTTGAACAAATAATTTTGCCTCTCTAAGACTATTTCCTTTTCTAGAAAATGAGAGTAGTAATAAGTACCTCGTAAAGTTTGAAGAGGTTGATGAGTGTAGGTGAAAGCCCTAATATCATTACTTTCTCCATAGACAGATAGATGTTTGTATTTGAGCTTAGAAAACTGAAGTTAGTGTAATTCTTTTTTTTTTTTTTTTTTTTTCTGAGACAGAGTCTCACTCTGTCACCCAGGCTGGCATGATCTCAACTCACTGCAACCTCCGCCTCCTGGGTTCAAGCGATTCTCCTGCCTCAGGCCTCCCAAGTAACTGGGATTACAGGCGCCCACCACTACACCCAGCTAATTTTTTGTATTTTTAGTAGAGATGGGGTTTTACCATGTTGGCCAGGCTGGTCTCGAATTCATGACCTTGTGATTCACCTGCCTCAAGCCTCCCAAGGTGCTGGGATTATAGGAGTGAGCCACCGCGCCCGGCCAAAGTTAGTGTAATTCTTTGCTATACTTAAATTCTTCTCAAATACCTCATCTTGCTTCCTGGGATTTGATGGGCAACCCCGTTCATCCCACCCTGATTTTGTAGACTTTGATGAGCCTTGGTGCTTTCTGCCCAAGCAAATGACATCATTTCATTTTCATTTTCTTTATTTTTCTTTTCTTTTCTTTCTTTTTTTTTTTTTTTTTTTTTTTTGAGACAGGGTCTCACTCTGTTGTCCAGGCTGAATGCAGTGGCACTATCTTAGCTCACTGCAGCCTTGACCTCCCAGGCTTAAGCAATACTCCCGCCTCAGCCTCCTGAGTAGCTGAGCCACAGGTGCATACAACTATGCCCAGCTAATTTTTTATTTTTGTAAAGATGAGTCTCGCTATGTTGCCCAGGCTGGTCTCACACTCCTGGACACAAGCAATCCTCCAGCCTCAGCCTCCCAAAGTGTTGGGATTACAGGCATGAGCCACTATGCCTGGCCCATTATTTCATTTTATCTATTACCACCACCCCCAACTGTCTCTTGTCCCTTGCAGTGACCCTTCTGTCCCTAGCCCTGTTCCCAAGACAGGGTTCAGGGGGTGTCTCCCTCCCCAAGCTGCTGAGAACCCACTGGACAACTCCATTCATGACTGGCCAGTGCCAGGGCCCTGACCTGGGGTGAGAGGTGTGAGATAGGGCCCAGCTCCAGGGCCACCCAGGAATAGATGGGGAGTGAGTGCAGGGCTGAATGAATGAGGAGATGAGATATTTTGGTTGAGGAGTAAAGACATTTTTAATAGTGATTTTAGAAGTAGCACATACTAATTGCACAAAGCCTGGATGGTATGGAAAAACTTAGATGAAAAGAAAATAAAAATTGCTTGTGATTGGGAAGTAACCACTGTCACCATGCCGGCAGCTCTCCTTCCAGTCAAGTTGATCTTTGGTTTTGGAGTTCTCTTCGTTTGCCTGGAGACTAGGGTCCTGCTGTCAGTAGCCCCACACTCTGGGCTCTGGCTGGGCAGGCAGCCACTCTGTCCGTCTATTTAGTCCACAGCTGTCAGGGCACCTGCCCTGTGCCAGGATCCCCAGCAAATGTCCCCTTGAGCCAGTCACTTGCCCTCGCTTCACCTGCACCTCATTTACTCTGAGCCTCAGTTTCCTCCCCAGTAAAAAGGGATTAAAATCCCTACCTACCTTGGAGAGTGGTTGGGAAGCCCATATAACCTAAGATCTATGAAGACCTTTTGTTAAATGCTAAGCAAATAGGAAACAGTCAGATAAGAAGACAATATGAGCTTTGTTATCCTCGAAAGAATAATCTATGTCAAAGTTTTGACTCAGCAGTTTGTTTAATCGAATTAATTTATTTACATACTATCTGTGTTCCAAAAAGACCTGTAGTAGCTCACCCCCTTGAGAGTGCTCATGCCACAGTGGACAGAGCACCTGGAATGGCCCAGTCCTGGGAGTCCCATTCCCCAGTTGTGTGACCTTGGAAAAGTCACTGCCCACCCCTGCTAGTTATGGTAACATGAAAAATTTGGACCAGACATCCTCTAATCATCTGGGCACAGTCTGCACTCAGCCAGCACCTGTGCCACAGGCTGTAGCCTCCATTTGGGGAGGGTGCCAGGCAAAGAACGAGGGATGCCGAGAGGAAGGCTGTGCCCTGGATGGAGCCAAGTGGCCTTCAACTGGGCCCACTGTGTTTGGCACCCAGGCTGCAGAGTGAAATGATTTAGAGGGCAAGCTCTGTACTCCGACAGACCTGGATTCAAATCTGGCTGTCATTTACTAGCTTCATGGCCTTTGACAAGCTACTTAACCTCTCTTTGCTTCAGCTTCCTTATCTTTAAAATGGTTATCATAGTAGTTCCCTCACAGGGTTGTCGGAAGGATTAAATGAGCTCTGTAAATAACAGCAATGGCATGTAATGAGTTCTTGATACTTGTGAGCTGCTACAGAATGGGAGCTGGGCAGGGGGCAGACGGAGAATGAGGCTGAACCCTCCCTCTATGGGGACTGACTAGCACACGGTCCCTTCCTTGCTCTGTTTGGTCTTATTAAACCCACAGCCACCATATTTTCCAGCCCCAATCTAAAAATGTGGCCAGAGAATGGGGAAGAATACTGGAAATCAGAATTCCTCCTGAAAGCCCAGGACACATGACCAGCAGCCTCCAGCCCTCTTGGTGCAGGGAGTTCAAATGTAGATGTGTTCTCCAGGCCCCAGTCTTAAGCAGCCTCTGCCACCTGCTTTGGATGGCAGCTCAGCAGCCCCGGGGTTAAGTTCTGCTGCTCACCAGGAACACAGTGTTCTCTGTCTATTGGTAGAGGCACCAGAGATGGGCAGGATGGTGTTGCTGAGAGTGGAAAAGGCCTGTGCGTCAGAGCTGATGCTGTTAGAGGCTAACAAGCAGTGGGGATAGCACATCTTTTGCTAGCCAGGGATGTGTGGGGCTTACCTGATGAGAGACTGGGTGTCCTTGGGTGCCAGGCCAGTCAGATGGCCAGTCCCAAAACCTTCTGCCAGAGGTATGGCTTTGAATGCCACCCGGGAGAGTCTGAGTACCTACTCGGGGCCATTCCTGATGCTGGAGCTGCAGAAATGCATTAGTCACGGTCCCTGCCACAAGGTGCTCTTTGACTGGCTGCTGGGCCTGGGGGCAAAGGGGCTGTTGGATAGGGGATCTTCTTTGAAATGGATGGTGTCTAATCACTCACGCGCTCTCCTTCCCTGCTCACTAGATTAAGATCTGCTTTTACATCCTAGAAACCTAGATTAAGATCGGCTTCTGCTTCCACCTCTGTTTCAGCCCAGCTCTGCCAGACAGCCCTTCAACAGCTGGGCCTAACAGTGGTCTCTTTCTTCCTCCTTGCCGTCCCGTCTGAGACTTTGCCCTTGGAAAGTCCCATGCCGAGCTCGCTCCCCATCTTCCCGGGAGAACCCTCTAGGTGGTCAGCACTGACAGCTGTCTTCCTTCTTTCCTTTTTGACTCTTCCTCCTTTACTCTCTTCTTCTTTTCCTCCTCCTCTCCTTCCCCTGCAAAGCCACCCTCATCCAGGCCCTGGGCAGAGAAGGTATCAGGACACCCAGTCTTCAGCGAAAGTAGAGCCAGCTGGTTTTATTCCTGCAGTAAGTGTCCTCACCCCAGCCAGCACTTCCAGCTTCTGGTGCGGAAGGCTTCTTCCCTTTCTTCCCCTCCTTCTTTCTGCCCTTCCACGCCTCTGGGCTTCCTCCTTCCCTGAGCTTATCCTCCTTGGACCTTCTGATCCAGGGCTTCTCCCAACCTCCTTTCCTCATTCCCTTCCTGCCCTCTCTCCTTGCCTTCATTCCTCCCTTCCTTCCCTAGCTGATGGAAGGATGCCACCCCCTCCTCTGGAAAGAGCCCTTGAGAGCCTATGGTACGTGTGGTGTATTTGGAGGGCTGGCTGGCTGTCCCCCACCAGTAATGCCACTGCCCTCTCCTGGGCCCTGCGGCTCACCTCCCTGCACCCCATAAGTTTCTTTGTGCTCCTTCGCCATTCATCATGACTGCTGCCTTCCTTCTCCTACAGGAGTTCCCGCAAGCCTCCTCCAGCCTCTCTGGGGGGTGGGGGTTCTCCGCATGCTTTCATCACACCACTTTGTTTTCCTTCTCCTCTAACGCCTCCTTTCTCCTCCCCACTTCCCTCTCCTCTGCTTCCCCGCCTCCCACTGCCACCTCTTCCAGTAGCAGGCTTCCTTAGCCTTTGCCTCCTTTCCCTCCCCCTTCCCCTCCTTTGCTGCCTCTGTAACCTGTCTTACCACCAGGGCCTGAGTATACAAAAAAATAAATAAATAAATAAAAAGGTCAGTGAGTGGAGGGAGCAGCAATAACCCCTAAAACAGTACTATCAGTGGAACATGATTGATCAATTGAATTCCATAGCGGCTGAAAAATGTGGGATTAAGTAGTGTATTATACGCACAATGAGTTGAGGCATGATGTTCATTTCAAGTTCATTTCGCCGGCCTCTGCCACCAGATCAGGCAATCAATAGGGGCAGCAGATATCATATATCACCTCTCTGCGGGCCGGGGAGAGAGCACCATAATCTCTCGCAAATTTAGAGTGACAGATTTGTCAAGATCTGAAGGGCCCCTGAATAAATGAAGGCAAAGAGACTCCTCCAGCCAGTGACCTGAGGACAAAGCTTCAGTTCAGCCCCTACACACACACACACACACACACACAGACACAGTGAGCCAAGCCACACACAGACAGGCATATACACAAATCTACACAGAGGCATGAGGAGAGTCCTGCCACACATGCACACACATAATGTGTGAACACACGCTCACAAATACACCCTCTCTGCCCCTACAATAACCATATATGAAGATATTTGATGCTTTCCTCAGCCCTGAGAGTCCGGCTTCCCCAAAAGGTAGGAGGGCTCCAGGAAGGGAGAATCAAACACAATAGGACACGCAAATAGCTACAGGGAGTGAAATGAGGATGATGGCACATCCTGAAAAAAGAAGTAGGCACAGGAGAAACGGGGCATGTGGCCTCACAGTCCTCATGCAATCACACACAGACACACACATTCTTTCAGGAAGCTTCTCATTCTATTTCCACACACGCAGACCCTTGTTTATCTGGACGTTTATATATGTACAAGCGCGTAGACACGCAATACTCACACAAAAGGGAAAAATAAATTTACCACACTTCAACTTTCAACTCATATGTTGATGCATACATCCCGTAAGACTGAAATGATTCCAGAGCCTTATGCAGAAGAAACCACAACCACCAAGTTTTGTGTTCATGGGAACAAATACCATTGAAGCTGCTTCTGTCTGTCTTCTTCAGATGTGGTCCTGGTCTTGATCTCTGTCTCTCTCTCCCTCTCTTTCTCTCTCTCCTTCTCTCTCTCTCTCTCTCTCCTTCTCTCTCTCTCTCTCTCTCACATACACACACACACACACACACACACACACACACACACACACACACACACACACTTTCTTTGCTTTCCCACCCCCTCCAGAATAGATATGGAGGGAAGATGGGAGGTCACATTAGGAAAGCAAACCCCATGCTCGGTCTGGGAGGCCAGCAAGGGAGGATGGCTGCAGGTTGAGTTAATCAATATGTAATATTTTCTATGGTCTCCTGAATGATACTGTATGGTGTTACTGTATATAATGCAATATTGATTATATCATATCGTATAATCACCTATAAACTGATATATATAACATTCCCAGAGGAACACCCTGGGGCCTCCGGCATGGGCTGGCCCCAGGCCCAAGGCTCCTCAGCTGGTCTTGGGCTGAGGGAAGCCTGGAGTGACCAAGCTGGTATGGGGTTTGGGGGGGAAACCCCACTTTGGGGGGCTGCAAGGTGTGGGTTCAGAGAGAGGCCACAGAGCAGGCACATTGCCTACTGTACACCTTGAAAACTCCAAGGAACCGACGCTGGGAGGCAAGGATAGGGGAGGGCTGAGAACGCCTGAGGAAAGGGGACATGGAGACAGGATTGGCCTGTAGACTCAGGGGAGCAGGCACCGGTGTGATAAGACTCTGCTCCCTCTGGAGACTTGCAGGAGGAACCA
This sequence comes from Homo sapiens, assembly GCF_000001405.40. NCBI lineage: Eukaryota > Metazoa > Chordata > Mammalia > Primates > Hominidae > Homo > Homo sapiens. Next base: position 100,805,669 of record NC_000010.11, read on the forward strand.
GGTGACCAAGAAACTGGCTCCTGTAGGAGGCTTGAGCCTGGGTCTAGGTTGGAGACAGAGGCCGAGAAGGCGGCCAGGGCATAGAGGCATCCACAGGGGCCCTTCTGTGGGCTCTGCCCAAGCGGGAGCTTTGCTGCTCTAGCGACACCTCTTTCCTCCCGCTTGGTTTCCCTCTGGCCTCAGTCCTGGCCCAACCCAAGCAGAGTGCCTCAGCTCTGCCTCAGAGCCCCTCCTCCCTCAGGGCGAAGTTGATTACTTCACCCAGTCTCCAGGTTACACTCGGCCTCGGAAATTTGATGGTTTTCAACCCTTGGAATTAGTGGAACTGAAATTCATCTCGGAGCCGAGTTCAATTCTCCACAGGCTCAGTAATGCCAGTCTGAGACACCCAGCTTCTTTCTTCCCCAGGCTGGCCCTGGCTTGGGGGCAGGGGGTGGTTCAGGGAGACATGCCCCAGGGAGCTGGCTCCTGGGAGCCCCCTGGCTCCACCTCTGCCTAATCCTTCCTGACCCCACAGTGTGACCGCTCCATCTCTTACCAGGTCCTCAGGTCCTTCTCTTCCTTGGGCTTCCTCAGCCAGATCTCTGAGGCAGGGCCACCCTCTGGTGTCAGCCCCACTGGCCCAGGGGCTGAGAGTAAGGGGTCCCATAGGGGTGCAGAGCTCCTGGGCCCGGAACCAGATGCCCACCTCTTTGCCCTGCACTGTTCCTGTGCCTCTGCTGGCCTGGCGCTAACGCCCCGAGTGTCCATGTGTTCTCCAGATGTGTCTGAGGGCTCAGTCCCCAATGGAGATTCCCAGAGTGGTGTGGACAGTTTGCGGAAGCACTTGCGAGCTGACACCTTCACCCAGCAGCAGCTGGAAGCTTTGGATCGGGTCTTTGAGCGTCCTTCCTACCCTGACGTCTTCCAGGCATCAGAGCACATCAAATCAGAACAGGTGAGGAGGGAGCTTTCTGCTTGCAGAAGTAGAAAGGAGCCGGCAGAGCAAGGCCTCTCAAAAACTTGTTCACTAAACACCACATGCATAGCCAGCATTGTATGTGTTACACACGTGTGTTCTGTGTGTGTGCAGTGTGAACAGGCTCACATGAGACAGTATGGTATCGTTAAGACAAATCATTATGGTCTGTATATGGTAATTAGAAATGAGTTCTGGGTGCAAGAGTATGGCCTTGGGTAAATCATCTCTGTTCAGAGCCTCGGTTTCCCCATCTATAGAATGAAGGGCTTGGATGTAGGGTTTGTCAAGTCCCTTCTAGCTCCGCTTTTCTGTGGTTCTTGCATGGAGTACTCAGGAACATCCTCTTGCTGTGTCCCTTGCCCACACCCCCTCAGGGTCCTACAGAAAGTCTACGCTAGACTGGGGAGCTCTCCTTGCCCAGTGTCAGGAGAGCCTGCCTGTGCCTGCCTCCTGCTCCCCAAGCCAGCAATTCAATGGAACCCTAGGTAGGCTGGCAGCTTCCCACTTACACCCAACACTTTCTGCAGACACTGAGCAGCCCAGGACACATAGCATGGGGCACAGCATGTAACACACCAGCAAAACGCACAACGCAGAAACCATCTCCGAACTTTTCTATGTGCTGGTGTGCATGTGCTCACACTCCACCATCCACCTGCTCCCCTCACCCACAGCCCATGGTACTGTGCTCACACACCACTGTCCACCTGCTCCCCCACCCACAGCCCACGGTACTGTGCTCACACACCACCGCCCACCTGCTCCCTCACCCACAGCCCACGGTACTGTGCTCACACACCACCGCCCACCTGTTCCCTCACCCACAGCCCACGGTACTGTGCTCACACACCACTGTCCACCTGCTCCCCCGACCACAGCCCACGGTACTGTGCTCACACACCACCGCCCACCTGCTCCCTCACCCACAGCCCACGGTACTCACAGCTAGCCCCGGCAGCCGCATGGAGCCAGTGGGTGTGTGCTGCCCCCAGATCACCAGCTCAGCATACCCCTAGCATATGCCTCCACCCACATACGCTGGGTGGAGCCCCCAGCACACCCGCTCCCACACAGGGGCACACTCCCATCCCTGCTACACATGCAGCCCAGGCCAGGCCCACAGTCACAGCACAAGACAGCATTGCTGTGCTTGCATGCATGCACACACGCACCCACACATGCACGTCAGTGCAGCCCCACAGCGTTGAACGCTGTAGTTCCACTCTTAAGACTCCAACAGCTCCCAGCCACTCGCCTTTCTCCCCGCCCGTCCTTTTATCCCATAAGCTGTTTGTCTTCATAAAACAAAAATCAAAAGTCTTTTTAAGGTGCCCTGAGCCATAAACCAACAAAGGAGGAGCTGGCCGAGGCGGGCGGCTCAGTGCACCCTCCCTGAGTCCCCGCCTGTATTACAATGAATAACCTTTATTTACTTTCATTAGACTATTAAACACCAGCACAGTCATTTTTCCCCCTGAAACTCGGAGCAGGGCCCATAAAGCAAATCCGAAGCCTAATTGAGTTCATTTTAATTTCTCTCCGATCACAGCGAATTACTCTGGTGATAAATCAGGGGGCAGCTTCACCCCCAGTAGAAGGCCTAATTTGCAGCTAATTACAAAACTGATTTCTACAGGAAGATCAATACGAGAAGGAATTGGAAATGACGAGGCAATCCCGTCCAGCCATGGAGGGGAGGGGGTACTCTAGGGGGGCCAGGAAGCGGAAGGGAAAAAAACAGACCCGAAAGAGCAGGAAATCAGTTTTAATTTAACGTAATATTAATCAGAGCAACTTTTCCTGCTTTGTGCAGGCTCCCGGTCTGCCCAGCTCTGGGGTCTGGCTTGGCCGTGGCTGCAATAAAAAGGCAATTACCCGAGTGTTTCAGGCAGGACACCCTTTCAGAGTCAATGACTGGCCCCCTCCTACCCTTCTGTTAGCCATGTGGACTCTCCCCCTCCCCAATTTCATACCCCAGTGCACAGGCAGACAGCGAGGGGCCCATGGGGCTGTCATTGTTTGTTTTTAAAAAAGGGGCGCCCATACCCGATCAGCCAGCAGTGCCAGGCTGAAGGCCCCACTAGGCCCTTCTCCCAGCTACTGGCTCTGCCAGTCATGTCATGGTTCCCCCTCCTCCCCAAGGCTCCTCGACATCCCATGCCTCTCAACAAGGGTATCCCCACTACTACACCCTACCCGCAGGGGTGCTTAGGCAGGAGATGCTACAGAAACATAAAGGGTGCTGGCATTAAGTGCCCAAAATGTGTAAAGGGTGCTGTGCCTCCGGTTTCACCAAGTCAGGTCTACTACCCGCACAAAACTTGCCATCATCCACCAAGCCCCCGCATCTCCCCTCTGCCCCACCATCTCTTTCTACCCCATCTGGGCGGGCTCCCCTGTTCCTCCTCCCCATCTGCACACCGAGCCCTTTCTCTGTGCGTGCATCAATAGAGAGCTGTCACTTTTCTCTCTCCTCCCAGGGGAACGAGTACTCCCTCCCAGCCCTGACCCCTGGGCTTGATGAAGTCAAGTCGAGTCTATCTGCATCCACCAACCCTGAGCTGGGCAGCAACGTGTCAGGCACACAGACATACCCAGTTGTGACTGGTAAGGGGGCTTCCAGGAGGGTGGGGGCACTGCGTTCAGTGGAGGGTGCCTCAGCCCATGCCATCTGAGGCCCAGTGTGAGGAGCAGGTCCCCCACCGTGATATTTACAGAGAGAACGAGGCTTCTAAAACCAGGGTGCTTCCTGAACAGGGGTGTGCAGATGTGGGGAGAAAAAAACTGGGGTCAGGGCATCTGTGGGCTTCAACCTGGAAAGGCTGATGCTAGGAGGGGCTGTTGCCAGTTCTTCCTCCTGTCCTTCGCCTCTCCCTTTGTCTATTTCTCTTCCCTCTCCCAAGTTGCCCAGAATCATGAGCCTCTTGTTAGGATGTCTGCAGAAAGCAAATAAGCCAGGCTGGTGAGAGTGGAGCATGGGTACCCAGTGTCCAGCCTCCACACTTGGGTCTCCAAGGCTCCTGGGGGACCCGCTTACCGCTCCCTCCAGGCAGCATGGGTGATCATGGCTTTGGGCTTGAGGGCATGGCACCCAGCTCTGTGGAGTTTGAGATGAGTACAATTATTCCAGCCTTCCTCCTGCTTCCCAGAGAGGTCAGTGACACCAAGGCTTGATTTCAAGGCCAGGTAGGATCAGGCTTGGCCCACAATCAAATGCAGAGCTAGGGGCGCCATGGCCAGGAGCCCCTACAAATGAAGAGCAGCAGGGCCAGTTAGTTTGGAAGGGGAGGTGGAGTCCAGGGAAGGCCGCAGAGCTCCAGGCTGTGGAATGCACGTGCCACTGCAGAAGGGTTTCCAGGCCAGGAGACTGCCCAAATGGGAGAGACACGCATTGAGGTGTTATTAAAATTCACCTAATTATTCTGGAGACACTAAAGCCAATGTGCCGTTTGTTCCTTGGGAGACAGGATGATTGAGAAGGGTCTCGGTGGGGATTGGGAGACACTGAGGCGTTACCTGCAGAGCGAGGCAAGCGGAGGTGGCCTGCGGACCCAGCAGCAGGGCTGCAGAGCCAGCGGCAAAGGCAGGGAACAGGCACCGCCCACTCTAGGACTGGGCCCTGGTTCTGCCTGTGAGCTGGTCTGAGTGCGGCTGCATTTGAGCCTGAGCTGGGCTCAGTGGCCACCCAGCCTCCACCTGGGGGCTTAGGAGAGCCCTGTCAGTTTTCCCAGCCTCTCCCTAAGGGGCTGTACTGGTACAACTGTTTCCAGCCTAGATCTTTGGCTAGGGAGTCAGAGGTTGAATTCTAGAAGTGTTGGAGACCTGGACTGGGCTTTCGGGAGTGACGACCTTAGCTGGGTTAGCTGGGCCAGGACACAGCCCATGACCAAATGGCCCTCAGCATGAGCCATCCTTCGCCCAGCTGGGAAGCTCTCTGACCTGCTAGGTATTCTGACCCAAGGCAGAGAGACGGCCCAGGCCAGGCCACCTTTCTCCTGACCTGCTCAGAAGTACAGTGGTCACTTCCCAAAGATGGCCACTCCAGGCACTGTTCAAAGAGAACCCGGGAGACTTCTCTAACCCCATCTGCTGCCCAGCGCTCAGGCCATAGTCTAGAAGGCAAGGGCTTCCTAGGGTGGAGCTATGGATCTTCAGGGTAGGGCTCCTGCCACAGGAGACCCAGGGGCTGGTACAGAGAAGTGCCTCCACCTTGAGCAGCCCCCACCCGCCTCCCCCCCATGGCCCTGGAACAGTCCCAGCTCAGCCTGGGAACATCTCCGGCTGATCCATCTGGATCCAAGTGTGAGAAAAGTTCATTTCAGACCCAGCTTGACATTCCCAGGTGGCAAGTTAGCACTAACATCTCAATCTGTATGCGACATTTCAATCAAGCGAGGAGTAACAAAAGCAGAACCATTAACATTCGGAGCTGTTCACCAGTGGTAATGACGGGGAAACTCGCTCAGAAACTGGAAATTACCAAAAAGAGACAAGTGTGTGGAGAGGTGGGGGAGGGAAGATGGGGATAGGGGTAGGGAATGATTTTTCCACACTTAGGCCAAGATCCACTGTTTGGATTAATAGTGCCATTACCCAAGAAAGAGCTGCAGATTATGCTCATTCTTAAAATGTTTTTGCTGGCAATTAAACTGCTGCAGTTATTGATCTTTGTTGATTTTATGTCCTCCTAATTTGCATAATCTATTAAAGATGAATGATTTATGATGTGTTTATTATGGGGACAAACAGAATTTGCTAGAGGTACTGTCAAGGTGAGCCATGGGGCATTGCTCAGAGACTCCATATGCCATCTCAGCAGTGGGTCCAGCATGTTGGCCTTCAGGCCAGGATATTGTGGGTAGTAGTGAGCAGTGATGCAAGGAGAACAGAAACAGGAGAGTGGACTTTGGGTGAGTTCTTCTAGAAAGATACTGGCATCTGTGAGAACTGGGCTCCAGGCAGAGCTGGAGTGCGGGAGAGGCCCTTAGTGTATTTGTGGACACTGACCTCAAAGAGTCTTTAAAAGCTTATTTTCTTGGCAAATATTAAGGGCTTTGGTGGGAGAAGAGAAAAGGAGGCTCTTTTAGGTGGGTAGGTGATTCTGGGGAGGTGTGTGCTAAAGGTAAGGGAGCTGTTAGGTCACCCAGTGCCCATAGCCTGGCTTAGGAGTGCCGAGGTGTTCAAGGAGCCCTCTTTATCCTCCACGTCTCAGGCACCCTGCTCATCTTCTTCCCCAGGACTGACAGCTGCGGCTGCAAACCTTAGGGGATGAGGGAATGCCCTAGCCCAACCTGAAAAGCCAGACCTTATTGAGATTCCTGCCACCTCCTGGCCCTGGAGGCTGATTTCAAACTTCACCAGCCACTTGATGCAGCTATTCCACAAGGTCAGGACTGAGAGGAGAGAGGAACCTAGACTATTGTGTGGAGGGGAGAGTGGGGCCCAGTGGGCCAGGACACAGCTAATCACATTGCAAGCAAGGGTGGCTGCCGGAGGCTAGGGCTCAGCCCCATAGCCTCCCCTCCCCACCTTCCATCAGGGAACCGAGGAGAGAGACTGATTTTGCTGGGTAGTGTTTGCAAGTTCTGCCGAGATTTTAATTTCACTGCATCACAACTCAGCAAGCTGCCAAGTCAAGCTGGTTATTTAAATTTATCACCCACTTTCCCTTCCGCCGCTGGGCTGCTCTAGCTCAGCGGCATCTCTTCTCTCCAGCCCACGGCTCTAGGCTGCTGGTCTGGAACGGAGCCTCGTCTCTCCTAAGTGATAAAGAAAGAGGGACCAGCTACATGAGAGAATGGGTCACGGGCATTCTGGCCCCAGGCTTTTTCAGGTTGGCTGGCTGTGGCTGGTACCTCTCATCACCTTCTTGACCCTCCAAAGGAGCCCAGAGGGGCTGCCATCCACCTCTCAGTAGTCCCAGGGCCCTCCGGGTCAGGGCATCTGCAGTGAGGACTCGCTCCAACTGCATGCAGGAGGCTTCATTCCTTAAAGTCTCCCATCCCTGGAAGAAAAGATAGTCCCTGTTCTCCATAGCATTCTCACCTTGACCCCCCCTCCCCATGTCTGGCCGGGGCTCCAGTGACAAAGGAGCATGCAGAGACACTGGCAGTGATGTTGATCTGGGAGGAGAAGATGAGAACTTACTCCAGGATTCCCAAAGTCACTGGGGATGTTTCTGAGCATTAGAGAGTCCCTTGACACAGTGCAAGTCCACCCCGAAGGAGAGAGCCCAGATGCAAGGAACAGTGCTGGAGAAGTCAGAGACTGTGCAGTTCCATGCTCTCTAGAAAAGGGTTGGCCAATCTTTTGGCTTCCCTGGGCCACTTTGGAAGGAGAAGAAATTACTTAAGTCACACATAAAATACACTAACACTAAGATAGCTGATGAGCTAAAAACAAAAACAAAAATAAAATACCTCATAATGTTTGATGAAAGTTTACGAATTTGCACTGGACCACATTCAAAGCTGTCCTGAGCAGCACGTGGCCTGTGGGCTGTGGATTGGACAGGCTCGCTCTAGAAGCTAGGGAAAGCACCAGTCCCTGGAGCCACTGCACCCACAGGCTTCACTGGCCTCTAGTGGGCATTGCTGCCGCGCACTGGCAGAGCCTTGAGCAAGTGCAGCTCTCACCGCCCTTGTTTTAGTCACAGAGAGGTAAAGGAGGAATGAGATTGATGTCTGGGACCCAGGCAGGCTACCTCACCAAAACATAACTGAATAAAATATAACAACAAAAATGTTAATACGCAGCAAATCTCACTCTTTGGTGCCAGAAATAGAGGGGAACTCAAAGCCAGATCAGTATTGGAGAGGCCGCTGGCATCACACTGGAGGGAGATGCTGACTGGGAGAGGATGGGGTTGTAACACACCAGTCAGGGAATGTGACTTTGGGAATCAGGAAGCCAGAACTGAGTATCATCCTGCATAAAGCAAGGAACAGAACAGGGACCACACTGTCCGTGAAAGGCAAACACATACACTCGTCTGAGTAGCCCAGGGAAACAAGGAAGGGGGCAGAATGGAAGGTCACCATGAGACATGGAGACGCCAAGCCTGATGCCAGATCAGAGTCCAAATTTATACCATGAGTATGTTGCAGGAAACCCAAGCCAGGAACTTACATAAAAATTTGTACAGGATAGTAACCCATTCTGAAACCTCACCAGGAGCAATGACAAACCTTCTTTGTAGAGACATTCTAAAATCCAGGGCACATGGGACTCCCACAGGGGGAAGAAAAAACCCCACCACTAATGATGAGCTTACTGTAAAAAAAAGTACACATCTCATGTGAATACAAACTTTCAAAAGGGAAAGTTAGTAGAAGCAATAAACAGAACAGTTAACATCCCCCCAAGACCTGGGAACAATAGAATAATCCAAAAGTGCTATAAACTCAGCATGTTTAATATTCTAAAAAAGATCAAAGGGGCCGGGCGCGGTGGCTCACGCCTGTAATCCCAGCACTTTGGGAGGCCGAGGCAGGCGGATCACGAGGTCAGGAGATCAAGACCATCCTGGCTAACATGGTGAAACCCCGTCTCCACTAAAAAAATATACAAAAAATTAGCCGGGCGTGGTGGCAGGCGCCTGTAGTCCCAGCTACTTCGGAGGCTGAGGCAGGAATATCACTTGAACCCAGAAGGCAGAGCTTGCAGTGAGCTGAGATCGTGCCACTGCACTCTAGCCTGGGCGACACAGCGAGACTCCATCTCAAAAAAAAAAAAAAAAAAAAAAAGATCAAAGGAAGTATCAGCTGTATCTTTACCACAGATCCAGATCCCCCAGTCCCTTCCCACCACTGCTCACCAAATTGTCAGATAATGGAGATCAAAAAGGGCAAAGAATGAGGACCATACCTATAGATTATTGCTTTGGGGTCCAGGAGGCATGGAAAGAGCTGAGCCTCAGGCAACTCTGAAAGTAGAGCCTGTTCCAGGCTTGTCCAGGCTCCCAGACTGCTAAGCCTCAGCAGAAAATCTTATATTTTCTTTGAGAAAATGTCTGAACATTAGAGAGCTAGAGATGGGCACAGTACCTTTCTCCCCAGTGGGGTGGGGGCAGGTGGGAAGCCTCCGTAGCTTCCCCATCCTGGTTGGGGGAAGGTGGTTTTATTCAAGAGCTTGGGAGAAATGTCTCTTAATTGCTGAAGACTGCAGTTTTGAAGGAAGCTGTAATTAAGATCCAGGAAGAGATGTGGATGCTGCCCAAGAGGGAAGTGCCCAAGGCAGGAAGAGGGAGCAGAAGAGGCTGGTCTCCCAGAAGCTGGCTGATTTGAGCAGAGGTAGGGGAGGCCAGAGAGGCAAAGTTCACAGCTGGACAGCAGCAGGGACCAGTGTGAGCAGTGTGGATGTAGCTTCTGAAAAGGGTTGCCAACTCAGAAGCTCGGCCTCCTGGCCCACATCTGAGATGGTCAGCAAAGTGGCCTTTTAGCAGATAGAGGTGTGGACCCTGGGAAACCTCCTCCTCCTACTCAGGGCATCCTGAGGACCTCCAGGAACTGCCTCTTTCCTGTAGTTAACAACCCCCTTCCAATGCAACTGCATTTCCCTCCATAAAACAAACAGCTTAGCCCTTGGCCAGCCCCCGGGGGAGGAGAGGGCAATAAAGACTGAGAAATGTTTCTCAAGGAGGCTGGGAGTCTCCTAGTCTTGTCTGTCAGCTCAAAGCCCCTGATTAGCTAGAGGAATTTAGGGCACAGACATCATAGTTCCTCTCCTTGAAAGGAGAGGGCTAAGACAACTTCAGACGTGTGGCAAGTCAGAGATCCCTTTACTGTGGAGGCCAAAGCAAGCCAGAGGGCTGTTCCTCAGTGCTCACATGCCCTAGACCCTTCCTTTAGGCTGTGAGGGTCCCAAGAAAAGAGGCTAGCCTCCTTCAAACATCCCTGAGTCTGCTGGCCACATCCCCAAGGACCTCCAGCCCCCAACCTCAGCTCTGATTTAATTATGGGGGCATTTCCATAGCAATGAGACATTGACAGATATGCGGCTGCTCTCGGCCTGCAGCCTAGGGAGTCATTGGATCAGGCCTCTTTCCCTTCCTCCTTTATCCAGTCCACTGATAGAGGTAAAGGATATGGAAAAGAAGAGGCCCTAATCCACTGTCGGGATCAGAGTCAGGCCATATTTGACCAGAATAAAAGCTGTGCCACCTCAATCTCAGGTCCCAATCCCATGTCCTTGTCTGTGCCTACCGGCCACCCTGTGCTGCTGGGCTGCCCTTCCCAGGAGGGTGCCATGGCAGAAGTACCCTGGCTGAGAATGGGGCTGCAGAGGGAGGAGCATCGTAGGGAGGGTGACAAAGGTAGGAAGGGTTTGGGGTGTCTTAGCAAAGACGTAGTTCTGGTGTTTTCTACGCTGAGCTCAAATTTGGCCCTTAACCTTGGGCCTTTCTTCTTACCTCCTCCCTTCATCTCTTCCCTCTGTCCGTGAGGCCCAAAAACCTGAACATGCCAAATGGAGTGCTTATTCCTCCAAGGATGGCCTCACTTGTTCATCAGAGATCAGAGAGAGAGAGAAAGGGGCCAGTCTGAATTTGAATCAAAATATTTTCTAAGAAATCAATGATCTTGCTATCAAGTGCATAACAATAGCCAACTCAGGCCAATAAAGGATTGCCCAGTTGAGAATACTGGCCACTGCTTTCATGATTCGTCAGGTTACGGGACCCTTTTGGTTTCTGTAGATGTCATTTAGATACTTGATGTGTCCCACAGGGGAATTCTCCAAAAAAGAGATCTCCCAGCACTAAGCTTTTTAGTCCGTTATTTGGTACTTTTTAAGAAGAAAATGTTGGCTAAGTAAAAGTAAGGTCAGTCAACCCAACATTTTTTGAATGACCGGAAATCCTAAAGACTGCTGTCCCAATGAAACAGGTATGTATTGGTACCAAGGGCTCAGAAATGTCTCAGTGGCCTCAAAGCCACCTAGGCAAGACCTGAAAACCTGTTTCCCCCAGAGGGCCGGCCACCTCCAAGGTGACAGGAAGACCCCCCACTTTTTTCCCAGGGTAGCCAGAATCCCTTCCACCTCCACAATTAGCTGTAGCCTCAGGACAAACAAGCTAGTGCTTTTGCAACCCTGAGCTTTGGGAGACAAGCTCCGCCACTATTGTCACTTCTGAGAGGGCTTTGCATGCCTTCAGCCTGAATCCTCCCCTCTTCTCCCCAGTGGTGGTGGCGGCTGGGCTGGCAGGCAGGGAAGGAGGAAATCCTGCAGGGCTCGGAGAACAGCCTAATGCTGCAGAGGCTTAAGTGGCCGTTTTCCTTGGGATTAGGGTTTCACTTACACAGAGCGCCTGAAAAACACTGCGCTTTTGGAAGGATTAGAGCTGACAATTCAGTGCTCTCAGAGAACAAAATAAAGCCAGAGAGGAACTGGGAGGCCTGGAGTATCAGAAGACTCTGCAAACAGGCTTAACCTCTGCCCACCCAGCATGAGGGTCTCTCATGCTCTGAGCCCATCTTTGAGCCTGGGCCCAACCTCTTGAGTGCCAGTACCTGCCCAACTCCAATCTTCATTTGTGATTTGCTCATGGAGCCAGAGAAGGCAACACAGGGACGTTGCCTTCTGGAAAGAGGACTGGGAAGTTGCCAACTGGGAAGAGGACTGGAAATGTCTTCCCCTCTCTCTGAGCCTCAGTTTCCTCCTCCGTAAAACAAGGGAGTTGGACTAGAAGATATCCAAGTTCCTTCTCAGCCCTTTGAAAATGTGATTCTCCCCAACATTCCCTGGTGTTATCCTAGGATGCTGAAGCTGCATTTCCATCCATGGTCCAGCTGAATTAGAAGGAAACCACCTCCTGTGAGGCCCTGAGCCAACAGGCTACACAGCCCAGAGGAGGGCGGGGTGCTGGGAGAAGGGATGGAAACAGCATGACTGGTTGTGTCCGGCCGGTTGGCTGTCAAGGTGTAGACCTCACTAAGCCCCTGCAGATCTGGGTAACATCCCTGCCTAGGACACACCAGGGATTCAAGGTGGCAGTGGGAGCTGAGATCAACTGGAAGAGCAGCCACCCTGAGTTGGAGGCACAGCCCCCTCTGCTGGAACCTGGAGCAGGCAAGCCTCAGGTGGGGTATGGGGCTGAGGCCAGAGCCTGGGGCTGTGGGCTGTCCCATAGTCCCTTCTGCCCTAGAGGACAACTCAAATCCTGGGAGGATTTGGAAGCTTGGGAAATAAGAAATGAAAGGAAATATGTAGATAGTTATTTTCCTCTCCTTTTAAAACATCTTGTGTGGATTTAAAGTTTGTTACTTTAGTGTAATAGATATACGTTGAATTGGTCATAAGGTGCTCGTAATTGTTATAGTAAATACCAATTATGCATTTATATATTTAGGCAGCAATTACAAATTTAATAACTGTGTATTTTTGTAAGTATTATAAATGCCTATGTCAAATGCAGGCATAGACTGCCAGCCTTGAAGAAATCTAATGTCTTCATTTTCGCTACCTTATGAGAAGCAGACAGAACTTGAGGATAGGGCAGTAAAACAAGAGTTATGTTTTCTGGCCTTAGGGTCCTCCGCAGTGTCAAGTGGGTAGCAAAAGTGCTCATTTTCAGAGAAAGATGCTGAGGAAAAGCATCTCTGAACTCCTCGATAGAACTTTTGCTATATAAATCTATGTCTAATAAGTCTCATCTGAGCCATCATGAGCAGCAGTTTCTGCTTCTTTCGTGGCTTCCTTTTTATTTCCTTGATCTTCTGAATGCTGACATTTTCCTTGACTTGAGATGCAACTCCCTGCTACTTCACATGTTATTTTGCTGTGCTTTGTATCATCCTGTTTATTGATACAATTCAAGTAGTTGCAAACAAATCAGTGTCTTATGCCAAAGAACGGGGCTCTTTCACTTTTTTATAAACAGTGCTTATTAATCTTTAAGCCATATTTTTTGAGAATATGATAAAAGTCATGTACCATCTACACAGAAAGATACAGATATACAATGTCCATAACATTTTATGTATAGATTTATATAGACCCCTTGAAGTGATCTATGGGTTCTTGAGGGATCAGTTAACCCCAATTTAAAACCCCCACTGTAAAAAAGTGGAAGAAACTGAAACACATAAGAAACAAGAAGTGACAAGATGTTCTGTTATAGGAAGGATTCACTTAGCATGATCCCATATTACTTTCCTGGACCAAACACCTATCTATTTTCTGGGTCTGCACTATTTGAGAACAATATCATTCCAGGATCATTTCCCAAGTATACAGCCTGTTCTGTAATCCAGTTTCTGCCATCTACTAGCAGTGAAATCTCAGACGTAATATTTGGCCCCTCTGAGTTTATTTCTCATCTATAGAATGGGGATTAAAGGCCGGGCGTCGTGGCTCACCCTGTTATCCCAGCACTTTGGGAGGCCGAGGTGGGTGGATCACCTCAGGTCAGGAGTTCGAGACCAGCCTGGTCAACATGGCAAAACCCTGTCTCTACTAAAAAATACAAAAGTTAGCTGGGTGCAGTGGCAGGCGCTTGTAATCCCAGCTACTCGTGAGGCTGAGGCAGGAGAATCACTTGAACCTGGGAGGCAGAGGTTGCAGTGAGTGGAGATTGCACCACTGCACTCCAGCCTGGGAGACAGAGCAAGACTCTGTCTCAAAAAAAAAAAAGGGGGGGGAGTTTAAAAACATATCAATGGCTGGTCCCAGTGGCTCACGCCTGTAATCCCAGCACTTTGGGAGGCTAAGACAGGCAGAGCACCTGAGGTCAGGAGTTGGAGACCAGCCTGGCCAACATAGTGAAACCCCGTCTCTACTAAAAAATATAAAAATTAGCCAGGCATGGTGACAGGTGCCTGTAATCCCTGCTACTTGGGAGGCTGAGGCAAGATAATCACTTGAACCCAGGAAGCAGAGGTTGCAGTGAGCCGAGATCGTGCCACTGCTCTCCAGCCTGGGTGACGAGAGCGAGACTCCGTCTTAATAAAAATAAAAATAAAAATAAAAACATCAACATCATAGGGTTGATATGAAGATTAAATGAGATAATACATCATATAAAATGTTAAGGACACCGCCCAGCATATAGAAGGTGCTCAATGAATGCTAGGTAGTCCTGGCCCAAGTAGAAACACAGCTCTGACCTTGAATCTTAGACCTGATGGTGAAAGTAGCACAAATTACCTGATGACTACAATTTTTCAACTTTCTTAATAAAGTCTTTCACTTTGCTTTTCTCTGTACTTGTAAGGGGAGCTGCACTTAGATTCTCCAAAGCAGTTGATTTGATCTGGCCCATTTGGTAAGGAATGTCTGACGAAAGTGCACTGTCTGATGCAGTTGTAGTGATTGCTGTAGAAATTGGCTTTAGAATCTTCAGGGACTTCTGCAGTTGAACTGAGAAGACATCCTCATCAAGTACAGTGCTTTGAACACTTCTGGGGACTTTAAGATTCTCCACTACCACTGTTTCTTGAAGACCCTCTTTGTTTTTCAGAAAACTCTCACAGGAGATTAATACTCCACCCCATGGAGTTTTATTATAGACTTTTGGCATCGGGATTTTATTCTCTGAGTCCTTTTTATCCACAGCCATGACGATATGAGACTTTGTTTGTCAGATGACTTCTTTTCCTTTTCTTTGGCTCTTTTGGGGAGTATCTGGCTTCGTGTTATTAAAAGGCAGTGTGGTATAAACATGGCTTCAAATTTTGGCTGTATCATTTACTAGCTGTGTAGTCATGGGAAAACTGTGATGCATCTTTGTGCCTTCATTGTCTCACCCTTGAAACAAGGAAGTTACCTCATCATCTGGAAGGCTATTCATCTTTAAAAACTTTGTAACCTTGGCCAGGCGCGGTGGCTTATGCCTGTAATCCCAGCACTTTTGGAGGCCAAGGCAGGCAGATCACTTGAGGTCAGGAGTTTGAGACCAGCCTGGCCAACATGGTGAAACCCTGTCTCTACTAAAAATACAAAAATTAGACGGGCATGGTGGCACACAACTATAGTCCCAGCTACAGGCTAAGGCATGAGAATCACTTGAACCCAGGAGGCGGAGGTTGCAGTGAGCCGAGATCGCACCACTGCATTCCAGCCTGGGCGATAGAGCGAGACTTCATCTCAAAAAACGAAAAACAAAAAACAACTTTGTAACCTTGGAAAGCAAGTGTCCAACATGAAATGCCCATCTTCTTGTAATAATATGTGGGGTTTTGTCCATTTGTAATTTCTGATGCTGTTTTTATGTTACTGGCCATTGTCATTGAGCAACAAAAATCCTCTACTGCTTTCTGTTGGGTGGCACATATTTTATAACTGATGTATTCTGCCACATAACTGTTTTCTCCTTTTTCTGTGCTTTTGCTTGTTTGTATAAAGGAGGTGCTGTGCTGTTGTACAGTTTTAGAGTCTGTCTGCACTCATGTTTTTCCATCCATCTATAGTACAGCAAGGCCCAGTGCTCTGTCGATTCTTGCTTGCACAGATTCCATTACCCATTCATATTCTTTCACTAAAAGAGGCTTGCTCAAAGAATGCTGCTGGGCAAATGGTATGACAGTCTTAGTAATTTGAAAACTTCCTGCAGTATGTGTTTTCCATTATTGACAATGGTGTTCCAGAAGAATATATGGCAAGAGTTTGGTCAATTTTTTCTGCTCTTTAAGTGTCACCTGTGTGCTAATGAAGCAATTGAGAGTGCTTTGTATGCAGTGGCCAGCACCTTTGCTGGCTCAGGGGTCCTGAACAGGGTACTCCTTTGTGGAGATACTGGTGTTATAGACTCCGCAGCAGCAGGTGCACAGCTGTATGCAGAACACGAGGAAGCTTGCGTGCTTTTTCCTTGTCTTGGGACTCTTCTTTCACGTTTTAAAAATTTCTACATGGCACTGCCCAACTTCAGTTTTCTAAATAGAATTTGGCAATGTGCCTTTCAATCAGCTGTTCAGTGGGTGACTTTCAGCATGCAAAAGTTCCTACCTGAGGGAAGTTGCCATTTTGCAAGACAGAAAGGCAGTAGAAATAAAACTTTCCAATAGGACTGCATCCAGGTTAGCTGGAAACATCTTTCTAGTTATCCAGCCTGTCTTCCTTCCTCCTGAAGTGAGGTAGGAGATTCCGTGACAAAACCTTAGATTATAAGGAATTCATGGTGACAGATTGTGGGAATCATAAAACTGAAAACCAGAATTCAGATGCATTTAAATTCCTGTTTATTAAGAAAGAGGCACACCCCTTTTCCTGCTGCTTTGCAGACTTTATGATGACAGGGAAGGAGGAATTAGGTTTCTATATCTGTTCAGCTTCAAAACTTCTGCGTCTTCCCTAACTCGATCCTGTCCTGGGCCTTTCTCTTTTTTTTGACCAATAAATGCCATATTATTAATCTCTCTAGGAATTGATTTTGATATTGCTGTCATTGTCTACTTCAGGTCCACTCCACTGAGAGACAGTCAGGAGGAGTGTAGCTTTCAATGACAACAGAAGTCAATAAAAGAAAACCCACATCAAAGCAAACACAAATCCTTTATTCTGTCTCTCTAGGAGTCAAAAGTGATCTCTTGTTTGGCAGTTCTACTCTGCTTGTTCTCGAGTTTTAGGAAATGAAAGATATTGGCTATATTAGACAGGTATAGAGGAAAGTCATTCTATTGCATAATAAAGTCACAATATATGAGTCCCTCACTGTAAACCTCTTATCAGCCTATAAAAAATCATAATCTATTGTTTAAATTGTTTTTTAAAGAAAAAGCATATTCTAATATTTACATTTTATCCAAGCCTTTACTTCTTTAATGAGACCAATATACATGAAACAATAAAAAAAATGATAACCCATCAGGAATTGGCTGTTAAGTGCAATAGATTGATGGACGATTAATCAACAAGTGTTTATTGAGCATCTACCACGTTCTCAACTATGCAGGATAAAGCAGAAGACAGGGTCCTGCCCTCAGGTTGCTTATGATCTGTTTGAAGAAGCAAGCTATGATATGAAACATCAGGGCTCATATATTATGAAATATAATGGCATGGTAAACCATGCAGCACAGATGCTGTAGAAGTTTGGAAGAGAGAAACTTCCCTGATGGGTAGAATGGTAGGGATTTTAAGGCTTCAGTGGGGAAGGAGAGGAAAACCGTAAGGAAGAAGAAAAGGTCATGGCAAAAGCATAGGGGGTTCACATCACACAAGCCATGAAAACAGTCAAACTAAACCAGGAGAGGTGATAATCTTAAGTTGGATGGAGAGAGTACCTTAGCAGCTTTAAAAGCCACAGAGTTTCATTTCAAACTATAGACTACAGGGAATCAGTAATAGTTTTTACAAGGGAAGTGGTGTGATGAAAGCAAAGTTTCATGAGGACTAGCCAAGCAGCCACATTTAGGACAGACAGGAGGGGAAGAATGTGGAGTCAGGGAATGCAAGCAAAAATATTCTGTGGCAAAAAGAAGGTGCTTAGAAGCTGAGCTAGGAAGGTAGTGGAAGAAATGGAAATTGAGCAGATGTAACAGACATTGCCAAGGAGAATTGACAATACTTGGTGACTGACTTCATCTAGAATGGGAGGAAGAAGGCTATGTCAAGAAGGACTCCAAAGTTTTTGGTCTTATGATATTCAAGATCATAAGAACCGACAGAGGGAAGATGAATCTGTTTTTATTCCAGTTAGGTTTGAGGTAACAGAGGGACAGCCAAGGAAAATGTTCAGCAGGGTACTAGAAATGCAAAAACCTGAGCTGTAGCTCTGTATAGCTAGGGAAGGATAAATCACTCAGACGTGTCAAGGTAGGGATGAGGAAACTCATACAGCTCTGGAATGCAGGGAGGTGAGGCCATCTTCAAAGGGAGAGTAGCAAAGAGAGAGAGAGATGCTTTGGAATAGCCATTGGGAGAATAATGACTATGGCCCAGCTGATGAAAAGAAAGTGAACGGGCCCAGGTATGCATAGTTCTGTTACTTTCTCCAGCCATGCCTTGCCTTCCCAAGGATAGACAGAGGCATTAGAGTAATAGAGTGGCATTGGCTAGTGAGGAGAATAAGGGGAATCTGGAGGGGTTAAGGGGGTTCCAGGAGGTCCAGGAGAGGATAAAGAGATTATGGCAGAGGGGAGAAAGCAAATTATTATTAGAGATCAGAGCATGCTAAATTGCAAAGGGAGGTGGTGGCCCCTTCATAGCCATGGAGGATGCAGGCAAGGTAGGGAGCCCAGTCATGTGCAGCTGTGTCCCAGAGGACATGTCGGTGGACCAGGGGTAGCACCCTCATCTTGACTCGCTTTGTCTCCCACCCTCCAGGCTTTAGCTGATAGAGCCCTCCAGGGACAGAAGTCCAGCAGCTGGTGGGGGAGCAGATTTTGCTCATTGGAACTTTATCTGGTCCACTTGCACTTTTGGCTCAAAGCTCCTGATTCACTTCAGGGTGGTTTTCTATCATGTAAATGCCATAAACACTAACAGCAAAATAGCCCACTGGCTGCCCCCCTGCTCTCCACACCTGCCAGGACCAGGACCTGCAGCTCCACTTGGAGAGGACAAGGAATAGCCATCAGTCCCTGTAGGGGTGATGGTGGGGTGTCCTCCAAGCCTGAAGGAAAGATGGGGTGTTAGGGAGAGGAAAGATAAGCAAGATGATAGAGGTCCATTTGGCTGCTGGAGAGACCACAGCTGAATATCTTGCTGAGAAGGAGGAGTAAAACCAGGTCATCTCCCTCCCATCTCCATCTGGGTTTGGAATGCACAGAGACACAGGCAAAGGCAGATACACACACACACACACACACACACACACACACACACACACACAAATACACAGAGACACAAAGAGCTACACAAAACAGAGATGCGTACACACAGCTGATCATAGACATTTAGCTTAGACACATGCAAAGGCACACTCAGATGGCGCATTCAGGTGCACAGTGGCACACATACCCCTGCACGTCTGCACAGAGCTCTTTCCTCTCCAAGAGTTTCCTCTCCGTGCAGTACCCTGGTGTGAGTAGAGGCAGGCCCCTTTCTTCCAGGCCTCACCCCTTCCCCTTTGTGTTTTTCCAGGTCGTGACATGGCGAGCACCACTCTGCCTGGTTACCCCCCTCACGTGCCCCCCACTGGCCAGGGAAGCTACCCCACCTCCACCCTGGCAGGAATGGTGCCTGGTAGGTGACAATGCTGCAGCTGCCTAATCTAGGTGGGGGGAACTAAATTGTGGGTGAGCTGCTGAATGGTCTGTAGTCTGAGGCTGGGGTGGGGGGAGACACAACGTCCCCTCCCTGCAAACCACTGCTATTCTGTCCCTCTCTCTCCTTAGAGGCTGCAGTTGGTCCCTCATCCTCCCTCATGAGCAAGCCGGGGAGGAAGCTTGCAGAAGTGCCCCCTTGTGTGCAACCCACTGTATGTCATGGCCCCTCCACAGCGCCCACCCACCCAAGTCTGTGCCCGAGGAGCACTCAGCCTCAGCTCCACCCTCAGTGCCCAGCCCACCCCAGCCAGCTGACACTGCTTGGAAGAGCCTGCCCTGGTTTCCATGGAAACTTGGAGCCAAGAACCATTTCCAGGGGCATGTCAGTCACTCAGACAAAGCCACCCTGGTCCACACCAAGACACAAGGGAAGACCAATGTTGAGAACCAACCCCAACCCCAACCCAGAGACAGTAGGGAGCTAGTCCCTAAGAGGAATGGAGGTCAGGCTGCGGCGGGAAGCAGGGAGAGTCGCTGCAGTGAGACAGGCTAGAACACCCCTATACCTCTTCAGAGGCACCCAGCCTTCCATTGCTTCCCTGGGGCTCTGACCCATCCCTAATCAGAGGAGTTGGGTTTGGGTTGTTTGAATCAGAGAGACAGAGGCTGTATTTAAGGTCTGGTGACTGCAGCTGGAGGTTGTACTATACCTAACCCCTAACCCCAGATTGGGAGCAGGGTCTTGAAGCCAAAGAGAGTTGAAGTTCCTATGTGCACAAACACCAAAACACTCTTGTCTTAAGGAGGGTTAGACTCACTCAGCCAGCAACTCACTCCCTCTGGCCGCCCTCTATGTGGCCTTTCCCTGAAGTTCAACTCTCATTGGTATGGGGAATGGGGAGGATAGAAGAGAGTGGTTGGCCCCATCCATCCAGGGACATTTAGGTATAACCCTGGGTAAGCAGAGCTTGGGGTAGGGGCAGCGGCAAAGAGGGAGATTGCTGCTGGGTCTTATGGACTAGGGGCTGAAGGGAGTTAGAGGTGTGGGTAAAGGGATTCCTGCCCAGATTTAGGGGAAGGAAAGTAGAAGCCTTGTTGGGAGGCAAGGAGATTTTAGGGAGAAACTCCCAGCAGTGAGCAGGTGGGGGCTGGAGGAGGTTTTAAAGAGGTGGGGTGAGGGAAGAGTGGGGAGGTGGGGGCAGGGAGTCTGCAGGGAGGTGGGGAAGAGGGGAGCCGCAGAGAGCTCGTGGTGTCGAGGGGGGAGTCGTTAAACAGAATCTAGTGCTGATGAGGAAATTACACTTGTTTCATTAGCGATGGGGAAGGAGATAGCTCAGTTCCTCTTGGTCACAGTTGAGCTCAGAAGCTCATTATCCTGCTGCACGCATGCTTTCCCTCCTCGTCAATAAACAGGCTTTCCAGTGGCTGCATCCCCCACCCCCACCCCAGCTCCCTCTCAGAGAGGGGCCCCTTCTCCTCTACTTAACCCGCGGTTAGGGATCACTGTAAACAGTCTGGGGTCATCACACAGGAGAAAGGGCGAGGGGGAAACCTGGAGGCCTGGCCTTTCTCCCGCAGAGGGAGGGAGGTAGCTTCCGACGACGGCTCCCAACCCACGGGCCCTCCGCTCACCGCTAGCGGACCAGCGGGCAGTCCACCTGCGCCGCCTCCATCCCCTGCCGCGTAGCCCACGCATCCAACCTCTTGAGGGAAAGGCGGGAGGGCGGTGTCTCCCAAAAGAGCTCCCACCTCTTGTGTTGGCACTGCACATTGATGCCATTCTTAGGACTTTCTGGGAGAAAAATGTCCCGAAGGCCTTTCTTCGCCACCGCCCCCCACTCCCATTTCCACCCATTAGGGGCCATGCCTCCTAGAACCGGAGTGGCATCTATAAAGGCCCTGGCCCCCAGCGCGACAGGGTGGACGCGCCCCAATACAAACCCTTCGTGGGTGGCCGCGAGCGCCTCCGCTGGGAAGCCCTGGGCGGGCACCGGCCCACAGGTCCCGCCCGTGGGTGTGCGAGCGCGTCGGTGCCTCCCGCCTCCCCGGGCTCTCTCCACGCGGACGCGGTGATCGCCCCACCTCCGCCCGGCCCGCCCGCCACGGCCATTACCCTGCCCGCGACACCTGCGCCTGAGACCCGGCGGGAGGAGCGGGCGGAGAAGCCACCGGCCGGACTCGTGGGGTCCGCCCTGGCTTGCAGGCGTCTGATCCCCACTCCCCGACCCTCCCGCAGGGAGCGAGTTCTCCGGCAACCCGTACAGCCACCCCCAGTACACGGCCTACAACGAGGCTTGGAGATTCAGCAACCCCGCCTTACTAAGTGAGTACGCCACCTGGCTGGCCGGCGGCTCAGCGCGGCCGCGCGGCTTCTGGGCACGGTCCCACTCCCGGCGACCCGACCTCTGGGGACCCGGCCGGGCCAGGGGGACAGGCTTGTTAGTGCAGCACTGAGGCCCGGGGACCCCTCGAGGACGCCCGCACCTCCTGCCCTCCCGTGCCCTCCCTGGTCGCTCGAAGGCTCTGCGCCGCCCTCGCCCTCGGATCCCCTGGAGGGTGCGCAGCCGGGCGTCACCAGATCGGGTCCCTCTCATGCCCCGTGAACGCAACTATTCTCCGGGGCAACTGGCTCCACTGCCCAGCCAAGGTCTCCCAGTCCGGATCCCGCTGGACCCCAGCCAGGGGAGGTCTTTTCTGTGCTTTTCTTTCCTTTTTTGTTCTCCTGTTTGTCCTCTCACCCAGCCCATTCTTCTCCTGTGTTAACTTCCAGGTTCCCCTTATTATTATAGTGCCGCCCCCCGGGGCTCCGCCCCTGCCGCTGCTGCCGCTGCCTATGACCGCCACTAGTTACCGCGGGGACCACATCAAGCTTCAGGCCGACAGCTTCGGCCTCCACATCGTCCCCGTCTGACCCCACCCCGGAGGGAGGGAGGACCGACGCGACGCGATGCCTCCCGGCCACCGCCCCAGCCTCACCCCATCCCACGACCCCCGCAACCCTTCACATCACCCCCCTCGAAGGTCGGACAGGACGGGTGGAGCCGTGGGCGGGACCCTCAGGCCCGGGCCCGCCGCCCCCAGCCCCGCCTGCCGCCCCTCCCCGCCTGCCTGGACTGCGCGGCGCCGTGAGGGGGATTCGGCCCAGCTCGTCCCGGCCTCCACCAAGCCAGCCCCGAAGCCCGCCAGCCACCCTGCCGGACTCGGGCGCGACCTGCTGGCGCGCGCCGGATGTTTCTGTGACACACAATCAGCGCGGACCGCAGCGCGGCCCAGCCCCGGGCACCCGCCTCGGACGCTCGGGCGCCAGGAGGCTTCGCTGGAGGGGCTGGGCCAAGGAGATTAAGAAGAAAACGACTTTCTGCAGGAGGAAGAGCCCGCTGCCGAATCCCTGGGAAAAATTCTTTTCCCCCAGTGCCAGCCGGACTGCCCTCGCCTTCCGGGTGTGCCCTGTCCCAGAAGATGGAATGGGGGTGTGGGGGTCCGGCTCTAGGAACGGGCTTTGGGGGCGTCAGGTCTTTCCAAGGTTGGGACCCAAGGATCGGGGGGCCCAGCAGCCCGCACCGATCGAGCCGGACTCTCGGCTCTTCACTGCTCCTCCTGGCCTGCCTAGTTCCCCAGGGCCCGGCACCTCCTGCTGCGAGACCCGGCTCTCAGCCCTGCCTTGCCCCTACCTCAGCGTCTCTTCCACCTGCTGGCCTCCCAGTTTCCCCTCCTGCCAGTCCTTCGCCTGTCCCTTGACGCCCTGCATCCTCCTCCCTGACTCGCAGCCCCATCGGACGCTCTCCCGGGACCGCCGCAGGACCAGTTTCCATAGACTGCGGACTGGGGTCTTCCTCCAGCAGTTACTTGATGCCCCCTCCCCCGACACAGACTCTCAATCTGCCGGTGGTAAGAACCGGTTCTGAGCTGGCGTCTGAGCTGCTGCGGGGTGGAAGTGGGGGGCTGCCCACTCCACTCCTCCCATCCCCTCCCAGCCTCCTCCTCCGGCAGGAACTGAACAGAACCACAAAAAGTCTACATTTATTTAATATGATGGTCTTTGCAAAAAGGAACAAAACAACACAAAAGCCCACCAGGCTGCTGCTTTGTGGAAAGACGGTGTGTGTCGTGTGAAGGCGAAACCCGGTGTACATAACCCCTCCCCCTCCGCCCCGCCCCGCCCGGCCCCGTAGAGTCCCTGTCGCCCGCCGGCCCTGCCTGTAGATACGCCCCGCTGTCTGTGCTGTGAGAGTCGCCGCTCGCTGGGGGGGAAGGGGGGGACACAGCTACACGCCCATTAAAGCACAGCACGTCCTGGGGGAGGGGGGCATTTTTTATGTTACAAAAAAAAATTACGAAAGAAAAGAAATCTCTATGCAAAATGACGAACATGGTCCTGTGGACTCCTCTGGCCTGTTTTGTTGGCTCTTTCTCTGTAATTCCGTGTTTTCGCTTTTTCCTCCCTGCCCCTCTCTCCCT
This sequence comes from Homo sapiens, assembly GCF_000001405.40. Taxonomy (NCBI): domain Eukaryota; kingdom Metazoa; phylum Chordata; class Mammalia; order Primates; family Hominidae; genus Homo; species Homo sapiens. The sequence continues at coordinate 100,829,231 of NC_000010.11, forward strand.
CTGCCCCTCTCTCCTCTCCGCTTCTCTCCCCCTCTGTCTCTGTCTCTCTCCGTCTCTGTCGCTCTTGTCTGTCTGTCTCTGCTCTTTCCTCGGCCTCTCTCCCCAGACCTGGCCCGGCCGCCCTGTCTCCGCAGGCTAGATCCGAGGTGGCAGCTCCAGCCCCCGGGCTCGCCCCCTCGCGGGCGTGCCCCGCGCGCCCCGGGCGGCCGAAGGCCGGGCCGCCCCGTCCCGCCCCGTAGTTGCTCTTTCGGTAGTGGCGATGCGCCCTGCATGTCTCCTCACCCGTGGATCGTGACGACTCGAAATAACAGAAACAAAGTCAATAAAGTGAAAATAAATAAAAATCCTTGAACAAATCCGAAAAGGCTTGGAGTCCTCGCCCAGATCTCTCTCCCCTGCGAGCCCTTTTTATTTGAGAAGGAAAAAGAGAAAAGAGAATCGTTTAAGGGAACCCGGCGCCCAGCCAGGCTCCAGTGGCCCGAACGGGGCGGCGAGGGCGGCGAGGGCGCCGAGGTCCGGCCCATCCCAGTCCTGTGGGGCTGGCCGGGCAGAGACCCCGGACCCAGGCCCAGGCCTAACCTGCTAAATGTCCCCGGACGGTTCTGGTCTCCTCGGCCACTTTCAGTGCGTCGGTTCGTTTTGATTCTTTTTCTTTTGTGCACATAAGAAATAAATAATAATAATAAATAAAGAATAAAATTTTGTATGTCACTCCCCATGGCTCCAAGTTTGTCTCTCCCTGTCTCTGAGATGGGCCTCCCCTCCATTGGTCGATCCCCAAAAGCCCCTTCAATGATCCTCCCAACTACACTCCCGCTGCCACCTCCAACTCCTTTGCCGAGACCCCCTTGGCGGCAGCTGAACCACGGCGAAGGCCGAGACTAGCCTGCCCTTTAGTAGCCACCCTCCCCCACGCACCCCGGCCCTGGGGACAGGAAGTTCTTACTCTCCGAAACTTCAGAATAACTCCTAGTTAGGCGCCTATACTAGGCCAACTCTGTGGTCCTACCAGTACACCCGCACCCAGATTTAGGGTGCTGGCTCTCAGAACCCGAAGTCTGAGGCCTTCTCCACGTGGGTGGAGGGGTGGTCGTCTGTCCTATCTCCTCCCTCCGTTCCCTATCCAGTGCAGTTGCGCGTGGGCGCAGCAGCAATTTTATCCCCGAAGTCTGCAATGAAACGCGAAGACCGCAGACGCTTGCCGCAAGTTTCCTCGCTCTGCGTTTACTTCTGGGCCCGAAGAATGCCCCGCAGAGGCCCTAGGAGCTGGTTCATGGGACTTCACGCGCCTCCAGTGTCTTGCGGAGCCCCAGCCCCAGCAAGCAGCGGCTGAAATTGGTGCGCCTTGTGCTGTGGTCTGGGTGTGTCCCGGAGAGGGCGCGCAGGCGCCTATGTCTGTCGCGGGGCGGTCGGCGGGTTCCTGCATAGGTATGGCTTTCTGTTCATCTATGTGTTCGTCTGTATGTCCCTGGATGGGTCTGGGGGTGTGGTAGTAGGAGAATTGTTTTTTTAGCCATCCTTGCTGTTCTTGTGTCCAGGTGTCCAGTGAAAGATCTGTATGTCTCCACCTCTCTGTTCTCTGTTTAGGAGAGGTTGCAGGGGGAAGGGGGATGTGGTGACTGTCCAGGATTGTTCTGCTGCATCAGAGATACTTGGGAGGATCGCCTTTCCATCCCTTCAGCAGCTTCCCAGCTCTGGTCCTCCCACACTCTTGTCAACACAAAGGGCCCAGCTTCCACCTGGAAACTTTCCTTCTGTGCCCCTGGGACACCTTCCCAGCCCAGCTTCTACCACAGCTTCCTCCCACTTGAAAGGCTCTTGAATCTCTGAGCTGCCAGGGATGCAAGCAGGACATTGGGGCAGACTAAGAAGTGACCTTCCCCTTTGGCTTGGGACAGTGTCTCCTAGACACCTCCTTCCCATCAGAATCCCAGAGACCTTTCTTTCAAGTCAATCTGCCCAGGCTCACCCATATCACGGCACCCTCTAGGGGATGTACAGGACCCCAACAAATCAGCAAACCTTCAATAAAGTCCATTCCTTTCCCCCTCCCTCTGCACCTGTGTCTCCCGATTCTTCATCTCAGCAAATGGCAGTTGCACCCTTCACCCTGCCTGGTGTTGGCTGTCTTGACCGCCAGCCTCCTAGAAGAGTGGCCTTCAAACTTCTTTGATCATACACCCTCTCAGCCAAAAGAATTCTGAATGTGTACTCCCAATATAAGTATATTTACTGATTTACAAATTCCATAAATATACTACTGGGCTAACATATTATGAATCGTGTAAAAGATAAAATATTAAAAGAACGAGTTTGGAATATGTGAAAATAGAAGTTCTAATGTTCTCACACCCAAATGGATTATCTTGCACTCCCTGGAAGACGTGCACCCCACTTTGGAGATCCTGGTCATAACCCATGAAAACCCAGCATGGCAGAACTCCTGACTATTGCCTGGTGCCCAGCAAGTACGTTTCTGGAAGTTGCCAGGGCACTGGCTTGGGCCAGGGCAGCCCAGTGAACACTGCCCTCATCATATATAGTGGGTACCAGACCCCCAGTGCCTGGCTTTGCCTCCAGGTCCACCCCAGACAGGGAGCCTTGCCCTGCCCACTCCATCAATTTGGGAGCCATGGCCTCTTATGTGGGTCTCACTGGAACCTCTTCTGTTCTATTTCTGGTCTCTCTCAGACTGAACTGGATGGACAGCAAACATTCCACTGTTTACAGTAAGCACCTCTGCCCAGAAGCTTCATATGGTGTCCCTCCTAGAATACTGATTTCAGCTTGGAATCAGCCTGAGGGCCCGAAAACATGATCTATCATCCTTGGCCAGTTGCAACCCCACTCACCCACCCCAGAAACAAAGAAGGCCTGTTCTCCTGCTTCAGTTTGTTTTCTCCAGAAGTCATTTTGACTCTGCTGGCTCTGTCCCCATCCTACCTCTACAGAGTTCCCAGCTGAGGCACACCAAGTATGACAGTTAGAAACAGATGAACAGAAGTGTCCTGGGTTGAGGGAAGAGCAGGAGCAAAGACAGGAAGTCATGAAAATACACCAGATACAATCAATGTGGCTGGAGTATCAGGTGCCAGGGGAGGGGGGGGGGTTGTGGAGGGAGGTGGCAGGAGATGAAGCTACAAATGTAATTAGAACACTGTCATGGGCATTCCAAATTGTACCTGTCACACACACAGCTCCTTTAAGGAAGCTGCCCTACCCACAGCTACTTCCTGCCCATGTAGACAATGTATTTGTACCAGTGACTCTGTTACTGGTACAGAATTGGACTGGAACACAAGTCCACGCTGAACCAATCAATCCTCCTCTTTCGGAAAACAAAACTAGGAAGTATGGAAAGAAAGAGGCCATTAACCACGAAAAGAAAAGCCCAAAGGAGGCCCTGAGGGCATCCCCTAGTCCTCCTCACCTCAGTAAAGGATAGCTCCATTTGTATCACTCAAGCCCAAAAACCCACATCTTCCCTGACTCCTCCTGTCTTTTGCATCCCACGTTTGATTCATCAGCAAAACCAGACAATTCTACCTTTAAAATCTATCCAGAGCATGACCTCTTCCAACTACCTGTACTGGACTATCCAGGATCAAGCCACTGTGGTCCTTCACCTGAGCTTGCAAACAGAAAGTTCTAATTGGCCTTCCTGCTTCCATCTTTGCCTCCCTCCAGCAGCCAGAATGGTCCCCCAAAATGTATGGCAATTCATGTCCCTCCTCTGCCCAGAAACCTTCGGTGGCTCCCCATCTCTCTCAGCGTCAAAGTCAAAATCCCTCCCCATCGCCACCACCATCTTAACCCACCTCCCATCACCTCCCTAGGCTCACCGTGCTCTCTGAGCCTGATGGTAGGAGCCCTCAATCATGTGAAGAGGAGGATGACCCACAGAGAGAGTAGCTGAGTCGCTAATGAGGAGGACTGAGAGGGCACATGTTCCTGCCTCTCCTGCAGCACAGAGGATTGAGACTCAAACTGCACTGAACACCTCAAATAACTCCCACCATTCCTTGGGGTGACTCTCTGTTCCTTACAACTCAAAGCACCTCTCACAGTCCCCGTGGGGGGCATCGAGAGTGCATCCCTCCTTCCATTGGGAAGCTGCCCCTCTACCATCCTGTGTAGTTCTCGTGGGACTGTCAATCACAGTGCCCCATCAGCTCCTACCACATATTTGGTCTTGTGACGCTCCTCTGGCCAATGAGGACCCCATGTCCCTGGCCACAGCACAGAGATAAAAAGTTAGAAACAATGGGAGTTCTCTCAGGAGCGTTGTTATGGAGTCCTGGAAGAGAGGAGGGGTTTTTGGCCTGTGAGCTGCAATGATGAGGGCTTGAGACTCCACGTGGAGAATGTCTGCCCAAGGGTGAAGTCATGCTCAGAGTCAAACAGAGACCAGCAGAGCTGAGAGGTAGAGGAAAAAAACAAAAAACAAAACAAAACAAAAAAAAACACCAACTCTGGTACTATCATTCAAACCTCTGGAGCCAGCTAGGCCCGAAGCAAGCCCCATTTTTGGATTTCCAGGATCAAAATTCAATACCTTCTTCTTTCTTGGCTTAAACAAATTTGTTGGGTCTGTCATTTGCAACCAAAAAAGTTCTGATTTAAGCAGTTCTGGAAGACACACATGCTCTGTTAAGAGCTTTGGATTTTTTATTTTTTTCCCCTAGAGGCAACGAGAGCTATGGAAAGTTTTTGAGCAGAGAGAATAGCTTAATAAGTCACATTTTTGGAAGAGTGCTCTATGCATAATGAAGAAGTGGAATACAAGGAGAGACAGTGGGTGCAGGGAGAACTGTAAGAGACCACTACCATGGTTGAGGCAAGAGATGATGGGAAGCTATGCTAATGATTAGATTAGCTCCTGAAGGAAACTGACAAGGAAGCATGACACAGTTTTATTTTTAGGTAAAAAAGAAAGACAAGTGCAGATCAGAAGACCTGCTGCATGAGAAAGAGAAAATAAGAATCTTTCTCACATTTGCTTATATACACATAAACAGAAAGATAAAATGGTGTCTCTGAGCTGGGAACTATGTGGACGGGGACAGGGCAAGTATAGTCATTTCTGTGACTATAATTTTTTAAAACCTAATTTTGACTTTAATGAAAAATAAAATTTCAATTAAGAAATGTAAAGAGACAACCAGGTCCTTGACACATATAAGCATAATGAATAAGCCAAATTTGGCTTTTCTTGATGTTCTATTATGACTGAGGGAAAGGCCATTTGATTTGGAGAATAGCAGATACCTGGTGACCTCCAAGCTAGTGTTTTCTGCAGATGGAAGTGGGGGGTGGCTAAAATGTAAGGATGTAGAAAGGGGCAGAGTGTAACTGATTCTTTTCAAATATTTGGAAAGGAGGAGAACAGGAGAGGGGCCTGGGGATTGTATGGTCTGTGAGCTCAAGAGAAGGTTCTTTTTGGCCGAGGGCTGTGTGGACAAGCCTGTGGTTGAGGCAGAGGGTGGAAGGCAGGGATGTGAAGAGAAGCTGCTCATGATGGACATGAGGGGCCTGAAAGAATGGGGTGGAGGCATGTGGGGAGGGGTGGAGAGGAACCAGAAAATTCTGCTTGGGAGAGGAAGGTCTTGAAGGGACAGGGTCCACTAGATTTGCTCAGAAAGATTGTAGGAGCCACAGCTGCTGTCTGCTGAGAGTGAGGGGAGCAGGACTGGATCCTGCCTTGAGCGGGTAGAGAATTTTGGAAGAATCTCTTCTGGGGATTCAGAAGGAAGTTGTGAGGGCAGCAGGAGCACATGGCCAACAGCAGCAGGGAGAGCTCACACTGTGGGGAGGTCCTGGGCTCCATCCTTCAAGACACAGAAGCCAGGCCCCCAAGATTACACTGCCCCCACTCCCAAACTCCATCCACATCTCCCTTCTCCAAGGGGCCTCCCTAGCTGACTGGACCCCGGCAGAACCTTGAGCCCATGCTCACAGTCTGATCTCTGTGACTGTTCATCCTCAAGTGCCCAGGTGTAGCCTCAGCTGCCTTATGTGAGAAAGCCACCACCTGCACCCCAAAGAATTCCCACCATGCAACCTAGAGGCAGAAGAAAAACCATGTGTGTACGGAGGCATCTCCACACTGAAGGCAAAAGGGACCCACAAGAGAGTCACAAGGCTGGCTCACAAGGTCACTATGTGACCTTCAACAGACCTCACTCTCTCTGTGCCTCAGTTTCCTTGTGTGTAAAACCAGATGACCACTAGGGCTCCTTCCCACTTGGACATTCTAGGCTTCCATAGTTCTAGACTGTAGGTGCTCAGGCAATCTCTGTGGCCAGAAGGAGTTCGAGTAAGCTCTGTAGAGGTGAGGTGGGTGCACTCAGATGGGGAAGGGGATGGGGGAAAGCTCTTTAATCTACAGAAGGAGGAGGCATGGATTTATTTATTGCTGCCACCTTCCCCATCTGAGAGTTAGGACTGCCTTTTCCTATCTCTCTTCCCACTCTCTGCCCAGAGGTCTCTGGGGTGGGTCTCTGTAAGCATTGAGGCAGATGAATGGTGATCTAAGGGGACCCCTGAGGGTGCAGGGTAGGGCACTAGGGGAGGGAGACAAAGGAAGCTGCTCTTTGGGGCCCAGAACATTTCCAGCCTCCCCCCACACCTCTGCATGACCAAACCATTCCAATACCCTAATTAGCCAGTCCCTTAGGCCCCTGTTAGCCAGGCCGGCTGAGCGCCCAACTCCCTGGGGACCAGCCCCTTTACCCCGCAGACTAATCAGTTCTTCACTCTGAGTGCATGAGCGTCCTCATCACACACGCATGCGCACACACACACATACTCTCCCTTATTCTCACCCAGAACCCCAGGCCCCATTCCAGCCTTATGAGTGTTAATGTAGGGTGGTGCTGCATTTCCCCAGTGACCATATCCCCATTTGGGTTGATTGAAGAGTTAGAGAGACCGGACAAAGTTTGGGGGCTCCTCTCCAATTTGGGGTTTTCTCTTAAACTTGTGAGGTCAGGATGTGTAGCCAAGGATGAAGCCACAATTGGGGTGTTCTATGGTACCCCAAGCCCTTGCATTGGTACCATCTAGGGTCAATATTCACCCCAACTCAAACCCCCTCCTCCCCCTCATCCCGTCCCCCCTAGTCCATATCCCCACCCCCTACCCCCAACACCCGCACTGTCAGCCCAAACACATGATAAATTGCCCTGTCAACAGAATTCATTCAGGGACCAATTAATTCCACAGAAATGAACCAGGAGCCATCAGTTGCTGAAAAACTCAGAGTGCAGGGGGCGGAGGAGGGGGTACAGGCAGGGGGTGGGCAGCAGGGGAGGGGATGGGGAGGTTGGGGAAGTTAGTCTGACAGAAATTGGTCATTTAATGCTTAAGTGCACGCTAGACAGCCCTGTCATCGCCCGCGGCCCCCGTGCGGGATTAATTATCGGAGGAGGAGAGGGCAGCCCAGCCCAACCTAGCCGTCTGTCACCAACCAATGCTGGAGTCACCCAAGCCTTGGGCCACCCTGGGTCCCCTTCCAAGCCTCCAGGCCTCCTGCTCCTCTGACTTTCAGGTCCCCCCAGATCCCAGTCGTAGGCCCAACCTCCTATCTTGGCCCCTCAGCCACATTTAGTCATGGCCTTGCCATCAGCTAGTCCAACCAGGAAGACTTCTTCAACCCCTTGACTGGGTGAGGCCCAAACTCCCCACACTCCCCTGTCATTATTCTCAAACATCCTAGGTGAACATGTGTGCAGAACCCAAGGCACAATTTTGTCCCATCCATTGATCCTAATCTGAGAGAACAGCACCATCATCCACTCCATGGCTCAAGCCAGAATCCCATCATTATCCTTGACTCCTCCCACTCCCTCATCTCTCCCATCCAATCAAAATCCAAATCCTGAGAGTTCAGCCTCCTGTAAATACATCACATCTGGTCCACTTGCTTCTAGCTCTCTGCCACCAGTCAAGGCTGAGCCATCATCTGCTCTGCCTGCTCTCCTGATTCAGGCTCTTGCTTGTGGCTAATGTTATTTTTTTTTTAATGCAAATAACATCCTGCTGCACTGCCTCCCTCCCTGATACTAACATCCAGCTTAACACTCTTCTGGGGATCATCATGGGCCTGCAAGAGATCAAGTTCAAACCCTTGACTTACAAGCCACGAAGCTTCAGCCTGTGCCCTGGCCTTGCCTCCAGCATGCTCCTTTGCTCTCTGCTCCAGCCCCACTGCCCCTCCCTTCTGACCTTTGCACAGGCTGTTCTCTCAGCATGAAGTACTCCTACCCTGCAATCCCCACGTTCACTTGACTAACTCCTGATGATCCTTAAGATCGCAGATTAAATGTCACCTCCACCAGGAAGCCCTCCCTGACTGCTTGATATGCTTTTACAGCTCCTCAAATTTTTTCATTCATCAACATGTCATCTGGCAAGTACTTGTGCATTATCTGTCTTTCCACAAAAATGTTAAGTTTCACAAGAGTGGAGTCAATGTCTTTTTTCTCAGAGCCTGGCATTTAATGGATACCAGAATAAATGTACTGAATGAAGAATTGCCTAGCCCTGTCTTGGCTCTCCCCCTTGTCTGAGGCCAAGTTCCCCAGTGTCAGAACTCTCTTGATAGCCCAAGACAAGCTGGGTTGGCTAGAGGCTGAGAAACCCTCAGAGAATATTTGTGAGCCCATCAAACTGACCCAAATCAGCTGTGCCTTGTGGGCTCAGACGAGGGAGAGGCTGCTGAGGGCTGCAGAGTAGAATGGCAGAGAGAATGGTTAGGAGGACTTCCCAGAAGAGTAGGGAAGTGGGGTCTGAAAGAAGCAGGCTCTGTGCAAACATGGGCTGGCTGAAGCATGGGGTTGTTCAAGGGAGAAGTAATAGTTGGAAATATTGGGTAATAGTTGGAAAGGGAACTTTCCAAAACTGATACTCATATATTTGCTGGAGGTTGAACTGACAAGACTTGGGTACTGACTGGATGAGAGAGATGAGGGCCAGGGAGACCAGTTTGTGAAGGGCAATCAATGCCAGACTGTTTGACCATTTTCCTATCCTTAACTGGGGGGAGGGCACTGACTACTTCTAAGGTGACCTGATGCAAAGTTTTATTTACAAGTTAATTCTAGCTGCCAGACAAGGTGGTTGAAGGGAAAGTTTGAGGCAGGGAGACTATTAGAAGGCTAGTGCAATGATGAGATGGGGGATGAAATGGAGTGAGAGTGAGAGAGAGAGAGAGATGCAGGTTGACCTGTGGAAGGAAGATCTGTGATAAGGAAGTCTCCCTGAGGGACAGAGGGGGACAGGTAAGCTGGGTGGGCTCCATCTCCAAGTGTCTGGCCCAAGAAGGCCTGGTGGTAGCCTCACTGAGGTAGCATATCTGGACTTGGCTGCCAATTGGTTATGAAGGTGAGGAGGAGAGATAGGGCAAAGATGATTGCCTCCAAGGGTGTTCCAAGAGCCTGGCAGCTGATGGGCCACCAGCAGAGGTAAGAAGAGACGCTAACTTGGGGCTAGAGATCATGACATGCCTTTGCATATTGAGTATTTGTGCCTGAGTTTGACATGCCAGGGCATGATGGCCAATAGACAGAATTACAGGGAAGTAGCTCAGGGGAGTAAATTGGCCTCTGGATGTAGAATGGGGAGATATACCCTCCTGCCCCACTCTCCTAGTCTCCAGTTTTGCATTGCAGTTTGGATGGGCCAATTTAATTCTGTAACAAAGTAACAGTATAGTATTAACCCAAAATAATCCTATAATACCATAGCACAGTAAAGATGATGTATCACTGCCAAGATACAAGTGATAGTGTAGTGTAGGGCTGTAACGATGTAATCCAAAAACAGTATAACCATATGGCAATTTGCTACTGTCAGCCAGGAAATGATGGGTCGGTGCACTATAGGTTAACAGTACTGGGCTATAATGAGGTAACCATGTAATCAGTGATATTGTAGTGTTGAAATGACTGTAACAAGGCACACAACCCAGCAACTTGATATGACAATCTGACAGTGTAATTGTGTTAACTTAGTAATGGTTACCGATATAATGATGCAATCACATGATGGCAGAGTGTGGTAATGATGTCACATGATCATAAAACCTCAAAGGCAGTGGAAGGGAAGAGGATGGAGCTCTTAACCTAAGCCCCAGGGCTCTGAGAATAGAGTAAGAAAGCCCTTTCCAAGTTTAAAAGGAAGCTTCCTCAGGATGCTGCAGAGGCTGGAAGAAGCTTCTGGAAGGATGTTGCAGCCTGGGATAGGAAAGAGCTCAGCCGAGAAAGAAAACTGGGGGCTGGGCACAGTGGCTGACGCCTGTAACCCCAGTACTTTGGAAGGCTGAGGCAGGTGGATCACTTGAGATCAGGAGTTCAAGATCAGCCTGGCCAAACATGGTGAAATCCTGTCTCTACTAAAAAATACAAAAATTAGCCAGGTGTGGTGGTGCACGCCTGTAATCCCAGCTACTCAGGAGGCTGAGGCACTAGAATCACTTAACTCAGGAGGCGGAGGTTACAGTAAGCCGAGTTCGTGCCATTGCACTCTAGCCTAGGTGACAGAGTGAGTGAGACTCTAAAAACAAAAAAAAAGGAAGGAAGGAAGGAAGGAAGGAAGGAAGGAAGGGAGGGAGGGAGGGAGGGAGGGAGGGAGGAAGGGAAGGAAGGAAGGAGAAAGGAAAGGAAAGGGAAGGGAAGGGGAAAAGAAAAGAAGGAAGGCAAGAAGTGGTGGTGGCTTTGCAGAACAGGACATAGCTCTGTTAGGCTGGCCAGGATCAAAGCAAGCCAGCCCCCAACTGTGGATACTATCTGAGCAGCCCTGACCCCTTTCAGTGCTCTTGACTGTTCACTTAGCCTGAGAGGTGTCTGCTCCTTCAGGAGCTGAAATAGGGCAAATCATATTCAGTACTTGTAAGATTCTTGGAATCATCACATTGACAAGAATATAAAAGAAAACCCAGAGTAACACAATTGAAAACAACTCACATATCTGATCTTTACTATGTGCTGGGCACTGTTCTTCTGCAGATTATTCACCATAACCCAAGGAAGAAGGTTTTATCTTATTCGTTTTACAGATGAAGACAATGAGACCCAGAGAGATTAAACATATTTGTCTAAAGTCACATAGCAAGTAAAGGGCAGAGCTGGAATTCAGACTCAGATCCACATCTGCCTTTAAAGCACATTCTTGCTCTTGTCATTGGGTATCTGCTTTTAGAAGTGTGTGACAAACCAGTGAGAAAAAAACCAGGGAGCAGGTTGAGCCAAAGGATAAACAAGTGACATATTCCTAGACATACATTTTTTAAAAGGTCAATATTAAGGTGGATTAAAATGTGTGTAATGGGCAAGTGTTTAAGAAAGAAAGGATGGATATGAATATATATTCTTATTTGCTTACATTTCTTGAAATGAAAAGATAAACAAAATATTTTAAAAATAATTATTGGAGAAAGGAGGAAACAAAGTGAAGAGGATGGGGTAGAAGGTAGACATCACTGAGTATAAATTTTCAATAGATTTTTAAAAATAGATTAAAACCATATAGATACTTTATATAATAACACAATAAAATCAAGTATGTAAATAAGTAATCCATAAAAAATCAAAAGCAAAATGAAACAAATGAACTTATCTACTAAGTTGGTATTATAATCACATAGATAAACTATTTCAAGTAATTTAAAATCCAGTAATTGACTCTACATACATCCCTAGTGGGATATACACTAATAAAGCCAATAAGTAATGAGATTGATGTTCTTAGAGTTTTTTGGTAAGGGAGAAATAAACAAACAAAAACAGATGGAAGATCAGTGGTGATTAGTAAAATCCCCATAGTCTTGCATTTGATTTGGAAGTATCAGTAATAACTGTTGATGTATTTTATCTTTAAAAAATGTATTTCATGGCTTTATGCATTGAAAAAGACAAGAAACCAACCAACTCAGTAGCAATAAGCACCTCTAGTCTCCAGACTGTGGTCTTTAAATACCATTTTGCATTAAAAAGAACCAGGGCTCTTTGGGGGAAATGAAAAATTTCAGATCTGAAACAGGACATGTACAAGATCATTCTGGAAATCTTATACCAGAAAGCGAGGAAGCTATGAAAGACTACTAGGGTCATTTCAAAAGGACTTGTGCACTAATTACAGGCTCCCATTTGCCAAAGATGATACAATTGAGCATCAGTGTTTATAATAACTGCAATTGATTGAAACTCATCTAATAAATTTAAATCCATGAATAATCATTATACTTAAAAGAAAAACCTTACTAATCTTCTTTGAAGGATGGTAGAGAGCCAACTCATAATTTGGTAAACTGATCGAAAAAAAAAACCAAGCATTTCTACTGCCTTTCTTATATGAGCTATATATACCTTGGGTTGAATCCAGGAGGCCGAGGTTGCAGTGAGCCAAGATCACGCCACTGTACTCCAGCCTGGGCAACAGGGAGAGACTCTATCTTAAATAAATAAATAAATAAATAAATAAATAAATAAATAAATAAAGTGATATTTCAAAAAAAATCTAATCTAAATCTAATCAAGCCTATAGATGTAACTACTATCTTGCAGAAAATACTGTGAGCAGAGGAACCTCAAGGATGCAATCCAAAAACTCCAGGTTATGGGTAAATATCCTGGCTTCCTCAATTAAAAAATTGAAAGAGAGAAAAAAATGGATAGACTAAAACAGACTTGAGAGATATATCAACTAATTGCATTATATTTGAATCTTGCAAGTAATTAAAAGGAGGAGAAGGAGCAGGAAGAGGAGGAAGAGAAAGAAGAGTAGAAGATGTTATGAGGCAATCAGGGACATGTAAGCACTGCATTAACTGGACACTATTAAGTTTTTAGATGTGCTAGTGATATTATGGTTATTTTAAAGTCATTTACTTTAAAAATATAAACTGAAATATTTATAAATTAAATGATGTGATATCTTGGATTTGCTATCAAATAATCTAGGGGGTAGAGTTGGCTGAGGAATATATAGAATAAGACTGGCCATAAATTGATAACCGTTGGAGCTGGGTTCATTATACTCCTCTCTACTTTTATATATGTTTGAAGTTTTCAATGTTTAACCCATGTTATATTGAAATGAGCTGGTTAAATTTGGGGAGTAGCTATCTCCCCCATCTTGAACTTCAGAAAGCTGGCAGCTGTCTTCCATTGTTCAGCCCTCCAAGCTGGAAACTGAACAAACTGACCAGCCCCCCAAAAAAGACCTCTAAATACTGACAATCAGAGTCCCCCCACAAAACATCCGGGTCTCCAACTGATCATTCTTCAGTGATGTCCACTAATCAACAGGTCCTAAAATTAGCACAGAGCTTTCAAGCGGTCATTTAGTGCCCTACCTTTGTGTATTGATGGACAGGAAAAGATGCTAATGATTTAGGACAAGTTTCTAACATAAAAGATAAAGACCAGGCCGGGCACAGTGGCTCACGCCCCTAATCCCAGCACTTTGGGAGGCCAAGGTGGGTGGATGACCTGAGGTCAGGAGTTCGAGACCAGCCTGGCCATCTTGGTGAAACTCCGTCTCTACTAAAAATACAAAAATTAGCCAGGCGTGGTGGCAGGTGACTGTAATTCCAGCTACTCAGGAGGCTGAGGCAGAAGAATTGCTTGAACCCAGGAGGCGGAGCTTGCATTGAGCTGAGATTGAGCTACTGCACTCCAGCCTGGGTAACAGAGCAAGACTCCATCTCAAAAAAAAATTTACACACTTATATACATAAATGTGATATATTGATTGATTTTTACCCCAAATTGTGATATAAATATATTGGGCCAAAGACAAAATGATTATAGGTGGTGACATAAGAGATCCCAATCCTCATCTTCTATAATAATTAGTTAATAGCTGGGCATGGTGATACATGCCTGTAATCCCAGCTACTCAGGAGGCTGAGGCATGAGAATCACTTGAACTCAGGAGGTGGAGGTTGCCGTGAGCCGAGATTGCACCACTGCACTACAGCCTGGATGACAGAAACTCCATCTCAAGAAAAAAAAAGAACTTGAAAGTATCAAAGAATATTCAGAGAAGAGAAGAAAGCTTAAAAAAACAAACAAACCTGCAATTAATAACCTCAGAGAGGTATAAGAAACACATCCATGAAAAAAAGACAGGGTGTGGTTTGTTTTGTTTTGTTTTTTTCTGAGACAGAGTCTCGCTCTGTTGCCCGGGCTGGAGTGCAGTAGTGTGATCTCAACTCACTGCAGCCTCTGCCTCCCGGGTTTAAGCAATTCTCCTGCCTCAGCCTCCCGAGTAGCTGGGACTACAGGCGCGTGCCACCATGCCCGGCTAATTTTTTGTGTTTTTAGTAGAGACGGGGTTTCACCGTGTTGGCCAGGCTGGTCTCAATCTCCTTACCTCGTGATCCACCTGCCTCGGCCTCCCAGAGTGCTGGGATTACAGGTGTGAGCAACCTCACCTGGCCAGGGTGTGTTTTTAAGGTATATTCAGAGAATAATAATTGTTAAAATTCCTGAATATTTATAGATATATGTACACATAATACATATGATATCTATAATATTAGAGATAAAGTGAAAAGTCAAAAATAGCAATATAAGCATGATATGGCCACAGAAGTAGGGAAGTACATATCAGAAGATGTAACTAATCATTTTCAAAAAGGTTGCCTATAGGGACTTAATAGAAGACAACTATAACCTTGTATTTGGTTGCTTTTTGAGCTATGTAAATACAGTTGACCCTTGAACAACATAGGTTTGAACTGCATGGATCCATTTATATGCAGAATTTTTCCAAAAAAGTTACACTGAATGTGCTTGCCTTTCCTGCCTCCTGTTCTGCGTCCTCCACATCTTTGACCTCTGCCACCCCGAGACAGCAAGACCAACCCCTTTCCTCCCTCCTTCTCCTCAGCCTACTCAGTGTGAAGGCAACGAGGATGAAGACTTTTATGACGGTCCACTTCCACTTATTGAATAGTAAGTATATTTTCTCTTCCTCATGATTTTCTTAATAGCATTTTCTTTTTTCTAGCTTACTTTATTGTAAGAATACAGTATATAATACATATAACACACAGAATATGTGTTAATCGACAGTTTGTTATTGGTAAGCCTTCTGGGCAACAGTAGGCTATTCGTAGTTAAGTTTTGGGAGAGTCAAAAGTTATACATAGATTTTTTTTTTTAATTATTTATGTCCATAGATTTTGGGGGAACAGGTGCTATTTGGTTACATGAGTAAGTTTCTTTAGTGGTGATTTGTGAGATTTTGGTGCACCCATCACTCGAGCAGTGTACACTGAACCCAATGTGTAGTCTTTTACCCCTCACCCCTTCTCACCCTTTGCCCCTGAGTCCCCAAAGTCCACTGTATAATTCTTATGCGTTTGCATCCTCATAGCTTAGCTCCCACCTATGAGTGAGAACATACAACGTTTGGTTTTCCATTCCTGAGTTACTCACTTAGAATAATAGTCTCCAATCCCATCCAGGTTGCTGCAAATGCTGTTAATTCATTTCTTTTTATGGCTGAGCAGTATTCCGTCATATATGTACCACAGTTTCTTTATCCATTCGTTGATTGGTGGGCATTTGAGTTGGTTCCACATTTTTGCAATTGTGAATTGTGCTGCTATAAACATGTGTGTGCAAGTACCTTTTTCAACAATGACTTCTTTTCCTCTGGGTAGATACCCAGTTGTGGGATTTCTGAGTCAAATGGTAGTTCTACTTTTAGTTCTTTAAGGAATCTCCACACTGTTTTCCATAGTGGTTGTACTAGTTTACGTTCCCACCAACAGTGTAGAAGTGTTCCCTTTTCACCTTATCCATGCCAACATCTATTTTTTAAATTTTTTTTATTATGGCCATTCTTGTGGAAGTAAGGTGGTATCATATAGTGGTTTTGATTTGCATTTCCTTGATCATTAGTGATGTTGAGCATTTTTTTCATGTTTTTTGGCCATTTGAAAAGTTACACATGGATTTTCAACTACATCATGGGTCCGCACTCCAGCCCCTGCAGTGTTCAATGGTCAACTGTATATAACTTTTTTTTTTTTGAGGCAGGGTCACAATCATGGCTCACTGAAGCCTTAACCTCATGGGTTCAAGTGTTCTTCTTGCCTCATCCTCCCAAGTAGCTGGGACTACAGCGACACACCACCACGCCTGGCTAAGTTTTTGATTTTTTGTAGAGATGAGGTCTTGCTATATTGCCCAGGCTGGTCTCAAACTCTTGGGCTCAACCCATCCTCCCGCCTCAGCCTCCCAAAGTACTGGGATTACAGGTGTGAGCTACCACTCGCAGCCAACTATATTTAACTTTTATTTATTTATTTTTATTTTATTTTTATTTTTTATATATTTTTTTTGGAGACAGAGTTTCACTCTGTTATCCAGGCTGGAGTGCAGTGCTGCCATCTTGGCTCACTGCAACCCACCTTCCAGGTTCAAGAGATTCTCCTGCCTCAGCCTCCTGAGTAGCTGGGTACAGGAGCCCGCCACAATGCCTGGCTAATTTTTTTTGTATTTTTAGTAGAGACAGGGTTTCGCCATGTTAGCCAGGCTGGTCTCAAACTCCTGACCTCAGGTGATCTGACCTCGGCCTCCCAAAGTGCTGGGATTACAGGCATGAGCCACCACGCCTGGCCTATATTTAACTTTTAATGAAAAATTCAAACATACACAAAAGTGAGAAAATAGTACAATGAACTCTCATATTCTAATCCCTCAGAATTAGCAATTTATCAAAATTTTGCCACACTTGCTTCATGTAAGTACATTACTTTAAATTTTTTAGAAAATTTTTTAAAATTTTAGAAATATACACAATAAATTAATAATATGGCTACCTCTGAAACATATGACTGATATAGAGATGGGAGAGGTGAGGAAAAGAGCTTTTTTCCTTTTTAAACAGTTTTATTTTTATTTTTATCTTACAAACTTATGCCATGCGCTGCTCTAAACACTTTACACTCATTTAATCCTCATAGCAAATCGATGAAGTGTGTGCTAGTTTTATTCTTATTTGATAGAAGAGAGCTGTTTATCATTTGAATTTTTTTCAGTGAGCAGATATTCCTTTTTAAATATTTATTTATGTGTTTGTTTTAGAGACAGGGTCTCCGTCTGTTGCCCAAGATTCACTGTAACCTCAAACTCCTGTGTTTAAGGGATTCTCCCACTTTAGTCTCCCAAGTAGCTGGGACTACAGGCAGGGGCCACCATGCCTGGCCAATTTTAATTTTTTTTTTTTTTTAGAGATGGGGGTCTCACTATGTTGCCCAGGTTGGTATTGAACTCCTCTCTTCAAGTGATCCTCCAGTCTTGACCTGTAAATAATAATTTTTTAAAAGATAATGGACTATAAAAACAAGTTTCCTGACTCATATATAATACATAATAACTCTTTGGTTATTTCTTCTCCAGTATATAAAGTCCCAGTCCCAAAGATGCCTCCAAGGTAGAATGATGCATTCTCGTTATTAATAACACTTTCACTCCCAATCTGTCCCAGTTTAGGTAATAACTTGAATGACCACCCTACTTTAAGGCTTGTGTTTAGGGCTGGACGCAGTGGTGCACGTCTGTAATCCCAGCACTTTGGGAGGCCAAGGTGAGTGGATCACTTGAGGTCAGGAGTTTGAGACCAGCCTGGCCAACATGGCAAAACCCCATCTCTACTAAAAATACAAAAATTAGCCAGGTTTGATGGCCAAGGTGGGCGGATCACGAGGTCAAGAGTTCAGACCAGCCTGACCAATATGGTGAAACCCTCCTCTACTAAAAATACAAAAATTAGCTGGACGTTGTGGCACACACCTGTAGTCCCAGCTACTCAGGAGGCTGAGGCAGGAGAATCACTTGAACCTGGAAGGCAGAGGTTGCAGTGAGCCAAGATCGTGCCACTGCTCTCCAGCCTGGGCAACAGAGTGAGACTCCGTCTCAAAAACAAAACAAAACAAAACAAAACAAAACAAAACAAAAAACAAGACTTTGTGTTTAGATCCTTCACCATAGGGATTGTCCTCCTCTGGACTTTGTTCTTAGGGGTCCCCAGGCCTGAACCTAGCAAACTATGGGGCCCGGTGGGAACACTGACCTTTCTTCTTCCAGGCTTCCTGCATCTACCGAGGCAGCCTGGGAGTCAACAGGCTCCTGGTAGTGCCACACAATTGACTCACAATGAATTCGCTGTCAGATAAACTTTGTCTTTTTCACGTGATTCATTTCTAAGCCGAGACTCCTGGGCCCACATTTGCACTTCTGATCTTTTTAACCTGCCTGCAGGACTCTACATCCATGCTCTCCAAATGTCATTTGCTCATGTTGGGTCATCATTCCAGCCTGCCAAGATCATTTTGAACCTCAATTCTGTCACCCAATCTATTAGTAAGCCTGTTCCTCTTTGTGTCATCTGAAGGTGTGATGAGCTGGACACCTACATCTTCATTTGAGTCACTGATAGAAACATCGCGTGGCCAGGGCTGAGTCACAGGCTCAGAGACGTCATGCTGGCAAGACAGAAAACCTGTCATCACGTCTCTTTGGGTAGAGTGAGTCTCCAGCTATGAATCTTCCAAGCAGGGCCATCATGCAGCCCACATTTTCCCATCACATACACAAGAATACAATGATAAGCTGCTTTATGCCCTGTTGTAAGTATAAAAACAGTGCCTTCTGCATTCCCCTAACCTCTTCATTCTGTATCCTTATCAACAAAAGAAGCATGATATGCTGTCCTTTGGTATGTGTTTGTAGAGACCTCATGCTGGCTTCTGCCAAACATCATTCTCCTTGCTAAGCATTGCCAGACCTCATATATAATAATCATTTCTAGAATTTTGCCAGGAATCAGCATTAATTTGGACACTCTTTAATTTCCATATCCAAAGCCTACTCCTTGCTGGCTATGATGGCAGTATTCGTCCAACTCCACCCCGTAGCACCCCTCCTAATTTCCAGGATCCCCTGAAGTCACTGACAGCAGATTCCTGATTACATATCATCTTGACACCTATCTGAACCTTTTTACAGTAGACTACTCTGCTGCCATTAACAATATTGGTATGGATTGTAGAGCTATATTCACTGACATGAAAAAGTGTCCACCATACCTTGTTAAGTGAAAAATAAAGTTTACAAAGCAATATGATTTTATAATTCCATTTTTGTAAAAAAACAAAAACAAAAACAAAAAACCTTCATTATGTACACATAAAAATAAAGTCCAGAAGTCTACATACCAAAATATTAACAGCGGTAATATGGGTGGAAGAATTACAGGTGATGTTTTTTTCGCACATCTGAATTTTCCAGTTCTTCTTCAATTAGCATTCATAACTCATGTAATGAAGGAAAACAGCTTTTTTTTAAAAAAGTCAAGGTTGACTTCCCAGACTCTGGTAAATCAGAGCTATCTTAGAGCACAAATAACATTCCTCCACATGCTTCTCTCTTCTCCCTGAGAATTTCATTCTCCCGTAATATAAGGAGGAGGGAGGGGAGAGAAAAAGAGGATGGGGCTGCCATTTGTAGGCACAATGCCAAGCCATGGGCAGGGGTTTTATCTCCATCACTGCATTTAATCCTCACAACTGAGAGGAGTAAATTTTACCAATAATATCGACTCTTCCAGAAAGTTGGGTGATGAAGGGAAAGGAGACCATGAGATCCTGGACTGGGGAGAGACAAGGTCAAAGGAAGGTGAGGTGAAGCTAACCCATTTTACAGATGAAAACACTGAGTTTCTAAAATGACAATCAATCACGCAGCTAGTAAATAAAGCTAAATTCAAACCCAGGTCTGCCTGACCCTAAAGCCTTCCTCCTTTTATGACACCACAGCAGCCATCACACCTGCAGTCCCCATAGCATCCAATTTTAAAGATTTTTGGTTTTTCCTTCCCTGACATACCATTATCAACTTGCAGTTTAAAGCTCTTTTAATCAGGCAGCAGATCTCTTCTTAAAACTTCTCTGATCACCCCTGCACAGAACTTAAAGCAAATCCTCATTTTTAATCTTCACAACCATCTTCTTGTTTTGTTTTCTCTTTTTTTTCTTTTTTGAGACAGGGTCTCGCTCTGTCACTTAGGCTGGAGCGCAGTGGTGCAGTCACAGCTTACTGCAGCTTCGATCTCTTGGGCTCAAGTGATTCTCCAGCCCCAGCCCCCCAAGTAGCTGGGACTACAGGCGCAACCACAGCTGACAAATTTTTTAGATTTTGTGTAGAGATGGGATTTCGCCATGTTGCCCAGCTGGTCCCAAACTCCTAGGCTCAAGCGATCCTCCTGGTGTGGCCACCCAAAGTGCTGGGATTACAGGTGTGAGCCACCACTTGAGGCCTTCAGAACCATCTTTAAGCTCACAGCTCAAACGCCTTCTTCACCTTTCCCTCCGGAAGCATGAACTCCAAAACCAGAAAAAATGAAACATCATTTCCGACACATCCTATTGTACCCAAATTTCTTCCGTGTCTTTACCTAGTGCCTCAAAGCTCTGCAGACAGCATATAGAAGGATGAATGGGTGTGGACAGAGTTCAGCCAGACCTCAGAGACAAACCATAGAAGGTCCTGGGAGTCATTGCTGAGAAGCAGCCTAGAACTCCCTCAGTTCCCAGTATTACATTCTTTTCTGCTTAATATAGAATGGGTGTCTGTTTCCTGTGACTGAACTCTTAATGAGAAGTAATAATAGTAATAACTTCTCCCTTTTTAATTCTATAAACCTGATGCTATATAACAGGTTAAATATCTATCATCCCATCTAATTTGCATGGCAATCACATAAATTCGGTATTATTTTCCCAATTTACGTGTGAAGAAACCAAGGATTGGAGAGGTTGCCCAAGAGTTCATCGTCGGTAAATGGCTGAGCCTTGACTCAAATGAGGGTTTGCAAACTCCAGAGCTTGTGCTCCTAACCACTGTGCATCCCGCCGCTCATGTGGTTCCTTGTGGAAGGGAGGAACCTACGTAATGGATAACATCCTCAGCAGACTTTGTGGAAGATATAGAGATTTTTTTCTTTTCTTTACTTTTCTTTCTTTCTTTCTTTCTTTTTTTTTTTTTTTTTTTTGAGACGGAGTTTCACTCTTGTTGTCCAGGCTGGAGTGCAATGGTGCGATCTCGGCTCACCACAACCTCTGCCTCCTGGATTCAAGAGATTCTCCTGCCTCAGTCTCCCAAGTAGCTGGGATTACAGGCATGTGCCACTACGCCCGGCTAATTTTGTATTTTTAGTAGAGACAGGGTTTCTCCATGTTGGTCAGGCTGTCCCGACCTCAGGTGATCCACCCGCCTTGGCCTCCCAAAGTGCTGGGATTACAGACTTGAGCCACCGCGCCCAGCCTCAGAGGTGTTTTATAAACCATTAAGTCATACTTTATAATGACTCTGCTTCAACTATTCTCTTCTCTCTCTCCACTGTCCCTTCCCCACCTCTACACCTCCAAGTGTGCACATGTGCTCACCTTACCATCCCTTGACCCCCACAGTCCAGGACCCCATAGGACCCTTTCCCTTCCTCACCACACTTTCTGGAAGAGTAGCCCACACTTGTTACTTTCCTTCCCACCTCTAGCCCCATTCCCGTTGTCACCTGGCTTCTGCCTCCACCACCCCAGGGAAGCTGCTTTAGCTAAGATCTTTATGTCCTCCTGCTGCACATCTCATGGCTCTCTGGGGCCTCATCCTGTGTGACATCCCTGCAGCATGTCACGCAGCTGCCCACTCCACTGTCTTGAAACTCTCTCTCCACTTGGCTTCCTGACAACACTCTCCCCTGACTTTCTTCCATCCTCTCTGCTGGTGATTCTCTGTCTTGATCATTGACTCCTCTAACTCCACCTGACCCTCAAATGCTGGTGCTTTCCAGGGTTCTGCCCTCAGCCTTCAGCCCAACCCTCTCCTTCAGGCCCCAGACTCCTTCCTACAGCTGCAACAGCCCACTTACATGCAAGCAGACAACTGCCCAGGCTGTTGTCTTTAGCTCAGATCACTCTCCCACAGTTTAGACTCACATTTCCATCTGCCTAGCTGACACCTCCACCTGGAAGTTCTCCTGAAAACTTTAATTCAGTGTGTCTAAAAACTAAACAGTACAACATGCCCCCTGTAGACAGAGATCCACACACGTGTGGGCAGTAGGGTTACAGGCGATGCTGTGTTTTGCATGTCTCAATCTAGCTTTTCCTCAATTAACATTGATAACCCATATAATAAGGGGAGACAACTTTTCATTTTAATTTATTTATGCATGTATTTTAGAGACAAGATCTTGCTATGTTGCCCAGGCTGGTCTCAAACTCCTAGACTCGTGTGATCCTTCCACCTAAACCTCATGAGTGGCTGGGACAACAGGCATTCACAACCACACCCAGCTAAGGAAACAGCTTTTAATAAAAAGTCAAGGTTGGCTTTACAGTATCTTCGTAATTGTACAGAGATACTTTGGAGCACAAATAACATTCCTCATGCTCCCTCTCTTTCTCCCTGAGAGTTTCAGTCCACATAAGGAAGAGGGAGGGGGCAAAGAGGGTGAGACTATCATTCCTAGGCACAATGCCAAGCCACGTGCTAGGGGCTTCCTCCATCATTTATTTTATTTTATTTTTAAATTTTTATTTTATTGTTTTTTTTTTTTTTTTTTTTTAGAAATGGGGTCTCGTCATGTTGCCCAGGCTGGTCCTGAACTCCTGGCCTCAAGTCTTCCTCCTGCCTTGGCCTTCCAAAGTGCTGGGATTACAGGCGTAAGCCACCACATCCAGTCGCCGTCCATCTAGTTATATTTCATCCTTATAACTGAGGGGGGTTAGATATTATTTGCCCCATTTTACAGATGAAAACCCGAAGCTCTGAAATGATAAGCAATCACCTCCAATCATGCAGCTAATAAATAACTAAAGCAAAATGCAAATCCAGGTCTTCCTGACCCCAAAGTTCACACACACACACACACACACACACACCACATTTCTCTCTTGAAGTACCTCAGTACTTGCTTAAAAATTTCCACCAAATCTCCCTCTCCTCTTCATCACTTCCTGTCAAAGCCTGATGTGAGAGAACAGAAGGCAAGCACTGGGGCTGTCACACGCACAGACATTCCTAGTCACTCCATGAGAACACAACTGCCATCCTCATTTCTCTAGAGGAGCCAATTATTCTCTCAATGACCCTGTACTCTGTACCTTCTTTTTTTTTTTTTTTTTTTTGAGAAGGAGTCTCACTCTGTTGCCCAGGCTGGGGTGCAGTGGTGCAATCTTGGCTCACCACAACCTCCACCTACCAGATTCAAGCAATTCTCCTCCCTCAGCCTCCTGAGTAGCTGGGATTACAGGCGCCCACCACCACATCTGGCTAATTTTTGTATTTTTAGTAGAGACGAGGTTTCGCCATGTTGACCAGGCTGGTCTCGAACTCCTGACCTCTGGTGATCCACCCGCCTCGGCGTCCCAAAGTGCTGGGACTACAGGTGTGAGCCACCGTGCCAGCCTGTACTCTACCTTCTATGTCTATATCTCAGACAGAGATCGCCAGGCACTGGAGATCCTGTGGTGAACCAGGCAAATGTGGTTCTTGCCCTCATAGAGTCTACATTCTGGAAAATGCATCATTAACAATGCAAGGGCACTAAATAGAGAACATTTATGCACAGCAGTAACCAATGTAGGTTCACCAAGAACCACTAGTTAAAATGGAGAAAGGTATTGAAAAAGTAGATGAGTGTAAGCTCAAAAGGAAATTTCTAGGATTCTGATGCATGACTCCACCCTCAGCTGTTCCTAGTTCCTATTTTTGTTAATGACCTCCAGGCTCGCCAGATCATCAGAAGATGTAAAACTTGTTAAATGGCAGAGGACAAAATTAGGGCCTCACAGGCAGCTTGGAATAATGGGTCAAAACTAACATAATGAAATTTAAGGGATAAATGTCAAGTCCTGAATTTGTTTTACAAATCAATTGCCCTAGTGCACAGTGAGGGAGGCCTGGCTGCTGTGGCTCGTATGAGAAAAAGCAGGTAATTCTGATGCCCAGGAGCTTCATGTGGGTCCACAAAGCCAACTGGCTACCAGAACGCTAGGATGTAGGTGTGGGCAGTTCTGAAGGAATCCAACACAGCATGGAACACATGGTCCTTGGGCCTGCTCTGAGAAGGCCCTCCATCCACCCAGAGCCACCAGGCAGGCTGCAGGTGTCGAGAAAGACGGGCAGCATCTCTGCATCATCACATATCAGGGCTGACCACCTGGTCCCTCTCTTTCATTTACAGAGCAGCCAACTGAGGCCCAGAGAGGGGAAGGGGTGTACCTTGTGGGGTCAAAAAGTTTGCAGTAGAACTAGGGCAGCTCTCCACTATCTCGAATGAATGAATGATGTACATAGGTAAGGATAAAGTACATAGAGGGGCAGCAGATGAGATTAGGGACATCAATTTCATCTTCTTTGAGGCATCAAACAGAAATTAATGGAAGTGGTAAGTCTTCCTATTGACATGCATAGGTTCTTTGGGCTCAGTACATGGGTACATATATGTGTGCCCACACCATGCCCCACAAGGCTCTGCCTTGACCCCCACATGCTCTCCTCCCTGTCCCAGGCAGGTGCTGAAGGCATAGGAGAAGCATTGCTCAGCTCGTGCCCACCCGCTGGGTTTTCTTTCCTCTTTCCAAGATTCTTCTCCAGGAAGCCCTCCTGAATTGGGGAGTCTGTGGTGCTGCCCTCCTGCCCAGACAGAGAGCCCTGCCAGCTGCTGCAGCCCCTACCCAAAGCTCAGTGGTGGGTGGTTATCCTGAATTATCCTAAGGGGACAGGAGCCTAGAGCAAGCCCCCCATCTTGTACTGTTGCACCCTGTCCCATCATATGCTTCTGTGCCCCGGGCCCCTCAACCCCTCACCCTCACCATGGCCCTATCCTCAGATCCATGTCTCCCTCAGACCTCAGACCCCCACTTCTGTTTCCCTCCCCCAAGATTCTCTGTCATTATCTCTGGAAAGTGAAGCTTGTGCATCATCATTAATGGGCTAAACAGCAGGGTCAGCGAGGCAGGTAGCAGTAAACGCAGCAATTACGGCCGCGCCTCCATCCCAGCGCCTTCGCTCCCAATCCATCTCCCCTCATCACCAGGCGGTGCTGAGCCGGCCCTGCCTTCATTACATTAATCAGGTTAATTCCAAGTTAGAGTCCACATTCTAATCAAAAGGCAGTCAACAGGGTGGGGTGCTGGGGGAAGAGGGAAGAGCTGTCCACCCAAGAAATGGGGGGTTGACGGAGGTCCCAGGCCTAGACACCTGAGAGCCTAGCCTCCAGAGCCCCATCTTTCCAGGGGCTGCTCCCACTTTGTCTGGGCCTTGCTCCTGAGACCTCTTTTGCATCCTGGATTCAAGCCAGGGCTAAGACTCTAGATACAGAGTTAGAGGCAAGGGAGAGTCCAATTCCAATTCCCTGTCTCTCTAAACACACCAACCAGGCCGTCATGTACTGTTCACAAGGTAGTGCACTGACAATGCTAGGAGGGCACCACGTTTATATTGTAGTCTATGTGAATGATGCCCTTAGAGCTGTGCAGTGTACAACCTGCACAACAGAGCAGAGCAGCCCTGTAGGTTACCTCCTAAGAAACCAAGGTCCTGGGGAAGGTCAGAGGATACTGGAGAAGACAGAGTGGAGGCCATGGAGCCAACACTGGAACTCAACAAGCTCATTAAGATGAAACAGAGATCAAGAGAATGAGCCTCCAGCAGCAGCAGCTTCTCCATTGGCCCCAACACTCTGGCATCTCTGCAAGGTTCTGTCCTCATCCTCTGCCAGGAAATGTCATCTGCTTCCCCAGCTTCAAATATCACCATGTTGATGAGGCCCTCCCCTTCCCCCAAAATCTTTCCTACACCCTGACTTCATATTCCATTTGGATAGCTCCACATGGAAATCCCTCCAGTTGCACAAAGAACATGGATGAAATAGCTCGGAAGCTGCTCTCCCAAATTTACTTCTCTTCCCTTTCTCCATGAATTCCTCCTCCCTCTCTGGACCAAGCTAGAAATATTGAAAGTTATTAGAGAATCCTTCTTGGACCCTTTATTAGTTTCCTATAGCTTCTGTAACAAATTATTACAAACTTAGTGGCTTAAAACAACATGGGTTTATTATTTTTCAGTTCTGGAAGCTAGAAGTCTAACATGGGTCTCACTCTAAGCTCAGATCAAGGTATTGACTGGGCTGGTTCCTTCTGGAGGCTCTAGAGGAGAATCTACTACCTTGCTTTTTCCAGCTGCTAGAGGCTGCCTGCATTCTTTGGCTTGTGGCCCCTTCCTTCATCTTCAAAGCCAGCAGGATAGCATCTTCAAGTCTCTCTCTGATTCTGACCCGTCTGCCTTCTTTAACTTGTAAGGGCCAATCCTTGTGAGTATATTGGATCTCCTCAGATAATCCAGGATAAATCTCCTGGAGTTGACTGGCAACCTTAATTCCCCCTTGCTCTGTAATATAACATATCCACAGGTTCTTGGAATTAGGATATAGACCTTGATGATATAGTTAGGATGTTCCCTCCAAATCTCATATTAAAATGTGGAAGATTCCTCCAACAATCCCCAATGTTGGAGGTGGGGCCTAGTGGGAGGTGTTTGGGATGGATCCCTCATGAATGGCTTGGTGCCCTCCCCACAGTAATGAGTGAGTTCTCCCTGTATTAGTTCACGTGAGGGCTGGTTGTTTAAAAGACTGTGACATTTCTCTTGCTCCCTCTGTCACCATGTGACATGCCCATTCTGTTTGCCTTCTACCATGAGTAAGAGCTTCCTGAGACCTCACCAGAAGCTGAGCAGATGCTGGTGCCATGTTGCGCAGCCTGCAGAACTATGAGCCGAATAAACTTTTTTCTTTATAAATTATCCAGCCTCTAAACAGGTATTCCTTTATAGTAACAGAAGACAGAATAATACACTTGGGAAGCCATTATTCTGCCTGCCATAAACCCCAAATATCAGATTGATCTTCAAGTCCTGTTAATTCTATGCCTCCAAGACAGCCCTTCTATCAGTTCCTGCGTTCTTTATCTTGGATTGTCTAGACATTACAATAATCTATCTTCAACCTCTCCCTCTCCAATTACAATCATCAACTTCCAACCTTTCCCTCTCTAATCCACTTTCCAAGAGGCTGCCAGAATGAGGCAGATGCTTTTATTGTTCCTAGCATCTCTTCCTCTTGGCCCACCTCGGATTTCAGTGCAGCTAGCCCAGGAAAGGGAATGTAATGACCCTGGCAGCAACTGTCAACCAGTGGGGACCTCCTTCGAGTACCCAGTAATAGATAAGTACCCAGCTTCCTGTCCTTTAAAGGGACAATTCTGAAGTGCATTCTACGTGATTCTTCAGAGGATCTCCAAGGATCGCTTTTTGGTTGCCCATAGAGACAACAAGCTTTCTTTTTTTTTTTTTTTTGAGACAGAGTCTCACTCTGTCGCCCAGGCTGGAGTGCAGTGGCGTGATCTCGGCTCACTGCAACCTCCGCCTCCCGGGTTCACGCCATTCTCCTGCCTCAGCCTCCCTAGTAGCTGGGACTGCAGGCACCCACCACCACGCCCGGCTAATTTTTTTTTTTTTTTTTTGTATTTTTAGTAGAGACGGGGTTTCACTGTGTTAGCCAGGATGGCCTCGATCTCCTGACCTCATGATCCACCCATCTCGGCCTCCCAAAGTGCTGGGATTACAAGCGTGAGCCACTGCGCCCGGCCACAACCAGCTTTCTTCTCTGTTTCCCTCTCCCCACTCCCTCACGACTGCTCCCTGTGATCACCTTCCAAATAAACTGCCTTCACCTAAGTCCTTGTCTCAAGCTCTGATCTAGGGGAAAATCAAACTAAGACAGAGTCATATCTCTAAGATGAAAATCTGATCAAGTCATTTTCCTTATTAAAGACAGCAAACAACTCCTGCCCTCAGGTTAAAGTACTAACTTGGAGGTTGGTATTCAAAGCCCTACATAACCCTACCCACTTCTCCAATCTCATCATTTTCTGCATCCATCCACTTATCCTATTCTCCAGCCATGCGAGATTTCCCCCATAAACTCTCACATCCCCAAGCATTCACTCACATTAAGAGCTCTGAGTTCTAGATCCTGCCCATCTCTGCATGGATGTCTCATAGCAAACCTCAAGCTCAACGTGTCTAAAAATGGAACTCAACTTCTCAGCAATGTTCTCTTTTCTCTAACTTTCTCTCAGTTTTCCTTTGTTTTGTCTGACTCTTCACCATCTTTCCCATTTCTTTTTCTTTCTCCAGTCTCATATACATGACTGATCTCCAGGCTTTCGTCCTTGACCCTCCTCTTTTCTTGATCTCAACATTTTCCCTGAGTCGCCTCATCCCTTCCTAAGGCATTGTTTACAGCCTACACATGCGGACAATTCCATCTCCAGGCTGGACCTCTCACCTCTCTGCTAAGCTCCAAACCCATATTCAGCTGTCTACTGGATACCTCAACCTGGATGTCCCATAGCAACTTGAACTCTATATGTTCCAGACTGAATCATCCCTCAACTTCCTCATCCTCTAATATTCCCCTTTATGGAATCATCTACAACCTAGCTGTTCAGAAATATTCACCTCCTTTTGCCTTGTCCCCTCCCCAGATCATTCCATTGCCTTCTCCAGTCTAGCCTCCACACAACAGTCAGTGAATCAGTGCAATCTTTTGTTGTTGTTGTTGTTGTTGTTGTTGAGATGAAGTCTCACTCTGTCACCCAGGCTGCAGTGCAGTGGCATGATCTTGGCTCACTGCAACCTCCACCTCCCGGGTTCAAGCGATTCTCCTGCCTCAGCCTCCCGAGTAGCTGGGATTACAGGTGCACACCACCACACCCAGCTAATTTTTGTATTTTTAATAGAGACAGGGTTTCACCATGTTGGTCAGGCTGGTTACGAACTCCTGACCTCAAGTGATCTGCCCGCCTTGGCCTCCCAAAGTGCTGGATTACAGGCGTGAGCCACCACGCCCGGCCAACAATCTTTCTATCACATATATCTGAGAGATACCTCCAACTCAGTACCCACTGAAGGAAATCCTACGTTTCTTAGCATGTTCTAGAGTCCTTCTTCTCGGGGTCTGCCCACCTGAGCAGCCCCAGCTTCCCTTTATGTGACCCATACTGTCTGATCTGGTTGCAATGCGCTTCCTATACCACGACCCCATCAATGCCTTCTCTACTTAGAGACTTTCTTATCTTTAAAGCCACCTCTTCTTGGAGGCCTTCCAGACAGTGTTTCCAGGGCAACCCATGCAGCACAGTACTCTAACTATGATGCATATTTACCAGTCTTTCTCCTTGTTAGACTGGGAATCCTTGAGGTCAGGGACTCCATCTCAGTGTCCTTTGCCCCATAGCACTGTGCCTGCTTCTTAGCACAAGTTTATTCAGTGCTTGCTGAACAAATGGATGAATAGGTATGCAGTTTCACACAGAGCAAAATTCTTATTTATGTAATGACACACACACACAGTCACTGTGTTCATGGTTACGCAGACAGAGACAGCCATCCTCCCTCACACTGTCGTTTCAATGTATGAAGAGTCTTCAACAGTCAATCACATGCCTCCACCATCACTTACCTACGGCCACATACCAACATTCACCCACACACCCACCTCCATGTCAACCAAGGCACTCGTTGTCACGTCCCCACACACATGCACGTCACAAACTCCCACGCGGCCGCACACACAAACTCACACAGAGCCATGGATACACGGCCACACGTACAGCTCCAAACACCTCGAGGGCACACTTCATCTCCAATTGTGAGCAAATGCTGTTGGTTTTCATTAATCTGCAGGCTCTGTGTTTGCCAGTCTCTCTGGCTCCCCCTCTCCCTCTTCCCCACTCTCTCTCTTTCTGCTCCGAGGCAGGTGAGCGCATCAATTTTCTCCTCGTCTGTGGCAGTTAAATTAAATGGAATCGGCCTGGTTGCTGAAAATCAAAGGGAAGGCTGATAAAGCAATTAAATCCCTCTAATTCCTCGTCCTGAAAGGTGCAGCGGCTCTGAAGCTAATTAACTTCATAATGAAAATCCTTCTTCACCCTTTTAGGCTCTTCTCCTCGGGTCTCCTCTCCTCTCCTCTCCTTCTGGGGAGAAGCTGGTTACTGAGGAAGAGCTGGATCAGCAGCATTAAAAGTCAGAACCCTGGAGAGGTCTCGGGGGACTCCTGTGCTCCTGCGTTCAGCTCCCTCCCCTTCCCTCCTCTGCTCACCCCTTTCTCCTACACCTAGTTACCTGCCTAGCTCTCAACACCACATTTCTAACGTCCACCACCCCCGCAAACACCCCACACTACGCCAACACCAGATCCACCCCTACTACATTCAGCCCACCTCCCACCACCTACCCCAGCACCCAGCTGTTACCCCAAATGCCAAGGCTTCCTCCACCCCACATCAGCCCCCTAAAACCAACTCTGTCTCTAAAATCGGCCCTGCCCAACACATAGGCCACCTGCCCCTCGAGCTCGATCTCAACAGCAGCCTGCCTTCAGTGCACAGTTTATAATCCTGAACACCTAATACGTACCCAGAACTATGCTACGCACTGGGGTGTAAAGATGAACAAAAACAACACAAGCCCTGTCCTAAAGGATCTCCTTATCTGGAGGTAGAGAAAATAAGGCCTTCCAAAAGCGAAGCTGTCTTAGTCCATCAGGCTGCTATAAGAGAATACCAGAAACTGGGTGGCATATAAACAACAGAAATTTATTTCTCCCAGCTCTGGAAGCTGGGAAGTCCAAGATCAAAGCACCAGCAGATTCCATGTCTGGTGAGGTCCCACTTCTCATAGATAGTGCCTTCTTGCTGTGTCCTCACATGGTGAAAGGGACTAGCTAGCTTTCTGGTGTCTCTTTTTATTTACTGACTTGTTTGTTTATTTTTATAGCAATACCAGCTTGAGAATGGGGTCTCCACCTCTACAACCTAATCACCTCCCAAAAACCCCACCTCCTAGTGCCACCACCTTGGGATTAGAATTTCAACACAAATTTTGGGGAGACATGAACATTTGTGCCATAACAGAAACCTATGAGAGGGGCCTGCAGTGCACTCTGGCAGACTAGGGAAGGCTCCAGATGGGAAGCACTTGGACTAGGTCATTAAGTGTTAGCTGGGGCAGGTTGGGCATGGTGGCTCACACCTGTAATCCCAACACTTTGGGAGGCCAAGGTGGGACGATTGCTTGAGTTCAGGAGTTGGAGACCAGCCTGGGCAACATAGCAAGACCTCGCCTGTACAAAAAAATTAAAAATTAGCCGAGTGTAGTGGTGCATGCCTGTAGTCCCAGATACTTGGGTGGTTGAGGCAGGAGGATCGCTTGAACCCAGGAAGTCGGGGCTGCAGTGAGCTGTGATCATACTACTGCACTCCATCTCGGGTGACAGAGCGAGACCCGTCTCAAAAAAAAAGTCAGCTGGGTTGACTGGCTGGGAGAAGGAGATGGAGTCAGGAGAAAGAGCATTTGCAAAGCTTGGAGGTGGGAGAGAGCAAGAGCTGATCAGGGATTGGGAGTTTGTTTGCAAAGGTAGCCCCTGGGCCATGTGGGAGGCTTGGCTGCAGATGAGGCTGGGTAATTGGGCAGAGGCCAGACCATGAAGGGCTTTAAAGACCATAGCAAGGAGTCTTGGTTTATTTTTCTTTTTTTAAGACAGTGTCTCATTCTGTTGCCCAGGCTGGAGTGCAGTGGCTCAATCTCAGCTCACTGCAACCTCTGCCAACAGGGTTCAAGCAATTCTTCTGCCTCAGCCTCCCGAGTAGTTGAGATTACAGGCATGCGCCACCACACCCGGTTAATTTTTTTATTTCTTAAGTAGAGAGAGGGTTTCACCATGTTGGCCAGGCTAGTCTGGAACTCCTGGCCTCAAATGATCTGCCCACCTCGGCTTTCCAAAGTGCTGGGATTACAGGCAATAGCCATGATGCCCGGACAGTTTCTTTCAAACAATGTCAGGTGCTAAATAGGATTTACTTGTCACATAGAACCAGAGTTTGTTGAAATTCTTTTCCACTACCCCACATGTGGGAGCAGGGCAGACACAGGGAGGATCGCAGACATATGCGAGTGTCCATGAGCACACTAGCAGGAGCAGGCCTGGGGAACAGGGACCCCAGGAGACATCCAGTCAAAGCGAGTCTAAGAAGGTAGCAGAGCAAGTGCATGGGATGGCCTTCTGTGATTTGAGAGAGGGAAGAGGCCCTTGCTCTGTGCTGTCCCGCTGCCAGCCCGGAGATGCTCACATTTTGGCACCTACCTCTCCCCTCCCTCTGGAAAGTCCATCCATTTCCATGGCTTCAGATCTTACCTCTCCATGGGGAGCTGTGAGCCCCACAAGGGAAAGGTGCAGTCTGTCTCATTCGCTGTTGAATCCTCAGCCCAATCTATTGTAGATGCTCAGTAGATATTTTTTAACTGATACAAAGAAATGAACAAATCTACACCCTCGAGCTCCAGACCTGTGTATTCCACTGTCAACTAAACTTTTCCACTTGCACGTTTCCATCTCACACTTAACATGTCCCAAACCAAACTCATTCCTCCCCGCTTGCCCACCTGAATCCTGCTCCTCTGCTTGGTTTCCTGTTTTAGTGAATGGCACCACCAGCCACACAACTGACAAGCCCAAGGCCTGGGCTTCATTCTCAGCCCTTCCTTCTCTACCACCCCTACCCCCACATCGCAGCAGTCTCCACTGCCATTCATTCTGCCTTCCTACTGCTTCTCCTCTTTCCTCTCCCACTACACTCTCCCCGCCACCACCTCTCATGCTCTCTGTGATTTCCTGGCTGGTCTCTCTGCTTCGGGTCTCCACCACTTCCAATCCATCCTCCAGAACAATTGTTCTGAAGTGGAAAATAGGAACACATCACTCATCTACTTACTATTCTCATAGGCTCATCATTCCTTATAAAGCAAAGGTCAGCTCCTCAGCTAGCCTACAGGACCCCAGACTTCAGCCACAGCTGACTTCTTACAGCAACCAAATGTCCCAGATTCATGTTGGGGTGCCTTGTTCCTTGCCCGTCTGGAATGCCCTTCTCCAAACTCCACTGGACCCCGGCTTCCTCCCACCCCTGACCACCCCATCATGTTTCCAGACTCCCTGAAATTTTCTTTAGAGGTTCTATTTTATGTTTGTTTTCCTTTGAGCTTTTCTGTGCCTTCTATGTATTCTGCATGGAGCAAATATTATTTTTGTAACTAGAGAAAGAAAATGTTTTAATATAGCTGAGAACCCCCTTCTCTCTAAAGCTTCTCCTCAGGCTTCCATATCCCTACCCACAGAATTCCCCTTCCGTTGGGCCTCATTGGGACCTCTCTTCCACCTGCTGGAACACCAGCAGCCTGATGTGTTTGCATATTTGTCTCCCTTACAGGGTGAGGCCCTGGAGGGCAGGGCAAATGGGTGTCCTCCTGATCTTGGCTGGCACAGTGTCAGGCACATCAGATTTGCCCCATGATTGTTGAACAAGTGAATGGCCAAGCGGCCTGAGAGAGCTGAGAGTTTAGTCAAACCACAGCATTGGGCCAGGTGCGGTGGCTCATACCTACAATCCCAACAATTTGGGAGGCCGAGGTGGGCAGATCACCTGAGGTCAGGAGTTTGAGACCAGCCTGGCCTACACGGTGAAACCCCATCTCTACCAAAAATTCAAAAACTTAGCTGGGCATGGTGGTGGGCACCTGTAATCCCAGCTACTTGGGAGGTGGAGGCAGGAGAATCGCTTGAACCCAGGAGGTGGAGGTTGCAGTGAGCCGAGATGGCACCATTGCACTCCAGCCTGGGTGACAGAGCAAGACTCCATCTCAAAAACAAACAAACAAAAAAAACACCACAACATCCCATGGGAGTCAGAGTGTTGAGGGCACAATCTGCAGGAGGTAGAGAGCAGCCAGCAGGGTCAGCCCTGCCACAAGGCCCGGTAACATTCCTGAAGGATCCCACTGGATTGGGGAAGATGGTAATAGAACTTCCCACGTGGAGAGGGCTGGCATAGGTCCCCAGCCCCAGCCCAATCCTGGTCTCCACCTTCAGAGATCCTCAGAGGTGCAAGGAGAGAAAAGCAGTGGGAGGGAGAAGCAGAGATGTGGGAGAAAGGCAGAGACAGGACGAGTGACAGAGGGAAGGAGGCTCTTATGAAGACACAGGGAGACAGTGGCAGAGACTCCAGAAGGGCAGATGGGTGACAAGGCCCCCAGCACAGCCCAGGAGCCTCCATGCACACAAAGCCCACGCTGGGGTTGGGGGACAGGGTCCTGGGGATTGGGGAGAGGACAGCAGGTTCCCAACCCTCTGCAGGTGCCAGCCCCCATCCTGGGCCAGCTCCCCACCCTTTCTGGAGCCAGCGGGTGGCACCCTGCCGGGGGCAGATGAGACTCCGACATGAGTGATGGGTGCCGATTTAGGCCCAGATTTGCCACAATTGTGGGGGCTGGCGCAGTTCTGAGACCAGGAGGAGGGGTGGGCAGGGTGTAAGCAGGCTGGACTGGCGATGGGGAAGCAGGGAGATCTCTGTGGGGAAGAGCCAGACTTTTCTCTGAGTGCCCAGCAGAGGCCAGGTGAATGGCGATTGGGGACCACAGCCAGAGAACTAAGAGGGGGCACTCTGCACAGGGCTTGACTTGTTTGCAGAGAGTGCAGGGTGAGTCCGCTGATGGGCCTGGACACACACACACACACACACACACACACACACACACACACACACGCGTCATTCCCCAGTCCAGCATTCACACCCAGAAGAAACCTCTGTGAGGCACGTACTGAGCACACTGCTGGAATGCCTACTGCGCGCCCCGGTGCATCAGGACCACCCATTCACTCAGTCACACCGCAACAATCTCAGCCCAACAACACTGATTCACCTCATCCCAGTTGCTCAGAGTGAAAGTCAGGCAATTTGCACAGACAGAACTCATCACACAAGGCATCTCTTGGTCTCCCAGACGTCCTCGCACATACGCACAAGCAGGCAGGCATACACGCATGCACGTATGTGTGCACACACAAATTGTTAAGTTTGGCAGGAGTGATGGGGATAGCCCTGGGGGTCTGGGTCTTCGTTTTGAAGAGAGAAAAAGACAGTGTCAGGTCACTGGGCTCATGGAGGCAGATCTGGGCCACAGCCCTAGCAGAGTCCAGTGAGGTCAGCCATAGGGTTCAGGTCCCTTGGGGACAGTCCTGTCCATCCTGGATGATTCGGCCCCACCCACACTGTCTCCAGATGCCCTCCTCCACCCTGCCAGGGTCCAGTCCCCTTCAGTCCCTGCCGTCACCCCCTCCCTGGGCCCCCTCCTGTCAGCTCATTCTCTTTCCATCTGCGTCGCTTCTTCTCCCCCGACTGACCCCCCCCATCCCCGCCCCCCAGCCTCGGTGATAAAAGAGCCAGATTGGAGCGGGTGCCACGCAGCTTCATTCCCCACCATATGGGCCCAAAAGCCAAATCGTCAGCTAAGCGATTAAATCAAGTATGTCGAACAAAATGTTATGAACTGACATTATGGGTATATAATTTTATGCCATTTGTTGCCATCTGTTTATCTAAACAGCCCCCGTTCCACACAGACATACAGACTCACACCTTCCCTCCTACCCTCCACCCGTCAGGAGCCCCCACCCCCAACCAGGGCCAGAGGTCAGGGACAAGAAGACGTGTGCCAGGTAGTTGAAGAACCAGGGGCTCCAGGGTTCTTGGGAACTGCAAGGAACTAGAGGGCCAGTAGTCCCAGAGAGCTGAGGAATAGGAGAGTGGGGGTCAAAACTGCTCATTGGCCCGAAAGGGGGCAAGACCCTTGGGGAACAGGAAGTTAGGGAACCAGGAGTCCCAGGCATAAAGACTGTAGCTAGGGCCATAGCACAGGGCCATGGACCAGAGCCAGGAGAGCCTCACTGGCAAGCCTCCAGCCTGGCACGTGGCACGTGGCACGTGTGTGTAAGTGTGTGTGCAGGGCAGGCACAAGAGCTGCAGCTGTGCACATCACAGAAAGCTGTAGGAGCTTTCTCTCCCTCTGCCCCTGTTTGTCCTGGGGGCCCAAGGCTCTCAGAGCCTGATAGGAGGGCTGGCTCCTCTCAGGACCACAGGCACAGGTCAGGGGGCCAGAGGCTTAGGCCATTGTCACTCATGTCTCCTCCTCAAAGTATGGTCACAGGGCAGGTGCCCCATCAAGCCCAGAGGATAGGGAGCCCCCGTCCCTATACCCCTCCAACCCCAAACAGCTTTGGAGTCTGAAATAGCCCCCTTAACACCAGGCCTGGGCCTCTGTGAGCTTAAGTGTGAGCCCCCAGCCACAGATCCGCGGCCATCCCACCCTCTTGGGCCTCTCTGCTGCCTGGCCCTGACCTGTGTCTGTCTCCACGCCTGTGGTCTCTCTGTCTGACCTCCCCTGTCTACCCCCTCTTCCATGGTGAGGGTCTCTGTGTGTCTCTCTCACCTCACTCTCTTTCTGCCTGTCTCTGGCTCTGTTTTGACCTCTGACTCTCCTGGAGGTACAGGCTTGGGCCTCAGAGATATCTAGCCAGAGGGATAGTGACTCCACAGAGGAGTACAGAGGTGGGAGGTGGGGTGGAGGAAGTGGGCCAGGAAGACAGCGGAGCAAAACATGACACACAGGGACTCAGATGGTGGACAGTCAGGTGACCCTGGGGCACTGCAAGCCTTGGGGCTGCTCCAGGAGCTGGAAGGAGTGTGGCCTGTGGGTGAAGAAGTGTGAGGAAGGTGAGGGAAGCTTCGGCGTAAGGGAAGGACGCCCCAGCCAAAGGGTGCATGGGGAAGACGGCAGGCAACCTCTTGCAAGATTTATTAAAACACTACCACACACACACACACGAGACAGAGAGAGAGAGACAGGTCCCAGGAGCCCATCCATGCCCATGCACAGGGCTCGATGACACTTGCCATAGAAAGACCTCAAGGTCACTGAGTGTGCTCCCTCACCATCAGGGACAGTGTTGCCAGCAAGTCAGGCATTCCAGTGCCCAGCCTCTCGCAGTTCTCCCCCAGGAGTGTGTACACAAGCGTGTCCTCCAGGCTTGGGCTTACCCTCCACTTCCCCACACACAGCATCACACAGCCACCCGGCACCCACAGAGACACATGTCTCTATCTCTGTTGCAGGAAGAGATGAAGCACTGCAGAGGAAAGCCCAAAGTGAGCGCTGGAAATCCAAACAGGAGGAGGAAAAAAGCAGCCAGATAGCCTCAAGAGATGAGGCTGAGACAAGACGGACAGGAAGAAACAAGGAACCAGACAGAGACAGAGACAGCGGCCAAGGGACAGAAAAAGAAGGAGAAAGACAAAGAGAAGACGGAGACTTGAAGGCCGATGAGGAGGAAGCAAGAGTGAGGGGACGCTGCGGGCGGGAGGGGGTGCCCAAGACGCTGAAAGCCAGGAAGGCACGGGTGGTGGCAGCGGCTGAGGCTGGAAAAGCTCATTTTGCTGGTAATTTACTCTCCTGCTTTTGGGCTGCTCCGCCTGCCGCTGCCGCCCGCCCGGGCTGCCTGTTCCAATATTAGATATAAACAAGTAAACTGTGTAATGGATCACATTAAGCAGGCTTTGCGTCTTGAGGCAGGATTTAATTTGCATGGCAGATTAGCTTGTCTTCCCAGCAAGGCACCCCGGGGCACCCCGAGCTGTAATAGGATCCCGCCTCTTAGAGCCCATTAAGGCAATTGAGAGCGCCTCCTAATCTCCCTCCCCGCCCTGCACCAGAATCCCCTCCTGCCGGACCAAGGAGGGACTTGTGATAGCGGACGCCCATCTTGTAACCCTGTGTGGTGCCCCCATCTCAGGCCCCACCTTGCCCTTAAAGCAGCAACCCCAAGCCCCATGGGTTGCCCCCTTTCTACCTCCTTCCTCAGCACCCAACCTCAGAGAACTTGCCCTTTGAGCACCCCCAACTCTGCTTCAGAGCACCCCGACTGCCCTGAATCCACTTTCCCCCATTCCTCCAAGTGTCCCCAAACTCCAGGCCTGTGCTCTGACCCCTAGCTTTCTCCATTCCCTGCCTGGCTCCCCCAGATCCTCCAGCAATCAGTGGGCTTCCTAGCTGAGGTCAGGGGTTAGAATGTCTTCCATCCCTTTCTTCAATTTTTCATTTAACAGCCGTTCATTGAGCTTCCTGTGCCCCTAACAATATCATTGTCTGGTTGGGAATCAGAGCAAGACTCAGAACCTGCGTGGAGATCAAAGTTCAACTTACAATCTGGTTTCAAAGTGGGGCTGAAGTGAGTGATTATAACAACCCTCATTTGTGGGGCGCCTTAAAGTTTATGTGTTACATCTATTAGGTCATTAATCCTAACCTTCAGAGAGGAACTCTTTTAAATCAGCCCCACTGGGCCAGGCATGGTGGCTCACACCTATAATCCTAGCACTTTGGGAGGCCGAGACAGGAGGATCACTTGAGCCCATGAGTTCAAGACCAGCCTGGGCAACATAGGGAGACCCCATCTCTACAAAAAATACTAAATTAGCTGGGCATAGTCCTACCTACTCGGGAGGCTTAGGTGGGAGGATCACTTCGGTCCAGGAGGTCAAAGCTGCAGTGAGCCGTGATCACTCCACTGCACTCCAGGCTGGGCAACAGTGCAAGACCCTGTCTAAAAATCCCAAGAAATTAAAAATAAGCAAATAAATAAATAAACCAGCTCCATTGAAAAGATGAGGAAACGGGCTCAGTGAGGAGAAATGATTTGTCCAAGGTCAAACGATTGGTAAGGGGCAGCTCCAGGACTCCACCCAGCTCTGCCGGACCCGAAGTGCAGAAGTCTTTCTGATATACCACAGTACCGGGGTCAGCATTGGTCTCTGGAGAGGAAAGGGGCCGTCTTAGGGTTAAGGCCCATACCAGGGTCCATATCAGGACCAGGCCGATCTTCGCTATCAGTCCCCTGCCCCACAACTGGACCAGGGTGAGTGGATCCCACAGCAGGGATCAGTTTCCCACTTATTTAACCAAAGGTAATCCTGCAGTGGAGTTACTGAACACTTGTGAAGGGCACTAAACAACCAAATGCCAGTGGCACTGGAAACCAGGGAGACTGGGGTAGGTGTAGAGAAAGACCTGCAGGCTGTGGAGCATCCCCCAGCCCGATCCCCTCAGCATTGGCAAGCCCCTGAGCTGGACTGGGTTGGGCTGGGGATGGGGACTGTGGAGCCTGCAGGGAGACGGGGCCTGGGTGGGTGGGTATGGGGCCAGGCTGGTGGAGAAGGGTCAGTTCAGTCCTGCTTAGCTCACAAAGGGTCCTTGTTGTGGGTAATGGGACTCCCCTGGCAGCTTTATTTGCTGTCAGTGGCTTTTATTAAAGTCTCCAGTTTCAGACCCTCCAACCTCCAGCCATTGTGTGTGCTCGCCCTGGGCCCTGCCCCCATCCCCTGGCTAGATGACTCTGAAGGGCCTCCCTGCTCTGTCTCCTGGGCCCCAGCCACCCCCCCCAACCCAGGCACCAGTCTCCCACCTTCACCTCCCAGAGAGAGGGCAGAAAGGCTATGCACTCGGGGGAACATCTCAGCCCTGGCCCTCCAACACCTCAAAATGGACCCAAATCTCCCAGACGTTGTGACTGGTGCTGGGGGTGAGGCAGTGAGGCAGCCTGGGCAGAATGCACACTGAGTGGCACACACGCATGCACATATGTGTACCCTTGTGTGTCCTTGAGGGCTGCATACCCATCTGTTCCCTCAGCCCGTGTCTTCACACAGACACACACAGAAATGAGTACTGTTTAGGGATTGAGAGGAGGGTGGGGTGGGGGCTTCAGTTTGATTCCATGAGCATTTAGGGACACCCTCCACCTCCACCAGGCACCAGGTCAGAACTAGAGGGCAGGAGGATGGAGAAGCGTCTTCCAGCTTCGTCTGTCACTTGGGATACTGACTCTCCCTGCTGCCTTCTCTCTGCCCACAGAAAGAAGCAGGCAGAGGAGCTAGGCTGGGCCTTGACGCTGGGTGAAGAAGAGACACGCAAATGCACCAAATATCAGCAGGTGTTTAACCTTACTTCACCCAGATTCTAACCTCTCGTTTGTAGCCCAGAGCCCCAGCCCTGGATTCACAGCCCAGAACCCAAGCAGCTGAGGCCTGGTTCTTACACACTTCCTTCCCAGAGAATATACTTGGGGTTGGGCACTGGAGAGACCCAGCCTTCAGGATGACCTCCCTGGGGCAGAAGTTTGAAGTAAAAATGGGCACATGATCCCAGGAAATCCTTGCTGAGCAGGGGAAAACAGAAGAGGGACATAGAGGGAAGCCCAAGGGCCACAGGTGGGGACTGAAGGGGACTCACATCCTGCACTTGGGCTTCTCGTCCATGCCCCACCCCACCCCTGTGGAGCTAGAGGGAAGAGACCGCACTGCCCTTCTCTCCATTACCCACTTATGTGAGAACTGAGGTTGGCATAAGTGCACAGCCAGTGACTGCGTCTGTGTGCAATTGGGTGTGGGCCACTAGGAATGTGAGTGTGTGTGCATGCATGTGTGTAGGGGGGTGATAATGGGGTCCACATGAGCATGAACACTGGGGTGTCAATCGTATACTTATATGTGTCTTCTGGAGGTGTCTGCTCTGGGGAGAGCAGCTCTATAGTTTATGTGAGGCGAGGATGTCTATGGTCGAAGGTGACTGCATGTATTTGTTGTGGGCTGTCTGTCCTGCATACTTTTGGGTATATAAGAGAGAGGGGGCCGGGCACGGTGGTGGCTCACGCCTGTAATCTCAGCACTTTGGGAGGCCGAGGCAGGTGGATCACCTGAGGTCAGGAGTTCATGACCAGCCTGGCCAATATGGTGAAACCCCGTCTCTACTAAAAATACAAAAATTAGCTGCGCATGATGGCACTCACACGTAGTCCCAGCTGCTCAGGAGGCTGAGGCAGGAGAATCGCTTGAACCCAGAAGGCAGAGGTTGCAGCAAGCCGAGATCGTGCCACTGCACTCCAGCCTGGGCGACAGAGCGAGACTCCATCTCAATGAAAAAGAGAGAGAGAGAAAGAGAGAGAGAGAGAGAGAGAGATCCAGGGGGTCCACAGCCCTCCCCAGGGTCTTCTGAGCCCCTGGCTCGGCCTGTGCCAGGCCATTTGGGGAGCGCCTGTGCTTTATGGTGCGCGGTTGAAAAATGGAAATGCTAATAAGTAGTCGTTAAATTGTCTTGCAAAAATGTTAAATGATAAATTGGGTAATGTTATTGTTGAAATGAAATATGTAAAATAAATGAGTTATTTATTTCTAATAAATATTTTGTTTACGATATATTTGTAGGGGTG
Organism: Homo sapiens; assembly: GCF_000001405.40. Taxonomy (NCBI): domain Eukaryota; kingdom Metazoa; phylum Chordata; class Mammalia; order Primates; family Hominidae; genus Homo; species Homo sapiens. The sequence continues at coordinate 100,870,529 of NC_000010.11, forward strand.
TTAATTATTTTCCCCCTCAATCGGGGCAACGTATAAATTCTAATAAAGTGCGGGCTATGGTGAAGGCAGCGGGGCCGGTGGCGGCTCCTCCAGGCCGGGCTGCTGCAGGACCTCAGCCTGTGATGGATGCGGCAGTCACAAGCGATTGTTCTACTCGCTGATATTCTAGGCTCCCAAATGTGGCCTGTTTTGTTTCAAAAAAAAAAAAAAAGAAAGAAAGAAAGAAGAAAAGAGAGAGTCAGGGAAGAAAACAAATAGGCCAGGGTCTCCATGATGAGATGGTTAAATATACCAAGGCTGGGTCTCGCTCCTTAGCTAGCTGCACAGGCCCTGGGCACTCCTGTCACTGTTGCAGCCAGCTTTGCGGAAGGAGCAATAAACACATAAGCAAACCAAGCGGTGAAGAAACTTCGTGTCCCCTAGGCGCATCAGCAGCCCTGAGCACTCACGCCAGGCGAGGTGCCCTCCATGATTCCTGCTCTCCCCTGTGCCAGCTGGGGGGTTCTCCAAGGAGGCAGATGCCCCCATATCCTGCTGTTTCTAGCTCCTCCTCCCTTCAAGGGAGGAACCACACTTCCCCTTAACTCTGCCTCTTCTCCCCCTGCCAGGCCCCTTCCAAACCCTCTGATGCAGGAACCTCCAGGACTATCCATGGCCTGCCCAGGGGGACCCTAGTTTAGCCCCCTCAGGATCCATCTGACCAGAAATTGAACTAGGCCCTTGCCTGGCCCCTGAGGCTGGAACGCGTATGGCGTGCAGGGAACATTCCCTTTCAGAACAAGCTGCCTCCCCCCAGGGCCTTATCTCCCTGTGAGTAATAAAACTGCTGAGGCAGGACGGCCTGGTGGGCAGGCACAGGCAGCATTGGGTGCAGGATGCAGGGCTGTTCTGTCCCTGCCCCAGGCATCAGCTCATCCACCCTCCCTCCGGCCCTCATCCAACTCCTGGAGCTGAACTAGGCTCCAAGTTCTCACGACAAGGGCAACAAGACTCTAGGCTGACCTCCACCTTGGGATCGCAATCACTTAGCACACCTCTCTTCAAGATGGGGGGTCCTGCTGCAGGGCCTCAGCCTGTGATGGAGTGACCCTGGGGGCAGGCAGCTTGTTCTGAAAGGGAATGTACCCTGCACCCCCAATACGTGTTCTGGTGTCAGGGGCCAGGCCAGGGCCTAGTTCAATTTCTGGTCAGAAACATTCTGAGGGGCCTAACTAGGGTCCCCCAGGACAGGCCATGCATAGTCCTGGAGGTTCCTGCATTGGAGGGTTTGGATGCATGATGGGGAGCTACAACCCCAAGGCAGGTGGGATTAGGCAGATTCAGGGGGTTCCCATGGGTCCTTCAGAGGTTGGGTAGGGTAACAATTCTTCCCAGGCTGGGGTTCCCCAAAGCTTGTTCAAAGGGGCCCTTACCTCTTCCACTCATCTATCACTGCCCACCATCCAAGCTAAGCCACTGGGAACTGCCTCTCAAAAAGCATCTCTCTGAGCAGGTGCGACCTGTGCATGTGAATGTGTAATAGGAACAACAGGCCAGGGTTATTGTAGGATGGAGAGACCTTCAGCCTGGGACTAAGAGGAAGGTAAATCACAGAGGCGGACAAGAGAGACACACCACATGCACTGCCCGGTTCACGGGCACCACACTGACCCCATACACAGATGCCAGACTTGGACACACAGCCGCACATGGTGCTTGCATCATGCACATTCACTTGCAAAGCCCCAGTCCCACACAATCATGGTCTCTAAATCGCCAATCCCGCACAGCTACACTTTTGGGCAGTTTGAATCAGGTCCAGGAGCTATAAGGGAGGATGACCAGACAAAAAGGGACATGAAATCATTGCCCATCTGTGGGGCTCTCATCGGGTGTTGGGAGGGGGTGTCAACACCGGGGAGAGGTCGCCCCCTGCTGGAAAGACGACTGTAACCACTTCCCCATCCAAGCCTGCCCAGCTAATCTTACCCCTAACCCTCCCCTAGTAAGACATCCACACACACCACACATTTATCCACCACACTCTGCCTAAGCCCCAGCCAGGCTGCATAACTCTGGGTTCTTTTAAAAACATGTAAAATCTTTGATCATCATTTGTTTAAACTGTATAAATAATCTACTGGGTTTTAATAGGATTTTTCTATGAATCGGCAACAAAGCATGAAATGTGATATTTTCACCATGAGTAGTTGGGAAATTAGTCACCTCTGTCCATGGCTCCCTGCTGGCTGGAGACCCCCAGGCTGTCTGGTTCCTGTCTCACCTCCACCTCAGGCCTTTCAAATGCTACCCCGACAGCTCCTGCCTTTTTGGGGTAGTAGGGGGAATTCTGTGGTGTCACTATGAGGAGGCCTGCTGGTTGTCTCCTCGTCTCAAAGCAAAGACCAGGCTGCCCTGGGTTCCCGTTTCTCTGATTTATCAGAAGTCAGGGTCTTTGGTTCTCTACGTCTCATTGCGGGCTACAGTGCAGGTTGGGATGGGGAACAGGGATGGGCAGTGGGTTTAAGGATAGTTATTTGGGGCAGAAGAAGTTCGAGGGCAGAGAGTTGGAGTCATTCACAATTTTCCCATCTTCCCCAAAGTTCTGCACACTTGTTCACTCCCCAGGCTGTTCCACACTCACAGCAGCAGGACCCACACACCCCGTCAAGGAGGCTGGGCCTGTCTCCTGAGGTTTACAAACTGCCCGCCCACTCTGGGAGCAAAAGGTGCTAAGTCTGGGAGAGGAACAACTGTTGGGGGCAAGGAAGGGTGAGAGATGGAGAACAGATCTAGGGAAGCAGGAAATGAGGGCTTCAGGGATGGCAGCCAGGCAGGGATCAGAGATGGAGGAATCAGAGATAAGACCAGGACTTCGGAGTTAGATGGATGAGGCAGAGATGGTGGAAACTGCCCAAATATGCAAGCGAGGCTTTCAGTCCAGCTCCCAAATGACTCCTGACCCCAGTCCCCACCACCAAGTACAGCAGTCCCAAAGAATGCCTCTTACGCCTCACTGCCCTGTTGGGAAAAGCCAGTGGCAATGCCAGTGACCAAGAGCCTATGCAGCAGGGCTGGCCCTGAGCTACCCAGATGGGTCTTGGGCCACCCAGGTCTCAGGCCAAAGCCTGGTAAGCCTCAGCCTCAGAGCTGGGCATGGGCCATGGGGGAGGGGGTTGTGGGGCCCCCTCCTTGCCCTGAACCACAGTCCACATGCTCCGAGCTGAGCAGGGCCCCTTCCTTTCTGCCCCCTGCCCCTGGCCCTAGATGAATAAAACTCAGGGGGCGGGGGGAGCTATTCATGGAACCAGAGAATGTGTGAGCTGCCCAGCAGCCCCCTCTCATTAGGGGACCCCCGTCAGGTGGCGCTCATTAACTTCAAGTTGTCTCTTGTTTTAAAACTCGGGTGAGGGGGGCAGGGTGGAGGGGCACATTGTCTGGCTGCTGCCCCAGAGAGATTAGGCGCCCAGGGGGAGGGGGCAGGCAAAGGCCCTTTAATTAGTTACTTTCAAAGGTTCCCTGTCCCCTTTCTCTCGGGTCCCCTTCCTAACCCCCGGCTGGGCCCAGCTTCGAGGGGGGCGGTCTTTTCTGCTTGGCAGAGCCGCCTGGTCACTCGGCTTAAATCCGCAGTCTTTGTTTCTGCCTGGACAATGGGCCCAGCACATCAGCCATGGAGGCCACGGAGGAAACAGGGCCTTCTCCTGTGCGGCCAGGAGCCGGCTGAGTGGGGTGCATCCTGGCACCAGCCTGCAACCTGGGGCCCCCAACAGGGGGCTGGTACCATGAATGCTTCCTAGGCTGAAAGGAAGAGGATAGGAACACACACACACACACACACACACACACACACCTCAAGACCTAGCTATTACAGAGGAAAAAGGAGAAACAAACCTCATGTCAGGGTCTCCTTCACATAGGAAGTTTCTAGGTCTTAGGGCCTGGCTCAAGGATGGGGGTGCTCTTCCTTTCTATACAGCAGAAAAAATGGTTTATGAGTCAGGCAGATCTGGGTCCCAATCTTAGCTCTACTACTCATGAGCAAATAATTAATCTCTCAAACTTCAATTTCCCTCATCTATAAAATGGAGAAAATAATGACTGCCTCTTGGGTTGTGAGGATTAAATAATCTAACTGGGTAAAAGGGTCTGGCACAGTGCTTGGCACACAGTAAGGGCTCAGTACCTGTTAGTTTCCTCCTTATATGGTTCCTATGGCCAGAGCCTTACCCTACACCCTCTACTACTAAGGAGCAGGTGCGTGGGACCCTTTCAGCTTCAGGGTGCCGGTGGCCGACACGGACTAAGCTCCTGCTGGGACACACATGCAGGAAAAGACTCAGAAAGCGCTGAGTGTGCAGACATGAATGAGGAGGAAGGAGAATCCCAGATTGGGAGTGATGGGGTTGGGGGTGGGTACCAAACAGAAAAGGGTGAGTGGGAACATGAGGAGGTAGAGGAGAGTGAGCCAGCTCTGGAGATCCTGGGGGGGTGGTCTCTGGGGGAGGGATTGAGAGGCTGTGTTGCAGGAAGAGTTGGTGATTTGCTTGGGTCAGCAGATTAATGGCACTAACGAAGTTTCCGAGAGCATGGTGAATTGGGGGGTCGGGGGCGTCCATGTGGAAAGGCACATGACTGGGGATTGATCAGGCTGAAGATGAAACAGAGAAAGCTTCCCGGGCAGCGGAGGTAGGAAACGCCAAAACCAATTACTCCCCGGCCCCTCTGGCCTCCAGATCTCTCCCCTAGAGAGGAGGGAAGGGGCTGTGACCTCTCTCTGTGGGTGAGGTCACACACATAGGCCACTCACGTGGGTAGGTGACGCCGCAGGTGCACAGGGGAAGGTCCACACATGGGAACGCATGTGCACAAGGGAAGGTCCACGCGTGGGAATGTGGAGACCTGGGGTGTGATGACGTTGCAAGTTCTGGTCTGTATGCCCTTGTGGGTCATTTGACTCCCCACAGGTGTCCCCACATTCCACCTAAGTGTCCCTATCCAGTCACCACACTTGTCACCAGGAGGAGCAAGGAACCCATGGTGATGGTGGAAGTGGAAGTGGAGGGCGTGCTGAGAATCTTCTTCATTCAGTTTTGGCCTTGAGTCTCATCTCCACAAATTAGCTAGTTTGAGCCTTAGTTTCTGGTCAGAGCAACCCTGGATTACCATTTAGGTGGCTAATTCCTTTTGCAGATAACTGACAATGTATCAGCCTCTGGTTAACGGGAGTGCACCCCACTTCATGAAAACCCATCCCTTTGGAAATAACCAATCACACACTGGTTGTTTTTAACAGCCCCTGATGTTTGTTGAATGAAAAAGTGTGGCAGATTGGGCAGCCCTCTCCAGGCTGAAGAATTCACAAAGGATATCAAAGTACCAGATCAAAGGGCAAGCAAACATCCCTTACAGGACCTACAGAAGCCCTTGGTTAAAAATCAACAAGAGGTGATTGGATGTAAGATAAGGGCCCTTCAAACTCACAACACGAACCCACTAGACGTCTACACTTGGGGTCCTTAAGGGAGCTGGGGGTGGGGAATGTGGACAGCAGGGGGCCCAGTGAGGCCTGAATTTAGCTCTTCCATGTGGAGGGCCAGCTCCCTTCTTGGCAGTGTGTATGCTGTGCGGTGTTTGCACCTTCAGGTTCAGGACAGAATTTGTGTTTCATGCCAGATGTTGAATGGTGTTATTATAGTTATTAGCAATTATGTTTTATCATAAAACCACTTTTCCTTTAAGTATGTGGGTAAAAAAATTCAGCTCTTCTTGGAGTTCTATCCAGTCTATTCCTCTTGGAGATGACTTCAAGTTTTATAATACAAGTCCATAGGCAAATGGGATTCAAGCCCTGGACATTCGCAGGAGTCCCTCTTGGAAACTTAACCATTTCAAGCAGAGAGAAGCCGCTACACTGCTGGGGTCCAGACGGCTGTCCTATGCAGGGAGGTTGCGCTCCAAAGGTACTGCACAGTGTCAGTGCTCCCTCCCTATACCCCTCACCTGTCCCCTCCCCCAACCTTCAACCTCACCAATGCAGTCACTGGGGATCCTGACCCAAGGATGCCTCCCCCTTCTCCATGCCCCCACCCCCATCCCACCCGTGCCCCCACCACAATGTCTACGAGGGAGACCGGCTCCTCTTGGGGCCTTCAAGCTTTTGTTAGGGTTATGTGAGCCACTAGTGACAAGGGCCCTGAAACCCAACTCGACCAAACTCATAAAAGGGGTCACTGTCTCTTTAATTAAAGTTCCCTGTTTGGAGGTTAAAGACAAACCCGTTTGATGGTGCAGGTGTGTAGAGTGGGGGTGGGGGAGAAGGGTGGAAGCGGCTAGAGGAAAACAGAATTCTATCCTTAGAGGGAAGTAGGGAGGGGCCTCACCAGGGGCAGGCTGGCCGAGCGATGGAAAGTCTGATGGGGGTCCCTGAGGGTCCCCAGTGTGGCAAGGGTCACAAGGGGGAGAAATCAGGCAAGAACCGGGAATCCCAGGGCCAGTGCAGCGAGCTCTGACTCCCCTGCGGGCATGCACATGCTCCTGGCCCATGCACACACTACCTGCCCTCCATGATGCCCGACTGACCACTCCCCTTGCCCACTCTTCCATCCCTCCCTTTTCCATCCCAAAAGTTCTCCAATAAAAGAGGACCCAGGGCCTAATACCATCTCCCCACAGAAGCAACTTCATCACAGTTTAACATAAAAAGATCAGCTGGTATCGACCCGTAATTTGGACCCATGCCACGCTATTGGCAGGAAGACAGAATAAGTTAGGGTGGCCATGTTTCAAAAATTCTCTGTGTGCACTCAATCACGGCCCAGGGAAGGCGGGTGGGTGCGTAATAACCCAGCCGCGCTCTCCATTTCCCCTGTAGATCAATGCTAATACCAGGAGGCCCCGGAAGATGGATGGAACCGACAGGAACCTTGAAATCCCGACACGGGGGCTGGTGCCTCAACCGATAAAGGATTTCTTCACTGCTACTGGGGCAGGGACACTGAAACCTTAGGGGCCATGGGAAGACAGTCTGATTGGGGACAAAGAGATGAGGAGAGGGAGCAGCCTCTTCTTTATGCTCACTGACACCCTTAGTCACTCACGTGGCCACTGACCGATGCTCGCTCCAGAGTCACTGACAGGCACGCCAACCGCGGCACACACCATCGCTCACACTGTACCCAGCCAAAAGCACCAACGCCTCCCCAAAGACACCTCGACTCCCTGCAGTCCCACAAATGGGTCCCTGTACACACGTGTACACATGCATGTACACAAACTCAAACCTCAACACCAGAATGAATCAAGGTATCTGACACAGGCACACTTACCTAGGGAGATACAGACACATCCAACCATTGACATTACACCCCGTCCCCGTGAAGCAAAAAGAGATGTGCATCTACATGCATATGTACTTCTCTGTCTCTCCCTCCTTCCTTTCCATGCCTTCCTTCTTCCCATTTCCTTGTGATTCTGTTTGGAAACTTGCAGGCTGATGGTCAGTCAGGGAACTTTCCAGGACCCATTGGATGTAAATCACTAACACAAAAGTACACCAGGCACACAGTCCTGGTCAACCAGACTCCCAGATGGGTGCACACACATGCTGCAAAGTGGGAGTCCTGGGTTCCAGGAACAGCTCAACATGGACTTGCTGTGTGGCCTTGGACAAGCCATTTCCTCTCTCTCTCTGGGCCTCTGTTTCCTCATCTATAAAACAACAGGTTGAACTGGGAGATTTCGAAGGGCCCTTTCAGGTCTGAATTTCTCTGTCTATTGTGGCAGACACAAATTCCTGCCAAGAGTTGCACACAAACGCAGGCAGCCCTGAGCACTCACACTGGCTGTGGTGGCCTGAAGCCACACCCACAAGGACACACAGGGGAACACAGGCACACAGGGCTCTTCCCAGCAAGGGTGCCTGCAATAGGGGCAGCAGCTCCCATCCTTCCCAGAGCTGGAAGTCAAGGAGCCTCAGAACCCACTCTTCTGGGAGCAAAGAACTGGGGACAAAGTAGAGAGATGGAGCATTGTTGTGAGTTTGAGTGGGGGACAGAGGGGGCCTTTCAGGCTGCTGTCTGATTTCCTTCCTTTTGAGCTCAGTCCCAGGACTGGAGCCATTTCCACAGCCTCGAGCTGACATCTTGTGGCCATCTCCAATGATTGCAGGCTTCACAAGGAGACACTCAGTCCCCTGCAGAGAAGCATAGCCCTGCCCAACCCAGAAAGTCGTTGGCAGAACACTGCTTCCCATCCCTGATGCCCTGTCCTATGCCCAGCTGCCAGGAAAGGCACAGGGGCTGACTTGTTCCTCCAGCGCGGACAGGTAGAATACAGGGGGCTACCTTGGGAAAAGCTTCAGGGTTACTGGGTGACAAAAGGGACTGGAAAAAAAATGGATGCTTAAGGGAGCTGCAGCCTGTGGTAGAAATGTAGTCCCACATTCCCACAGCCTCAGTCTAAGGTAAGGAAACATGGCCCAGGCCCAGGGGACTGCAGTCTAGGGAGGCGACACAGCCTTTCCCCAGGGATCTCCAGGTGAAGGAAGAGACTCAGCCCTGGCCTCCTGGAAGCCCAGTCTGATGGGAGGCATTTGGCCCTCCTCACAGACAGCCTTAGCTTTAGGGGAAGAGGGGAAGGGGAGAGACATGGCTCTGCCCTAATGGATCTTCTCATCTTAAGGAGAGAAAAACCTCAGCCCACAGCAGTGACCTCAGTCCTATCCGAGGAGTATGGAATTTGGGGGCTTGGAAGCCCCCAGCTATCTCAGCTTCCCATGCCAAGCCCTAATCTGGTAGTCTGAAAGGAACATGATTTCCATGCCTGCATCAGCAGCCTGGGGCTGGGCAGAGGGTTGGAGCAGAAGTTTTGGGGAAGTGGGCCATCCAGAGCCAGCCCCATTGATTCTGGAGAGACCTACTGGGCAGGGGTGGGGGGTGCATGGCAGGGGAGGACCACACTTTGCAGATCCTCCCAGAGGAAGCCATGATGGAAGTCCCTGGACAACCCTGGGCCAGTTCCTCCTACTAGCCAGAGCCTCCTGCCACCTCTGGAGCCAGGTCTTAGGACCCTGGAGATGACAAGTCACACACAAGGCAGAGGCCAGGGGTTCCCAACCTGGAACCAGGGAACCCTGGAGGTGCTGGGTTGATGAGTTTGTTATAAATTAGAGACTCGTTAAGAGAAGGTGAGAAGGGCTCAGTAACAGCTTTCGGGGTCCATCTTTTCGATTTCTTGTTCGGTTTGTTTATTGCTATTGTTCCTGTCTCATAAGCTTATTGCAAAACCAGTAAAAATGATCTATTCCGAAAGGGAAGTTGCTCTTTTGACTGGAAGCTGCCTCTTGGTCCTGGACCCCACCCCTCCCCCTCCTGGTGGCTGCAGCCTAGCCTGGTTGACCAGCTGTCTCCTGCCGCGGGGTCAGCAGAGGGTGCCAGATTCCTGCTCACTAGAAACTGTGTCCACCTGCCATGTAGCCACCCTGGGCTGGCCTCAGGCCTCCAACCTGGTCCCATCACCCCGATGACCGCTGCACCCCAGCCGTCCAGCTCACCTCTGATAGACACACCAGGGCTGTTATGGGGGAACAGGAGGCCAGGATAGGATCCAAGGACAGTCACTGGAGTCTTAAGTTTTGGGCGTGATTTTGGCTCAGTTTCCCCTCTGCGCCTCAGTGAGTGTTTGCCTTTAGCATGGGCTTCCCTGCCATGAGGTAGCCCTAAGGGCTAATGATTGAACAAAGAGGCCTCCAAGGTTCCCAAGAATCAGAAGTCCTGGTTTTGACCTTGAAGGCAGAACAGAGACCCCTGGCCCTTTGCACATCCAGGAACCTAGTTACAGTTGGGGGCCAGGGGTTCAGGAATCCCAATCCCGAATGAGTTGGCTCTCACCCCATCCCTGTTCTGCAAATAACATTAGTTCCGTTTAGTGACTGTAATATTCCTGAGACACTGCAGATTTCTCTGGGCTACTAACTTGGTTTCAGAGTCTTTCAGATGATTATTGTGGGGAGTACAGGGTTGAGGGGGATCAAGAAAAAGCCAACAGACTCCTTCACTGATTCATACAGAATTTCAGAGCGTCAGAGCCTGAAGAGACTTCTTTTTTTTCCCCCCTGAGATGGAGTTTAGCTCTTGTCGCCCAGGCTGGAGTGCAATGTGCAATCTCGACCCACTGCAACCTCTGCCCCCCAGAATAGCTGGGATTACAGATGCCCACCACCATGCCTGGCTAATTTTTTTTTTTTTTTTTTAGATCGTGCCTCGTTCTGTCGCCCAGGCCACGTCTGGCTAATTTTTATATTTTTAGTAGAGACGGGGTTTCACCATCTTGCCCAGGCTTATCTTAAACTCCTGACCTCGTGATCCACCCTCCTCAGCCTCCCAAAGTGCTGGGATTACAGGTGTGAGCCACCATGCCTGGCCGCGAAGGGACTTCTGAGATCACTCTGTGAAACCCCTTCCTGCCTCAATACAGAATCAGGGTCAGAGACCTGAAGTGACTTGGCCAAAGTCCCACAGCCAGTGAGTGGCAGAGCCAGGATGGGAATCCAAGGTGACAGACCCTTGCACCACTGCCCTTTATGGCGCCCTGCCCAGCATCTTCCTGTGTCCTGCTCATGTCAGCAAGCTCTGCCTCCTTCCTCACAAGCCAGTCCCTGCAGCCAGCACAGGTAACAGACCTTCCTTTCCCTCCCTGCTGTCTAACATCAGGCCTATTTTCTCTAAAGCAAAATCGGTCTGTTTCCCCAAGGCTGACACACTGGCTCTGCCAGAGGGCCCAGATAAGGGGAAAACCTTGCACGGCGGCCTTTGGAGTTTCCCTGTCACTTCAAAGAGCTAACATCAACACACTCTTCCTTTATCTATTTATTTTGGACAAGGAGGACAAGAGGTGAAGACGGGTAGGAAACAGTCAAAGTTGTCAGGAAGACCATCTCAAGGACTTGGCACATCTTCAGAGAGAAGCACATCAATGTTTTCCCTTGATCTCTGTTTGTTTATGTTAACAAACACTCAATATAGTGCTTGCTGCATGTCAGGCACTATTCTAAGCACTTTGTATATTCATTTATTAGTTTAATTTTATATTAACTTATTATATATCATATAATTAATTTACTAAATCTTCTTAATAACCCTGAGGTAGGTACTGTTATTAGTTCCACTTTACAGATGAGGAAAGTGAATCACAGAAAGGCAAGAAGCTTGCCTGAGGCCACGTAGCTAATGGCAGAGTCACCATTCAAAGCCAGGCAGTCTGGCTCTTACCCACGGGGCTAGGATCCTTCTCTTTATAGAAGCATCAGCACAAGCGTTGGTAGGGCCCCGTGACCAGGAGAGGAAGGAAGATTCTGAACATTCAGAAAAAATCAGACATTGTTGGGGCCCTGTACAGTGTTCCCTGGAGCTTATCTCTTGTTAATTACTGTCATGGCCTCTTCTGTCCTTAGCTTGTTTGAAAGCCAATGTTTTATGGTTGGGGTGACCAAGGGAAGCATAGGCAGCCTGGACCTTGGGCCCCTCCCACACTAGCCCCATTCTGGGGAGGCTTCTGGGTTCTGGAAGCCAGGGCAGGAGTGTGGTGCTAGCACCCACTGCCTTGTTGCTCACAGAGCCCTGCTCCCTCCCACGCAGCTGCCTGCACTGACATCTCTGAGAGGGCCTTTGATTAAAGAGACAAGTGACTTTGCCCATTCTATTGATCAGAATAAATTACTAGGAACTAATTTATGGGCCTCCCCACAGCCGATGACATGGTGGATTGTGCGCTATTGGTCAGTAAATTGGATTGTCAGGCTAGATTATTGGTTCGTATACAGTTATCTCTCATAGCAATATCAGGCAGCCCAGGTACAAGAGTGAAATCCTTTCTCTGCTGCCAGATGCCAGGATGTGACGAGGCCTTCTCGGGGGGCTGGTGGGGAGGGGCAGTGAGGGAAGAGGAGGAGAGGGGAGGAGAGGAGAGGCGAGGCCTCTGTGCAGGATGCTTATTAATTAGTGCAGCATCACAGCATTAAAAGAACATTAGTGTGGAATCGTCTGCAGAGTGATGGGGAAATGACATTGCAGGCCTCCTCCTGATTCTCCAGCTATGGCTCTGCTGGGGAGAGCAGGGAGGGGGTTGATGAGCAGACGGGGGGATGGGAAAGATAAAGGTTGTTGGGGGGATAAGAGGCCAAGAAGAGGGGAAGAGAAAGGAGAGGCCACATTTGCTGTGAATTGCAAGCAGAGAAGGTCTGCTAAGCGCCAGCGTCGCTGAGCCCCACGCGGGGGAAATGGAGCTGCCGTTCTGCTCCGTACATCACAGCCAACGATGAAAAGTTCTAGAGCTGGGATTTCTCAGGCAATTTGGCCAGTGATGCATGGGGCAGTAGATCCTCGCGCACTCTTCCGTGCTTCTGCCAAGCCAGCAATAACAAAAACTTATTTTTTGCCAGGGAAACGGATATGAGTCAGGCAGCCCATCGGGAATTAGGGGGGCTTTACCACGCCGCTGCGATTTGTACCACTCGGCTGTTTCCCCGAGCTCTAAAGACCTGCCAGGAGGTGACAAAGGCGAGACAATTTCGAGTTCACAGTCCTGTGTCCTCGAAGCATAACAGCATGCTATCGAAGGGGACTTTCAGGGGCTGTGGGTTGCAAAGTCAGCGGTCTTTTCCCCCAAGCTCACTGGGCAGTGGGGAGATGGGGTGAGGAGAAGAGCCACAGAGAGCTGAGGCACTGCTGTGAATTTCTAGAAGAGATGGGCCCACAGCTCTGCCCTCACTGGGCATGGCCAGAAGGGGTGAGAAGGGGGGTGTTGGAGTGCCAACCTGGCCCCAGGGATGAGAGCATCAGCATCCCAAGTGAATGCCCTCTGGGGGCTCCTGCCATGGGCTGCCGGGGTTGTTGCCACCCGTCCAAACTCTGGGTCATCCAATCCCTGGAGAGGTGGACGCGGAAACCCCGCTTGGTCCTCTTTTCTCACTCTCACGGTTAGAGCATGAGCCCGGAGGAGGCCTGCACTTTCTTTGAGGCGTGATCAGGAACACAGATAACCTGTTCTTTGGGCTACAGGCCCCAGGGGAAATGTTCAAATGGAGCACTGAGCCCTTCTGACTTTAGCTATCATTCATCTGACACTGCCAGTAACCCGGCAAGTAAACACCCGCTGGCAGGGACCCTGGGCCTCCAGCTTGCTTGAATTGCCACTGAGAACAGCTGCAAGGTCTCATCAGTGTCTACAGTGACACCAGGATCGCCCCCCACCCACCCTACCTCCCTTAGCAGGCGTGGGGCACGCCGATTTGGATCCTGAGAAAAGGCCCAGCACCACAAACTAAAAATAGTCTGCACATTCCAAAAGACGAAGTTCAAGGGTGTAGAAGATGCAACCCCTTCCCTCAGCCTCTGCATGCTTTTTGTGCCCACTCCCTGGCCTCTGTGCTCTCCAAAATTTAAACTTACAGCCCTCGGCCATTTCAGCATGAGTTTTTATCCTGGTCACTCTCCTTTTCTGCCCTCCATTGATAAACAAAATCAAAGGGGACAGACCCTCAAGTCCCCTTAAGGAGACAAGGTTGGGCTCAGGCCCCAAACCCCAAGGCAGTGCCACCCCACCACTTCTGGCATGACAACCACTTCCATTACAACCACTATGTGGAAATGAGCACAGAAGCCCCCAGAGTACCTGGGCCTCCAAGATGGAAAAGTTTGCAAAGCTTGGCAAAAGAAAAGTGGGCCTGCAAGCCGGTCTATAAATTAGAGACTCATTAACAAGAGGCGGGAAGGGCTTTGGGGGCCTGCGCCTTTCGATTTCTTGTTGAGCTGGTTTATTGCTATTGTTTCTATTTCATACGTTTATTGCAAAACCAATAAAAATTATCTATTAAGAGCAGGAAACTCATCTTTTGACTTGTTGGTTGAGATTTCTACAGAATAACCTTTAACTGGCCCAACATGTCTGCAGGAGAGGAGAAGGCTCACGTAGTTACCTTGAGAGGCCAACCAAGAAGACAGTAGGAAGGCCCAGCCCTTGGGGTGGGGAAGGGGGTGGCCACAAAAACAAGAACACTGTATCCAGAGCCTGCCGAGGGCAAAGCCTTCCCACTGCCATCCTAACCAGTGGGAAGCCATACTGTGTTTTACCTATCCAATATTTTACATTTTTTAATTAATTGAAAACATGTAAAATTTGAGACTTTTCATCATACATGCTGGTATCTGGCTTCTCTTTTAAAATGGCAAGATCAGCCGGGCGTACTGGCTCACACCTGTAATCCCAGCACTTTGGGAGCCCAAGGCGGGTGGATCACGAGGTCAAGAGATTGAGACCATCCTGGCTAACATGGTGAAAACCCATCTCTACTAAAAATACAAAAATTAGCTGGGCATGGTGGCATGTGCCTATAGTTCCAGCTACTCAGGAGGCTGAGGCAGGAGAATCGCTTGAACCCGGGAGGCAGAGGTTGCAGTGAGCCAAGATCGTGCCACTGCACTCCAGCCTGTCGACAGAGTGAGACTCTGTCTCAAAAAAAAAAAAAAAAAAAAAAAAAAAAAAAAAAAAAAAAAGGCAAGATCATTCTGGCTTTCATTCGCACCTGGAAACAACTGTTTCTAGGAGAGAGACACTGTCTTACATTTTTTTTTCTTTTGAGACAAGATCTCGCTTGGTCACCTAGGCTGGAGTGTGGTGATGCCATCATGGCTCACTGCAGCCTCAAGATCCCTGGCTCAGGTGATTCTCCCACCTCAGCCTCCCGAGTAGCTAGGGTTATAGGCGCGTGCCATCATGTCTTGCTAACTTTTTTGTAGTTTTTGGTAGAGATGGAGTTTTGCCACATTGCCCAGGTTGGTCTCAAACTCCTGGGCTCAAGCAATCCACCTGCCTCAGGCTCCCAGTGTCGGGATTACAGGCAAGAACCACTGCACCTGGTCTGCAGCCCCTATTTAGAAGAGGACTAGGTTGGAAGGGGGAGAGAGTTAAACATTTATGAACTATTCTTGAAATAAAGTTCTGTAAGAATGCTTCTAAATCAGACTAATAAAATTTCTCTTCCAAGATCCTCAAAGGAAGGCCCAGGTCTAGTACCAGCTGGAAGGGAAGGGAGCTAACATTTCGTTGCATGCTGATGTGCCAGGCTCAGCACTGACTTTTTTTTTTTTTGAGACAGAGTCTCGCTCTATCACCTAGGCTGGAGTGCAGTGGCGCGATCTCGGCTCACTACAAGCTCCACCTCCAGGGTTCACGCTATTCTCCTGCTTCAGCCTCCCAAGTAGCTGGGACTACAGGGGCCCGCCACCACGCCCAGCTATTTTTTGTGTGTGTGTGTATTTTTAGTAGAGACAGGGTTTCACTGCGTTAGCCAGGATGGTCTCGCTTTCCTGACTTCATGATCCACCTGCCTCGGTCTCCCAAAGTGCTGGGATAATAGGCATGAGCCACCGCGCCCAGTCAGCACCGATCTTTTATGGGCATTATCCCTCTTTTACCAAAAGGGAAATTGAAGCTGGGAGATGTCAGTAATGCGCTCAGGGGCAAAGGATAATATAACCCCTAGCCTGAAAACACCAGCCCTAGAAGACACCAGTAACCATCTCGCCAGCTTTAAAGAAGAAATGGCAGGTACACAGTGTAATTCTCCCAGGCCTCCAGGTGCCCTGAGGGAAGATTCACAACCAATTGAGGGAAAATCCACCCAACTGTGACCCAAGTTAGAACTTGCCTCCAGAGTTACCAACACCCCTAAATCTAGTGAAAGGGAACCACAGGGTCTTTAATAATCACTCTGTCAGGTCACGGGATGGTGACTAATGGGCCTAGAGGAGGAGATGGTGAAAAACACTCTAGGAAATAAATTTGGGTGATTAAATTTCAAGGCAGTTCATGGAACAGCAATCTGAGGCCT
Source organism: Homo sapiens (assembly GCF_000001405.40). Taxonomy (NCBI): domain Eukaryota; kingdom Metazoa; phylum Chordata; class Mammalia; order Primates; family Hominidae; genus Homo; species Homo sapiens. The sequence continues at coordinate 100,886,394 of NC_000010.11, forward strand.
AAACTAAGCCATCAAGTTACCAAGAGAATCAAGATTTCAATTTAACCGCTGCTGCCCAGGAACCAAGCCTGCGTCTGCAAAGTATTTGTGGGTTAGAAGTAGGTACCCTCCAGAACTTTCTGAGTAACTCTGGCACCTTCCTAACCTCAGCCATTCCTCCCAAAGGGCCAACTAGCAATAAGTCAAAGAATGCGTGTGTTTCTCCGGTTGTTTCATAATTCCAGGTCTTTAAGTAAAAAGAAAAATCATGGCTCACCGAGTAAGGGAGGTACGGGTTGTGGGAGGGCCTTCTATCAGGCGCAGGCCAGAGCCATACACAAATCTTTGAGAGACTCTCAGTTTACTAAACTAACAGGAGAGCCCAAATTCCTCCAATTCCCTGCTATTTCAATTGAATGCTATGTTCTCTGATTGGACCTTATCCCCAAACAGTCATGGTCTAATGTCTGGGGCATAATCCCCCCTCCAACTGAATCACACCCCAGGTGCTGTTAAGCTTTGCAGGTGAACACAACCCAGGCTCTAAGGTAAGAACCCTAGGTCTGATTCCCCATCAGATACTCTCCATGCTCACTGTTTATAGTCCCTGGGGCATCACTACTTTAACTTGTTTATGTCTTTTTGAGTAAAGTCAGTGTGGGGAGAGCTGGAGACGGTGGCAGGCCTCTGTAATGGAAGAACCCAGGCTGGAAGAGCTTAGCAACTGCAGCTGCTCCCATCTCTCTCTGTTTCTCAATCTCTTCCTCTCTCGAGATTTCACCTCTCTCTGCCCTGGCTCCACCAGCTGTTTCCTGCAAATCCAGCTGAGACAGCTGCTGGCCCCACCATGCTAAATTTCCAGGGGCCCTGGAACCCCTTGGCTGTCTCGGCCCAAATGTGGGCAAATCTCAGGCGTCCAGACAAGGCTGAGATTGTTCAAAAAGCACTTCGCTAGGAAACTGGGGGGAACGCCAAAAAAGTAAATTACAAAGGCAGAGAAACAGACAACTTACGGAACACAGATTCCTTCCCCAGCATAATTCAAGTCTAGACCCAGAATAGTTTGTTGCAAGAACAAGAGGCTAAGAAGGGTAGGAAGAAAAGGTACAGGTTTTTGACCCCTTGCTCCTCATTCTTCCTCAATTCATTAGGGCTTGGAGTTTAGCCTGAGATAGAGGTTGTTCTGGGAAAGGGCCATATGTGCAAAGTGGCCCCCAAATGCTGAAGGAGCTGAGAAACAAAGAACGAGGCAAACAAATCCAATTTGTCAGTAAAGGGTGTTTTATTGGGGGGAACTTACAGAGAGAAGCATGGTCTTGCATGGATGCAAGATAGGTAGATTTCTGCACTGTTACTCCCCAGACCCATGGCTTATATACCATAGAGAAAGGGTGCACACACTCCAGCAGGACAATGCAAGGCAACCCTCCGGAAGAGGCAAGAATGCTACATGCGTCATAGCCTATAATTTGTGCGATAACATCAGGGTTGCTTTGTTCTTACACTAGAGACAAACAAGGTAGGAATCAGGAGGCACTCAGGACTGGGGCTACTCATAAGTTAACATGGCGGGTTAGCATCCGCGATGGAGTCGCTCTTGTCTCCACAGCGGTTAACACCATTGCCATGTCTCATTGAGTTCTCGGCTTTCAGAACAATGCCACCCAGGCTCCTGTCTGAATCTGGCTCCCAAATCTAGGCTGTGCTATGTCTGCTCTGCCCCCTAGTTGGGGCTCCTGACCTGGCCCCTGAACGAGGAATGCACTCCTCTGCCGACCTTCTTATGCCGGTTCCGGGGTGCCCCTTCCAGAGAGCTCAGTGACTCTGCTCCACCCACAAACATGCGACCTTCTCCCCAAGGCTGCTTCTACCTTTCCTTAAAGCTAAAATTGGCCAGGCATGGTGATTCACACTTGTAATCCCAGCACTTTGGAAGGCTAAGGTGGGAGAATTGTTTGAGGCCAGGGGTTCAAGACCAACCTGGACAACATAGTGAGAGCCTATGTCTACAAAGAAAATTTTTTAGAAAGCTAGCTGGGCGTGGTGGTACCCACCTACAGTCCTAGTTACTTGGGAGGCTGAGGCAGGAGGATAGCTTGAGCCCAGAAGTTTGAAGTCATAGTGAACACCACTGTACTCTAGCCTGGGTGACAGAGTGAGACCTTGTCTCTTTAAAAAACAACAACAAAAAAAGCTAAGATCTTGGTCTCTTGGTAGCTTTAGGTGCTGGGACTCTTGGGTTGATGTCTGTCTGGCAGGATGGTGGTGAAGCTATTACTCCAGAAGCCTTTCCTTCTGAGCTCCCAGCCCTAGCAATCCCTCTTAGGTCCCCTGTTCCCCACCATTTAGATGCCAGCCCACATGACCTTCCTATATTCCACTGCTACACTGGAGCTAACAAGCACAAATACGTATCAACTATCACCAAGAATTGAGAAACTGTTCTCTCAGAGCACCTCCAGAAGAAGTGAGCTAAATGCTAGATGATGCCTCCAATTCCCATCTCTAGATGTAGGTTCAACAGAGTTCCACTTCCACATGTTCCATCATTTATTGGAAATTTCCATCAGGCTCATTCATCAGCGCCTTAGCATCCATTACCCAACTTGCCCCCAAGCTAACGTGTCAGCCTACTATTGCCAGGTAGCTGGAATCCATTGGTCCAACCATGGGCTTTGGGGTTCAAATTCTGGTCCTGTCATCTATTAGCTGGAAGACCTGAGTTAAGTCGTTTAACTGGAACTGCTTTTTCTGTGACATTGGAAGGAGTGTTTTGTAGCTCCCTCTCATGGTTGATAGGAGGAACTAATAAAATTGCATCTGTAAACCATCTAGCATTTTGCCTGACATATAGTAAGAATGTTAAAATTAATATAGATATACAGATATACTCCCTTTCCTATGCAAACTGGTGCTCTATACCAGCTCTCCAATATCCTTCGGTGACACCATCATTTCTAGAAAAGTAGATTATCTTGGATCCATGTGACAGACTTCATTCACATCATAAATTAATAAATTCACTTTCTGGTTTTAGGCATTAGTCTCTCAAGCCTGATCAATATGCTTTTGCCACTAGGACAAGGATCTGTTTCTGGTTGGGCAGAAAATGAGTTTTCTGCACCCAAAAGGCTGAGGGTCAGAGAAAATTATCCCAGTCTATGGCTGTTCCCGGAGAAAACTCCCAGGAGACAGCATGCTCATCACCCCCACAACTGGTCACCTCTATATCAGATACCCCTGGATTTGCCATCTCTCTTTCCATTTGGAACTGTTCTACGCTGGGCTCAGAGTTTCACATCTAGTAGGTGTTTAGGACCTATTTGTTTTGTCAGTGTGTGAGTGGGTGGGTGGATGGTTGAGTGGGTCACCGGAAATTCGTACCTCTTTTTGAGGCAGGGAAGGAGCAGTGGTGGCCTAGCAACCAGGGAATCTGCCTAGCAACGAGGGTGGGAGGCAGAGGCTGCTGGAATAGTTTAGAATGGCTAACAAATAGGCAGATGTAAAAGAGACCTTTCTGGATCTTGTCAAGTTGGGGTCTCAGGCCAAAAGGAGAAAGGAGACCCACAGGGATCAGGAAAGAAGTGTGGGAGGAAGGGCTGTATTTGAAAATGTTACAAACTCAAACTGGAAAAAGCCTCACGCCTTTTCTACATGTGCTCAAGCAGAAGGCACCCCTCCCCATTCTCACCCCGAGGAAGGTGATACCTCAGAGTAGACACATTTGAAGAGCATACCACCTTTTCTGCACTCCAATTTGCAAGGGTACAACATTTTAACATGTTCTATCAAGTCTGGAATTTTTATCAACTCAGAAAGCTACAACCCCCTGGAAAGGATGAAGACCTATATTCGCTTAAAATGAACCCAGAGGCAGATTAAGCGACTTTCCAATACGGTCTGTCTAGGGCAAAGGAACCATTAGGAACTCGGGACTGGTCTGACTTGAATTGTTTCCCTCTCTCCTTCCTTTCCACCCCGTCACAGGACAGGGCTTGGACATCCCCTCCTGTGAACTCTCAAGACCCTCCCCTGAAGAGAGGAAAAATTGTCATCAGCCTTTGACCTGATTAATAATTAAAACTGCTGAGTTTGAACTGCCCCTAACAGTGAGGTGCTCCAAAACCCCAGCAAACTTTAACAAATAACCAGCTTGCTCAGGGGAGAGAGGAAGCTTTATTCACTAGACAAACTGACAATTAGCTGCTATTCAAATCCCCCTCTAGTCCTAGCATATTGGTTCTCCTTTGAAAGTGGCTCGGCATGGGGTAGAATTTTTGGCCTTGAGTTTAGAACTACTGTGCATAAAATCAAAGCAAGGAAGCCAGCAGTTGAGAGAATAGAGGCTATTTGGGGATTAGTGATTTCGGAGTTAGATTTCTAATAACTTGGTGAGTGGTGGGTTAGGAATGTCCTCCAGGAGCATCAGGCAGTCAACACTGTGGGACATGTCCTCACATTGAACTGGAAAGCAGTGAGTCACTACCCTAGAGAGCGGAAATACAAAATGGCATGAAATAACTGCAACCGCAGCACCACATGGTAATCTGCCTTTTGTAACCTCTGCAGGCTACATCGCATGCTTACAACTTGGGGTTATGTGTGAAGCCCCAAGTTTGGCTCAAAGTTTTCTCCCCAAATAGCCACAAATATGGGCACCCCCACATTAGAGAACACATTAATGGAGAACAAAGGGAGGAGAGTGGATAAGATGGGAGAGGAGAGAAGGAGGGGGCAGGCATTCAAACTGCTCATTTTCCCCTAGGAAGCATAAGGCCCAGCCACTACGGTGGATGAGCAAAGCAAATTGGTAATGGGTGATCCAGATTGCATCGCAGAGTCTTGCCTGCTTTCCAGGCACTTACTAAACTTTATAACTCTTTTGGGGGTAAGGCACATAAACCCAGGGTTTCTCATTGACCAGTCGGGGAGAGGGAGTCTGAGCTCGCTGGTCCAGGTCTGTTGCTTTTCCACAATACTGTAGTCCATCAAGATTTTTTTTAATGCGTTTTTTAAAGGAGGGCTGGAAAATGATGATATGAGCAGCAGCTGCTGTAGATTCCAGATTGCAATAGCCCAGCCTAGAAAGCACTAGAAAACTCAGTGTTTCAGAGATGGAGAAGGCATAAGACAGAGGTCCACAGATGGATGGCTGCTTATCCTAGGCACCCTGATGTGGAGGGGGGAATTCTGTGTGGAAAAGTTTACCTTTATCCTTTTTGGTTTTAATTGAAGTACAACTTGCAGACAGTAAAATGGATGGTTCACAGTGTCTGGCTTGATGAAGGTATACTGTATGTGTATTCATGTAACCACCAGCCAGATCGAATGTGAAGCATGACCCCCATTCCAGAAGATTCCCTCGTGTCTCCTCACAGTCAATATGCATCCACCTCCCAAAAGTAGCCACATTCTACCCTCTCTCTAAATAAGTTTTGCCTGTTTTTTAAGTTTCATAGAAATGGAATCACTTGGCTGGGTGCAGTGGCTCACGCCTGTAATCCCAGCACTTTGGGAGGCCGAGGTGGGCGGATCACGAGGTCAGGAGATCGAGACCATCCTGACTAACACGGTGAAACCCCATCTCTACTAAAAATACAAAAAAAAAAAAAATTAGCCGGGCATGGTGACAGGCACCTGTAGTCCCAGCTACTCAAGAGACTGAGGCAGGAGAATGGTGTGAATCCGGGAGGCAGAGCTTGCAGTGAGCCCAGATCGTACCACTGTACTCCAGCCTGGGCAGCAAAGTGAGACTCCATCTCAAAAAAAAAAAAAAAAAAAAGAAATGGAATCACTTAGTATATACTCTTTTGTGTTTACCTTCTCATGCTCAATATATCTGTGAGATTCATCTATGGTGTTGTGGGAATCAATAGTTCATTCTTTTTCACTCTTGTGTGGTAATCCGTTGTAGAAATATACCACAATTTATGCATTCTACTGTTGGAACATTTGTGTTACTTCCAGTTTTTGTCTATTATGCATAAAACTGCTATGAATACTCTTGTGTCTGTTTCATGGTGGATGTTAGCACTCATTTTTTTTCTTTTAGAGATGGGGGTCTCACTGTGTTGCCCAGGCTGGAGTGCAGTGGCTATTCTCCCACATGATCATGATGCACTGCAGCCTCAAACTCCTGGCCTCAAGTGATCCTCCTGCCTCTACCTCTGAGTAGCTGGGACTACAGATGTGCACCACTGCACCTGGTTTTGTTGTTATTAGCACTCATTGCTGTTGGGTATACACCCAAGAGTGGAATTACTGGACCACTTATTTATAAACAAAACAACCTGGACTCAAAGACAGTAGGGACCATGTCTGTCTTCTTCACTGCTGTATCTCCAGAGCTTGTTGCAAAGTAGGTACTCAGTAAATATATTTGGAATGGATAAAAGAATATTGATGAAAATGTCAACTTTTCCAAAATTAATGGACACATTTGATACAATTCTAATTAGATAACAAAAAAGTTTTGATTTGGAGGAAAAATTAAATAAAATCATCCTAAAATTATATAGAAGGATAAATGCTTTAGAATGGCAAAAAATATGTTAAAAAAAGAAACATAAAGGGTGAGACTTGTCTTCCTAGACAACAGAATGTACTATAAAACCACCGTAATTAAATCAATTTGGTATTGGCATGGGAATAGATAAATGGATCACTGGAATAAAATAGAGAACCCAGAAATAGACCAAGTATATACATGAAAATTTACTATATGACATACTTCGTGTTTCAATTCCATGAAAGAATGGATTATTTAATAAATGGCACCAAGACAACTTCCATCTGGAAGAAAATAAAATGGGACTCCTATTTTATACCACATACAAATATAAACTCCATATAGATTAAAAACAAATGTAAAAAATAAGACAATAACAACTTGGAAATTTAGGAGGCTACATGTTCAATATGGAGGCAGGAAGGGAGGTGCTTTGTAAACCAAGACTGGAAATCCAGAAGCTATAAAAGAAAATATAGACACATTTTATTTTACCTTATAACAATTAAAAAACACTTTTGTATGGCAAAAGATAAAACAAAGTCAGTAGACAAACAACAGATTTGGGAGAAAATATTTGTAATGTATAGGACAGATGATTTTTTAAAAATAAAAAGATTTTATAAACGGACAAAAGGGATACAAATAATAGAAAAATAGGCAAAGGGCATCAACAGACACCTCACAAAAGAGCATATTTAAATGGTCAACACACATAGGGAAAGAAGCTCAAAATTATTAGTATTCAGAGAGATGCAAATTAAAATACAATGAGATATTATTTTATACCTTTTAGACTAGCAAAAATTAAAATGAGGGTAATTTCCATTGCTGACAGGGATAGAAGGAAAACAGTTTTTATACTGCTGGTAGAAATGCAAATTTCCACAACCCTCTATAATCTGGAAACATCTTTAGAAATTGAAAATATATATTCCCTTTGACCCATCAATCACACTCTTATATCCCATAGAAGAGCAAATGCCAAGAGATTATACATACATACGTACACACACACACACACACACACACACACACACACACACACACACACACACACATACATATTAGGATTGTTTGTACTGGCCATTCTTCTCCCCATCCCTGAGGAAAAAAGACAGAAACAAATTAAAACCCAGTAATAGGCACCGAGTGGTATGCTAGTTAAAACCAGGAAAAAGCCCTGGTTTGCAGTGTTTGCAGATTTCTATGATGTGAATATTCCCGTCATGCCTCATTTCAAGCTACCAGCCTGATGTCACTGAGTGCCAGGTTGGAAAGAAATGTGAACAATCAGCTCCAGAAATCCAGGAGCTCCAGCTGAGCCACACCTTGAATAAGTTATATATAGCACAGCCACACCTCTGGCTATTAAAAAGAATGACGGGCCAGACATGGTGGCTCACACCTGTAATCCAAGCACCTTGGGAGGCTGACGCAGGCTGATTGCTTGAGTACAGGAGTTCAAGACCAGCCTGGGCAACATGACAAAACCCCATCTCTATAAAAAAAAATACAAAGAATTAGCCAGGCATGGTGGCTTGTGCTTGTAGTCCCAGCTACTCAGGAGGCTGAGGTAGGAGGATCACCTGAACCTGGGAGGTCAAGGCCACAGTGAGCCAAGATCTTGTCCCTCCACTCCAGCCTGGGCGACAGAGTGAGACTCCATCTCAAAAAAAAAAAAGAATGAGATTGTATTGCAGAAGTTTGCTTGGTAGATTTCCAAGGTATTGTTGAGGGAAAAAAAAAAGCAAGTGGCAGAAAAGTGTATAATATCATATAATCATATTTTTTGAAATATATATAGACAAAAAAATCTATATATGTATGTGTGCATTCTATTTGCATATGATTGTATGACTTTGAGAAGATGGGGAGGAGGAAGCCAAGCAAAAAGAGGAAGTAAAAAGGGCACATTTATGCATTATACATATGTATATAGAAGTAAGATTCTTTTTAACCAAAAAAAGAAAGAAAAATATATTGAGCCCTTGAAACATGCCCTGTTCTGTATCAGCTGCTTGGGAATATAGGAACACGTGAGACATGGTTTCATTCTTACATCTAGCTGAAAATATAAAAGCAAATGATCACAGGATTATTTACATATTTATTTATTTGAGACAGAATCTCACTCTGTCACCCAGCCTGGAGTGCAGTGGCTCAGTCTCAGCTCACTGCAACCTCTGCCTCCTGGGCTTGATTGAGCAATCCTCTCACTTCAGCCTCCAAAGTAGCTGGGACTACTGGCGTGTGCCACTATGCCCGGCTAGTTTTTGTAGCTTTAGTAGAGACGGGGTTTCTCCATGTTGGTCAGGCTGGTCTCAAACTCCTGGACTCAAGTGATCCACCCGCCTCAGCTTCCCAAAATGCTGGGATTACAGGCGTGAGCCACCGCACCCAGACCACAGGGTAATTTATTATCTCCAAGTAGGTGTGAAATAAATGCCACAATGGAAGGACAAGCAAAATAATAGAAGGGCTGGGGTTTTCGTTGTTGTAGTTGTTTTTTAAATAAGCCCCAAGGATCCTCCTCCACCCAAGCTTGCTGCCAAGTCTAGATCTCCTTCACCTTCTTGCAGTGGGTCCTGGAACCAGCCTGCTTTCCTCTCCTTGGGGAGGTACCTTTGCCAGCCTCCCCAGCTCCTCCTTTCTTGCTGCTCCCCAAAGACAAATACATTTTATTTTAAAGCTTTTATTGCTTTGCTGCTACTGATTTACTGCTAATCACCATGGAAACAGACGTGGAAAATATAAACAACACGATTGAGGAAGCCACACATAATCAAGAATCTTACAGGTGTAACAAGGTTTGGTTCCCCCGCCTGCCTCTTGACTCCTTTATTTTTGGTTTGTCTTTTTTTCTTTCTTTTTAAATTTTTTTTGCAGTTCTCCCATCTGTGCCATCGACTCCTTTCTGAAATGGTTACTGGAAGCCCTCACTGGGTGCTACCCTCCCTTTCAACTCTCTCTCCTTTCTCTCTCCCTCTCTCCCTCCCTCCCTCTCTCTCTCCTTGGGTAGCCAACTATCCATCAAGCAAGACCCACTCAGAGTGGCCATCAGCTTTACATTGGGGAGGGGGCCTCTCACCTCACAGGAGTTCTGTTCTCCCAGGCCTCTCTTTTATTGGGTTTTCATCTCTGTATAACACATTAACAAATAGGCCAGACAGGTAATCTGTGTGTCTCCAAACCAAGGATTAGCTAAAGCCCAGTAAATCCCAGTTGGCCCCAGCAGCCTTTGTCTTCAGGAAGCACCAGCCCCTGATGAATTCTCCACTCAGAGAAGTCCCCTCAGCCCATCAAAGTCCCCCATCACCACCTGATACCCCTCCTCTCCAAACATTGTAGTCTCCTTGCTGCCAACTGGCCACTTTTTGTCCGGCTCTGTGTTCCAGTGAGCATCCTCCGCCCGGGAAAGGCTAGCTTTTTTTTTTTTTTAAGACAGAATCTCACTCTGTTGCCCAGGCTGGAGTGCACTGGAGTGCAGTGGCATGATCTCAGCTCACTACAATCTCCATCTCCCGGGTTCAAGTGATTCTCCTCCCTCAGCCCCCCGAGTAGCTGGGATTACAGGTGGCCACCACCACGTATGACTAATTTTTGTATTTTTTAGTAGAGACAGGGTTTCACCATGTTGGCCAGGCTAGTCTCGAACTCCTGTCCTTAAGTGATCCGCCCGCCTCAGCCTTCCCAAGTGCTGGGATTACAGGAGTGAGCCACCGCACCTGGCCAAAGCTGGCTTTTATGCTGGTACCATTGCTACCTCCCATTTAAACACAGCTTATGAAAACTCACTGTGCTCAATATCTTTAAATGATTGTATCTACATTTCATTTACTTATGTATGTATTTATTTATTTATTTTAGAAACAGAATCTCTGTCACCCAGGCTGGAGTGTAGTGGTACAATCATAGCTCACTGCAGCCTCAAACTCCTGAGTTCAAGCAATCCTCCTACCTCAGCCTTCCAAGTAACTAGGGCTATAGGAGCATGCCGTCATGCCCAGCTAATTTTTTTTTTTTTTTTGGTAGAGAAGGAAGTCTTGATATGTTGCCCAGGCTGATCTCGAACTCCTGGCCTCAAGTAATCTTCCCATTTCTGCCTCCCAAAGTGCTGGGATTACAGGCACGAGCCACCATGCCCGGCCCCACGTCCACATTTTATATTGACCCAGCTTGCCAGAATATTTACATAAAGCTCTGAATCACACAAGAAGACAGCCCAGAGGGTCTGTTTACATAGGAAAAAGAGCTGATGATTTATTAGAGGGTCTGAGGTAATGTCAATTCCAGGGGGTCAGCTGGAAAAGAGAAAAATAGGGGTTGGAATCTTAATAGTCAGATGAATGTCAAGCAAGCCCCATCTGACAAGGGGAACACAGGTCAGAGGTGGCAGCAGCAGGACAGAGGAATCAAAGGAAACTGCAGTGAATCAAGGGTGAAGCTTCAGACTGGGCAGCAATATCTCAGTAGCCTACACCGAGGTGAGACCACACACAACCATACAACTGACGAGTGACATTCTTGGACAAGGCCTAACTGTCCACTGCCTGCACTTTATATTTTATGTTGTTTTTAACCTTCATTGTTTTCCTGATTACAAAAATAACTCATACTCATTGTGAAAATGTCAAAAGTTACAGAAACATATAAGGTAGATGTTAAAATCCTGTCTTTCAGAGATATAACCACTTTTAAGTTGAGGTGTATTTATCCAGATTGCTTTCCCTGCATATATGAATATTTAATAGATATAAATATATATGTAAAGTTTACAAAATTTATTTTTATAATAAAATTAAAAATGTAAATATAATATAAAAATATAATATAAATTTTGAAATTTATATAAAATATTTTTATAAAATCATAGCCAGACTTAGAACTTAAGCAACCCTAAGCCTAAAAATGGTTACTCTGTCCCCTGGCCCTACACATGTATAATTCAAAATTAAAATACTAAACAAAAAAAAAATAAGCAAAAAGTCAAAGTTTTAATTTTTTCTTTAATATTTATTTCAGTATTTTTTAAATGTATTCTTTCAAAAAGTTGTGGGGTTTTTTAGGTTTTTGTGTCTGGTTTTTTTTTTTTTTTTTGTCTTTTGCTTTCTTGGTGCCCCAAGCATATACCTGATTTGCAAATTAGATAATCTAACAATTCATACAGTACATATTACACATTGTCTTGCAACTTTTTTTTTCTTTCACATAAGATATATTTGGGGATCTGTCTATGTCTGTATCTAAGCATGACTGTGCCTGGCAGGCGTGTGAGCTCCTCTCCAGAGAAAAACAGAGTCTTTCAAATGCTGGTGCCTGTAGCCAAGGGTTAGGATCTTGGAGGAATTTTTCATGGCTTTAATAAATTAGTGTTACAACCACTAACTGGCAAGGAAGGTTTCTCCAGATTCAGAATTGAGTTCACAAGCAACTGAACTGCCTTCAAATCTTTATGGGAGGAGGTGAGATATAAATGAACTCATTCATTTATTTACATGTAGTTCAACTCAGGAGCAATGAATGTTCTCTTCATAATTAGGAGAGTGTGATGTGAATCCATTGGTGAGAAAAAATAATAATATTTAGGAGTGAAGGTAAAAATCATCAAAGTTTCATTAGTACAAGTTTTTCCTTTGTCTTAACTCTGTTAGAGAGAGAATGTAGAATTGGACTGTGTCGTAAATTGGTTATTTAACTATTACTTAAATATAGTACTTTTGTCTCTGATTTCTAATTGTATTGCATTGTAGACAGAGAGTATTATTTGTGTGCTATCCATTTATTGACATCTCATTGAATCCTTCCATGGCTTAGAACAGTCATTCTTTCTAAATATTCTGCATGTGCATGAAAAGAGCGTATATTAATACTGCAATTTTGTCCACCATCCTGAGTAAAAGAAAAAAGCAGAAGACTAAAGCCCATATTCTTATTTGAAATTAGCATTGAGAGATATGCTTTCATATATTGTAAATCCTGAAATTCACTTGGCTGAAACGCTCAAAGCCTTTTGCAGAAAAGAAAAATTTTTAATTATAAATGGTTTTTAAAACTTTCCAACAGAATAAAAGATTATAAAGTTGAAAGTAGTAATTCCTGCCAGGCACAGTGGCTCACGCCTGTAATCCCAGCACTTTAGGAGGCCGAGGTGGGTGGATCACCTGAGGTCAGGAGTTCGAGACCAGCCTGGCCAACATGGTGAAACCCTGTCTCTATTAAAAATACAAAAATTAGCCGGCCCTGGTGGCACATGCCTGTGATCCCAGCTACTCAGGAGGCTGAGGCGGGAGAGTCGCTTGAACTTGGGAGGTGGAGGTTGCAGTGAGCCGAGATCGCGCCATTGCACTCCAGCCTGGGCAATACAAGTGAAACTCCATCTCAAAAAAAAAAAAGAAAGTAGTAATTCCTTGGTGCCTCCCTCAGTATTTCTCAATCTTAGAGAGCTGAGTGGGGTGAGGCACTAACAGTCTTATGTTATTTCTTTCCAGACATTTTCTATGTATATACAAGAATATGTAAGAAAACATTGCATGGCTATCCTTAAAAAGAAAACCCACATACAAATGGAATTTCACAATATGCATGTTATTGTAGACTTTGCTTTTTTCACTTTCATAATTCACTAAAATATCTCAGTTATCTTTTCATGTCAGCACCTTTAGATCCTCTCCAGGCTTTTTTTTTTTTTTTTGAGACAGAGTATCGCTCTTTTGACCAGGCTAGAGTAGTGAAGTGGCAAGATCTCAGCTCACTGCATCCTCTGCCCCCAGGGTTCAAGCGATTCTCCTGCCTTGGCCTCCTGAGTAGCTAGGTTTATAGGTGCCCGCCACCATGCCTGGCTAATTTTTGTATTTTTAGTAGAGACGGGATTTTTGCCCTGTAGGCCAGGCTGGTCTCGAACTCCTGACCTCAAGTGGTCCACCCACCTTGGCCTTCCAGAGTGTTGGGATTACAGGCATAAACCACCGTGCCCAGCCCTCTCCAGTCTTTTTAATGGTTGTCTGCTATTCCATGGTAAAGCTGTTCTGTAATTTATTTAATAATTCCTTTTTGGTGGACACCTGACTCGTTCCCAGTTTGGCTATTGCAGACAATGCTGCTTCGAAACCTTTGTTCACACATGAATTTTGCTGCTGCTTGGCCCTTTCTCAAGACCAACTGCTACCTCCCAAGTGTACCTCACCCAAAGCTCTCTTCTTCCTTCTTTGCTGCAGACCTAGGTACTGAAACTGCTTCCTCTCCTTTGGAGGTTGCCACCCATCCTCTGGGGTCCTTTCCCCTAAGCCTGGCTTAGAAACAGCATGTAGCTTCCTAAACTCCCTGCTGTGTTAATGCATCTGATGACCAGCACACAGACTCTATTAGTTGTAAGTGTTTTCTGCCATCACTCCTAGAAGCAAACGAGGAATAGCAATAACAAGTGTGGGGTGGGAAAAAGCTTACAAAATTTTTACTTTTGTTAGTTCTTGGCTCTGGTTTCTGTCTGCCTTACAAAATAGTAAATGAAATGCCCACTTTGTAATGTTCACCAACCACATTTCTGATTCCAACATTAGGAAAAATCATATTGATTTTTTTTTTTTCCATAATATACCTTCTTCCCCAGCCTGAAAATGTCTTCTTTTTTTTTTTGAGACGGAGTCTTGTCACCCAGGCTGGAGTACGGTGGCTCGATCTCGGCTCACTGCAACCTCTGCCTCCCAGGTTCAAGTGATTCTCCTGCCTCAGCCTCCAGAGTAGCTGGGATTACAGGCGCCCGCCACCACTCCCAGCTAATTTTTGTATTTT